>NC_000014.9:103247715-103550715 GCF_000001405.40 Homo sapiens | reverse complement strand
CCAACAAGCCTCACCCTGGTCATGAGGGGCCCAGGGCAGGTTTTCTTTTCAGGCTGAGAACTGGGCCTCTGGGCCTGGTGAGGGGCAGTGGCCCAGTGGTGGCCACCTCCCAAGGCTCCTCTGTGGAGTAGGACACCCCTGCCAGGAAGGGCCGGTGTCCCAGCCCAGCCCTGGGGTGGGGAGCAGAGCCTCTCCCTAGGAGCCTGGGCTTCAAGCCTTCTCTCCCCACCCAGCCAGCCTGGTGGGGGAAGGAACCACCTCGGATTTGATTGAGGAAGACGTTTTTTTTTCTTTTTCTTTCTTTATTTAAAGGGCTTTCCAGTAAAAATCGGAAAACCTGCTAGTCAAATTCTAGAAGAGCTGTGACACTGGAAAAGACATTTTTGTAGCTAAGTTCATGAACAAATTCACACGCTCCACACTGCCGCCTTCTCGGCCTCCCTTTCCCCAGCCGATCTCCATCACCTGCCCCTGCCCTCAAAGCACCGAGTCCCCCAGGGCCTGTGCCTCAGGGCAGCTGCCAGGACTGCCAGTCCCCACCAGGGGCTGTCTCCCTCCCTGGGGGACACGCTCAGAGCTGCACTGGCTGGGGAGGCTCTGGGCGGAAGGGTGGAGAGACAAAGAGGTCTTTGTGTCCCTCTGGCTGGATGGGAGGACAGACAGGTCAGCCAAGGCTGTGTGACTGGTGAGGCCCACCCAAGGTCCCAGACTCCTGCCACCACCTACCTGGGGCCCTGACATGTGCAAGACATCTCTGTGTGCCTCAGTTTCCCGGCTGCGAGGTGGGGTCAGGCCACGCACCAGCCTGCCTCCCCACCTGGCTTCCCGCCCGGCGTCACCAGCCCTCACAGCTTCATGTTCCTGCGGTTTACCACTTTGGTGTCTTTCCTGGCCCCTTCCCCACGGGCACGTGAACTCGCCGCATCCCCAGTGCTTTCACAGACTGGTGAGGGCTGGGAAGGGCAGACCCACAGAGGGCCATAGCCGTGTGGGGTGGGGCACCCAGGACTGCTGCGTGGACCAGGAGGGAGGAAGAAGACCAGAAGCCGTGTCCTGGCAGCTCGGAGGCCCTGCGCCTGCAGAGGCCGCTGCGGGGCAAGGTCAGGCGGGGCCGGGATCTGGCTCTGGCCTAGGTGAGGGGTGGCCAGGTGAGCAGAAGGAGCTCCCCAGGGCCGCCTCTGTCACCTCATTTTCCTGCCAGGCCTGGGGCAGGGAGGGTGCCCAGCAAGCATCTGCAGGCTGACAGAAGGGCATGGTGCCCGAGGCTCAGTGTGGCTGGGAGCCAGGACAGAGCCATCTTCCCGCCTCTGGGTCCCAGGCCAGCCCTTCCCAGGTTGGGCAGGCTGGGCCTAGAGAGGCACCAGGGCTCTGCTCACAGGGACAGAAATGGATGCGGAGGGCCAGCCGGGTTCCTTGAGGTCCCTCTCCCTTCTGCTGTCTCTGGGTGTACCAGTCACCCAGAGAGGGTGAGAGTGGAACGGCCGCTGTCTGGTGCTGGGTCACGGGCAGAAACAGCCTCATGGCCAGGCCACCTGATGGCCATTCCCACAGGAAGGACTGGCTTCTGTGCTGTGTCCCAGCTCTGGCATGACCAAGCCATCCTCTGACCACCAGCAGCCACGCCTGGCTTCAGAGAAGCCAGAGAGCCCAGTGGGCCACGTGGACCCCAGCGGGCACCACGTGCCAGATGTCAGCTGCAGTCAGTCTCCAACCACAGTGCCTGCGCTCTGCCCCACCCTGCCTCATCGTCCTCAGAGGGCTTAGCACGATGCCAGGGGCCCCGCCACCTGAGACCCTGAAGACGCCAAACTTGTTCCGTTCCTGCTTGTATCCCCAGTACCTAGAGCAGCACCTGGCTCAACACGCTGACACCTGTGGGTGCACTCTGCAGGTGGCGTGGGCCCCGGGGGCAGCAGGAGCAGAGCCCAGGGGGACGGTTTTGCCTCCTGAGTCGGGGAACATGCTGCAAAGCTCTGTGGGCACCTGTCTTGTGGGGCACGGGGGGTCAGCAGGAACCGGCACCCTCAGGCGTGGCTGGGTGTACATGAGCTCTGTGCGTGTGCCACCAGGATCACCCATGTTGGGGGAGTCAGGGCCCCGCTGGGTGTACCCTTTACCTGGAGCCTGGCACAGAGGCAGGGCCTTCGGGTGGAGGGGCATGCCCTTGCTGATGGCCAGAGATGAAAGTGAGACCCAGAAAGAGATCAGGAAACTGGGATGTTCAGATTCTCCCGGGGGCCCCTCCAACTCTGCTCCTCGGGCGCAGCCGGCATTTCTCTGCACGTGGGGATGTAAAGGAAAATGAAGACTTTTCAAAAGCAGAGCCCAGAGCCAGGGCCGGGCACACTGGAGGCCCTGGAAGAACTTCAGGCAGCGGGTAGGGGACAGCGCCAGGACTGCCAGGGCTTCCTGGGCCCCACAAGCCAAGGGAGGTTTGGAGGCTTTGCTGAGTGCCCCTGGGGGCAGCAGTGGGGTTGGGGGAGGGGGGTGGGAAAGGATTTGGGGGCAGTGAGGACGGCACCAGGGGATGCGGGCACCCAGGGTTCTGGCCTGGCTGGCAGGAGGAGGGGTGAGCCATGGGGGCGGGGTCACAGAAGCATGGGCAGCAGAACCCACTGGGCCTCGCCGATAGCTGCTTATTAAAGGTGCTGGGGTACAAAAATTAGCTGGGCGTGGTGGCGGGCGCCTGTAGTCCCAGCTGCTCGGGAGGCTGAAGCATGAGAATTGCTTGAACTCAGGAGGCAGAGGTTGCAGTGAGCCGAGATCGTGCCACTGCACTCCAGCCCGGGCGACAGAGCAAGACTATCACACGCAAAAAATAAAAAATGGAAAAAAAAAATTAAAAAACGTGCTGGGGATGTCAGGGTGCAGGCGTGGGGCAGCGAGGCGCCCAGCTGCCTTCTTGAGCTGTGGTCTGGTCTGGGCATTGCCTGCAGATGGCCACAGCAGGCCCAGGGTGCTCTTGGCAGCCTGGGGCTCCTGGGCGTGTGTGCCCCTTCCTCTTGCATCCTGGTTTCATCTCCCCGGAAAGGGCATCTTCCAGCCCTTAATCCTGACCCAGCCCCTGAAAGGAAAAGCAGGCATCCCAGCACCAATGTGGCTATGCAGGTGGTCCTGTGGAGCAGGCCATGGGGGCCTGGGGAAGAGTGTGCAGGCTGGACGGCTGGAGCAAGGACCCCCAGGTTGGAGCCTGGCAGGCAGGTGAGAGTCTGCAGGGCCAGATCCCACAGAGCCTTGGGGCAGCGGGCCCCTACAGGGGCAGGACTGCATCCTGGAGATCAGTGGCTCCCACAGAGAGCACAGCACCAGTCCCAGGCTTCCCCTGGGTTGGGTTCTCTTTGGGGAGCCCCCCAAGGCCTGCCCCACAGCAGCCCACCAAGTCTGGCCCAGTGACTGCCATGGACCCCACACCGGCAGTAGGTCTGTGCCAGGGCAGACCCGATAGCCCGCCCCAGGGGGTGCCTCTAGCTGAACGTGCGAGGCCTGTCCCTGCTGCAGTGGGGACCATGGCTGGCCTGTTCCCTCAACCAGTCCCAGTGCACATGGGCCCCACACAGCTCAGCATCCGCACTGGCCAGGCTGGGTGGAGGGAGGACTCCAGACAGACCCTGCTACCTGCCGCCCTCCACACAGCCCCTGGCCTGCAGGGTGGCTCACCTGCACAGCACGTGGCTCCCTGACCTTGGAGGTCCCCCAAACGCCACGCACCTGCCCCTCCAGGCCCCCACTTGCCTGCTTGGTTCTCCCATGTCTGGTCACCAGGTGGCGCCCAAGGCCAGGTTTTGCCGAGCCCAGAACACCAGAAGTGGTCCTGCCTGGGCCACGCCAGGTGCACCTGCCCTGGCCAATGGTGGACAGGTGGCCATGGCATCGCCTGAGCTGCGCTTCTGTTCTGGGGGTGGATGGCGCTTGCGCGGGGCATCCAGTGACCACCTGCTACCATCATGGGTTGGTACGGATCCCCAGCAGATCTGGCAGTCTCTAACCTACGCCCCCCAACCCCCCTAACTCTGCCACAGGCAGCCTGCCCTGCCTGCCGGTGTGGGTCTGTCATCAGGATGGTGGTGGCTCACAGCCGGCTGGCAGGGGCTTGTCCTTCCCCGTGGCAGGGCCTGTGGGCAAGGCCTGTGCCATCAGCCCTGCGTCTCTGCACAGGTGGCCCTTCCTTGGACCCTGGCCCGGCCCTCCTGGGTAATTTGTGCTCCTCTTCCACACCCCAAGCCAAATGCCACTTCCGGCAAGAAGGCTTTGGTGACCTCCCCGACCACGTCCGTGGGTGCTGACCCCATCCCTGGCCAATGGGGTCACCATACTTCACAGTGGCGTTGGCAGCAGCCAGGACAGCTCAAGTGGCCGTGCAGCAGGCGGGGGTCACTGCTGTGAACAGCCGCCCCCGGAGCCGCCTCCACACCACACAGGGCAGCTGGCGGGCGGGGTGTGGGGCTGTGGCACTGGCTGCCTTGTGCTTCGCTGGTCCCAGTGGGGGCTCTGGGTGTGGTGATGGAGAATCAGTGCCTGCCCTCCAGCCTCGCTTCTTGGTGGCGGAGACCTCTGCCCACAGCGAGCCTTGGCGCATGTCGCTGCAGCTGCAGGAACAAGCCAGGCCCCCGCGCCCTGGCCTTTATGCCCCCGAGTTCTCCCTGTCTTGCCCTTTCTCCTTCATTGCCCTAAAAGACCTCGGTGCCAGCAGACACACCTGCCACAGGGTCACTGAGGCAGCTGCCTCTGTGAAGCCCCCTCTCCCTCAGGAAGCTGTTTGGGGC
Organism: Homo sapiens; assembly: GCF_000001405.40. NCBI lineage: Eukaryota > Metazoa > Chordata > Mammalia > Primates > Hominidae > Homo > Homo sapiens. The sequence continues at coordinate 103,545,952 of NC_000014.9, read as the reverse complement.
CTCTCGGTACCCACTCCTGCCCTGCCCCAAACCCAGCCCTGCCTTCTGAGAGCACCTCTGGGTACCTCTCATACAGCGCCGCGCTCAGGAGGGCTTCGGGGGGACTCAGCGGCTTTGTGACGAGGGCCCTGCCTGTCAGCCTCAGCTCCAGCCTGTCCCAGGGGCCTCAGATTCTAAGAGGCAGCAGCGTTTACCCCAAAGGACAGATGTGCTCCTGAGGAAGCCACAGCCTCTGCGGCAGTGCCAAGAGCCATGGGCCTCCTGTTGGTAAAGGGACCGCCGGGTCCCTGTCCACCGGCCCCTCAGGAGCCGGTGGCGGCACGCGTGGGGCAAGGACCTCGGCCAGCTCTGTGCCATTGGGCTGGAGGCTGAGGCATGGGTCAGAGGGCCCAGCTGTGGTCTTCAGAGAGGGCCTGGGTGTTCCCTGCATTCCCACCCTGCAGCCTATAGCCCGTCACCTCTCCAGGACGCCAAGTGCAAGGAAGCCGTCCCGCCCCTTGGTGGGGTCGTCATCAGCAGGTTTCAGGGCAGCCAGGGAACCCGGGGCCATCTGTCTCCCCGGACACCCAGGTTCTCCACCCTGTGACATCAGCTGACAACAGGAGCCAGGCTGGGCCACCCAAGGCCTCTTGTGCCTCAAGAGACAGATACCCTCCTGCCACACCCCGGCAAAGCGTCGCTGCCCGGCCCCCTCCGTGCCATCTCTAGGCCACTTTGTCCTGCGTGTAGGGCTGGTGGTGCTCACCCCACTGTGGGGCTGTGAGCATCCAATGGGGCGCTTGGTATCCAGTGGCCGGCGAGGCGCTGGCCCAGCAGGAAGGGCCCAGCCTCAGCTCGCCGGCATCAGAAGTCCCAGTCCTCCCAGCACAGGGCCTTGAGTCTGTCCCACAGGCCCAGCGGTGGGGAGTAGGGTTCAGGTTGGCTTGTCCTCTGAATTCTAGGCCCCCAGCCTCCTCCTCAAGGTCAGCAATGACCTCTCAGTCTCAGCAGGTGGCTGAGATGGGGCAGCCCCTGGCCTTGCACGTTCATGCCCACCACCACGTGTGCTCTGCTCGGAGGCCGCGCACTGGCCTGGGGCCCCTGGGGCCTGGGTGTGAACCTGGAGGCTGCAGCCCCAGGGCACGCTAAGGACTGAGCGCCTGCCTGTGGCTGTGGGGTGTATGCATGTGTGTGGCATGTGTACATGTATGTGTGAGCATGTGCACATTCCTGTGTGTGTGTGTGTGCTGCGTGGCTGTGAGCACGTGTGTGCTGCGTGGCTGTGAGCACATGTGTGCTGCGGGTTTGAGGGTGTAACGAAGTGGGACAATTAGTCTGCCCCCCAGCAGCCTGTGGGTGGAGAAAGCTCTGAGGCCCCCCGACTGGGATGGGGCCCTGCCAGGGGCTGGGAGGGCCAACTGGCAGGCTCTGCGTCCTGGGAACGCGCCCAGAGGAAGCCTGCACGGGCGGCGGCGGCGCCATAGCAACGCGCACAAAGCGCTGTCCTACTTACACCCGCCCCCGCCCATCTCGCTTCGCTGCAGGGGAGGGGGCATAGGGCCTCTGGGGCTCCTGGGGGAGGGGGCATAGGGCCTCTGGAGCTCCTGGGGGAGCCACGCACCCCGGCCTGTGGTCGCTCGGTGCCCCAGAAGCCTCAGGCCTCCTCCTGGCCTGGGCCAGGCCTGCAGACACTCCTGCCCATCCACACACGGAGGTAAAGACGGGGTGCAGGGAGGTCCAGCACCCAGCAGGTGCCCCCCGCCCTGGGCAGCTGTGGACCTAGTGGCTCTGTAAGGCATTGACGGTTTCCCAGCCCCGGAAATCTGGGAGTCTTGGCTCTGCTGATGACTGCAAGGCAAGCTCAGGCCTCAGGTGTCGGGGCTGGAGGTCAGGCCAGGAGCTGCTCGCATGCCCTGCTCACAGGACGAGGCCCTTCACACCCTCTGCCCTACGCACTTGGCCTTCTGTCATCCGCATGGCCAGGACACCTCTGGGCCTGGCAGTGAGCCCTGCTGACCAGCACACCCCGTGCCTGCCTCCCGGACCCAGCCTGACCTGGGCCTGCTGCCTCCTCCTGCAGGAAGCCCACGTGGTCTGGCCTGATGTGCTCAGCGCCTTGGGGATGGAGCACGTGCCCAGTGCCTGGGAGGCAGAGGAACAGGCCTTGGGAGCTGGGCCTGAGTAGCAGTGGACATCTGTGGGACTCTCAGGCCACCTGTCTCTCTGTGCTGGCCACACTGCTCTCTGCATTGGCCACCCTGGGCCACTAGGCCCTAGGCCTCAAGACAGGGTACAGGGAGGTGGTGGGGGGGGAACAGTGTCCTGCGGGGGGCCAGGAAGCCAGGCCGAGGGCCAACAAGGCTGTGAGGACGCTTTGTGGGTCACCTGGACCCTGGGGACGGGAAGCCCTTGGCCACACATGGGGGGTGGGTGTCACTCAACACCACGCATTGAAAATCAGATATTTTCCTGAGCTCTCCTGGAGGCCTGGGGTGGCCTGCTGCGTGCACTTGGGCTTGGCGGCTGTGGCCGCTGCCCTGCTGGGTGACCTGCTAGGTGACCATGCTCAGCAGGGATCTTCCCGCCTGCCCCAACCCAGGCCCTGGGGCTTCTGGGCAGCTCTGACTCGTCTGTCCTAGTTCCCCCTCCAGACTGGGCACCCCCGCCCCTCACCCACTGCTCCCTCACCCATCAGATGCATCCCCTCTGTGTCCCCAGGGCCCTCACAGGGCCTGCCTGGGCCAGCGCCCAGCAGCCATCTGCAGAATGAAGGAATGGGCTGAATGAACGAATGAAGCTTGAAGGGGCGGCCCCATGCACCCCATGTGTAAGTTGGGGGCTTGGTTATCTGTTTGCACCAAGTGACCCTCTCCCAGGGTCAGAGTAGTTGCCGTCCCCTCCCCCACCTCGGCCCCCCCTAATTTATGCTACGAGGGGAGCCAGCCACTCGCTGGTCCCCTGCCTGGCAGCGGCTTTGTCCCCAGGCGGATTCCCAACGGCTGCCTTTGGGAAGAAAGGGCCCTTCTCCGGCCGGTGGTGAGGTCACCAGGAGGGGCCTGGCGCACACAAAGGCCGCCCTCCCTGCCCCGCCCTGCTGGCAGCTGCCTCTTTGTCCCCAGGAGAGACGCTGAGGGGCCCCAGCTCAGCCTTGGAGGAGCCTGGGCTTCCATCCCAGGCGGGGCACAGAGCGGGGGAGCAGCAGGAGCAACCCCAACCCTGACTTTGCTCCTGATCAAGTGGCAACACCTGTTGAGGGGCAGCCCCTCCAGAGGGGGAGGGGCTGTGTCCAGCTGTCCGCCCGGGTCCCCAGGAGAGGCAGGCAGGCTTCTGGGGGTGGGGACGGCAGCTGCAGGAAGGGGTGAGGAACCTGAGGTGTTAGGAGCTGCCTGGGCAGTGTGACCCTGGTGATGGGGGCTCTGGGGCAACCATCCAGACGTGTGGACCAGCTGCTAAAACCATGCCTCCCTGCCGTGCACGCGGTGGAATGAGGGGCTGGCAGGCCTGGGGCACTCCTGGGCACTTCCAATGCCAGCCTCAAGGAGACTCCCACGAGCCCAGTTCGGGAGCTCCTGAGGGTACCCCTGGGACGGGCAGGGGACTGAGGCTCAGAGAGGGCAAGGCCTTTGGCCAAAGCCCCGCCCAGGGTGGTAGGGCTGGGACCCGCCCCTGCCCCAGCCTCCCTGCCTTCCCCAGGCAGAGCACAAAGGAGGCGTCCCTCCCCATGGAGGGCACTGGATACCTCCTGGTGTGGGGCAAAGGGCCCAGTGAGGCCAGCGAGGAACGGGTGGCAGAGACCAGAGTGGCAAAAGCCATGCAAACAGAGCAGCGGGGGCTGAGACCACCGGAGGGTGGCGGCACTGCCCGGCGGGTTCCACTGTGTGTTCACGGAGCGCCTACTGTACGCCTGGCTCACCCAGGACGGAAAGGAACTGTGTACACTCTTGGCCCACACGGAATGTGTGCTTTAGCCGGGACCCTGGGTGCCACTGCAGACAGCAGCTGGGGTCCGACCTCTACCCTCAGGGCTGGGGCAAGAGGCAGGGGCTGAGGCAGAGGGACGGAGGGCGTGTGTTGGGGGAGGGCGAGGGCTGGCCGCTGTGCCCAGAAGCTCAAGAACCGTCTGTGAGGTGGGGAAGGCCACCGGGCACGGCGACCTCCTAGCCTCCCTCCTCCTGGCCACCAGCTGGGCCCAGAGCTCCTTAGCAGGGCCATCCACGGAGGGGGAGGATGTGGAGCCTGAAGGGAGCCACTGGACAGGGACAGCCACAGGGGCCCTGTGGCTCTGGCAGAGCCTGGCTGGCAGGGCTGGGGGCTACTGAGTCTGGGGCCAGGAGAGGGGTGGCAGGGGATGGAGGCTCCACCAGAACTCCAAGCCCTGTTCTGAACCCCATGAGGGCCTGCCTACACCTGGGGGCACCAGCCAGGCAGGCACAGTCAGAGGCAGGAGAGGCGGGGAGTGCCGGCGGCCCCGAGACAGAGGCCACGAAGAGGTGAGCAGGCCAGAGCTCGGGGCTGCAGGAGCCATCGAGGCACCCTCCGACCAGGTCCTCAGTTGGGTGGGGGCTGGCATCAGGGAGTGTTGAAGCCCCACCAGGAGGGTGGCTGCCCTTCACCCTGAGGGGCCAGGCAGCCAGTGAGCCTCAATGGCCTGAGGGTGGGGGTGCACGCCACATTGCTGAGGGACAGGTGTGGCCTGGGCCCCTCAGGGTTTCCCCGCCAAGAAGCGTCTGCTTCCCCGTTGCCTGGCACCCAGAATGTCTATTGTGCCTGTCGCCCCCACTGTCCCCACCCCATCCATGGCCAGCCCCCCGCCCACAGCTGGCCCAGCATTCCTCTGCAGGGCCCGTGTCTCTGCAGGCCCAGGGCTTCCAGGCAGGGGCCAGGCCCCGGACTGCATTCAGCCTACATGTGCCATGCCAGCACCCTGGGTGACAGGCTGGGTCCTGCCAGCTACCAGTGCTGGCCACTGGCCTGGGGCATCTCTCCTTTTTTTATTTTTTAATCATTTGTAGAGACAGGGTTTCCCTGTGTTGCCCAGGCTGGGCTCAAGCGATCCTCCCATCTTGGCCTCAGGCATGAGCCACCACACCCAGTCTCCTTTTTTCAAAAATAAAAACTTTTGGAAATTGTCAAAGAAATGCACCAGCAGAATCGTGTGAAGAATCCTGTACGCAGCTCCCAGGAGTCTGTGGCCAGCCTGGTTTGAGGTCTACTCCCCTTCCTCCCCAACCCTGTTATTCAGAGTTGGATCTCAGCCACCCTGTCATTCCCCAGCACTTTGTCAGCATGCTCGCAAATGTGGCCACTCCTTAAACTCACAAAACGGCCACTCAAGCTTCAAGCTTCCCAACTGTCCTATTTTGTAAAAGACATTTGGTTTATTCAAACTGGGGCCCAGCGGGGTCTGCGCACAGCTACCTGCTGTTGCTGCCTCAGTTTCTCTCTGGGAGCACGAGGGCATTCACAGGGGAGCAGCAGGGAGCGACAGGGTCTGGGGCTCAGAAGCAGACAGTCCAGCCACACCGGGTGAAACTGAGCTGCAACTGACAGTGCAGCCTCAGAGGATCAACCAGCTGCTTGCAGGAAGCTGCCAGAGAGCTGCCGCTTCAGTTAATAACGGGGGTTTTTATTTAAGAAATAAAAAGAAATGTTTGCGAGACTCCCGGGTCTTCCAGCAGTGATTCTCAAATTTGAGTACCAGAGCACCTGGAGGCTTGGGGAAAGGGGGCCCCCTGGGCCCTGCCTTGGAGTTTCGGCTCAGCAGGGGTGGGGTGGGGACGACGCTGACCAGCCGGTCCAGGGGCCACATCTTGAGATGCTTAGTGTCACGGGCACTTCAGGAACATACCTGTGGCTAAAGTTTAGCAATGGTGTCGTCACCTAGAACACGGGAACTGCCTTGTGGGTTTTTAAAGATTAAAGAACCAGCCGGGCGCGGTGGCTCACGCCTGTAATCCCAGCACTTTGGGAGGCCGAGGTGGGTGGATCTTGAGGTCAGGAGATCAAGACCATCCTGGCTAACACGGTGAAACCCTGTCTCTACTAAAAATACAAAAAAAAAAAAAAAAAAAAAAAATTAGCCAGGCGAGGTGGCGGATACCTGTAGTCCCAGCTACTCGGGAGGCTGAGGCAGGAGAATGGCGTGAACCCGTGAGGCGGAGCTTGCAGTGAGCCGAGATCGCGCTACTGCACTCCAGCCCGGGCGACAAAGCAAGACGGTCTCCAAAAAAAAGATTAAAGAACCAAAATCAGCGTGCCTGGCATGTGGTAGGCATATCTATCTCTCTGTGCAGGAGGCACCTACTATGCTGCTACGAGGATGGCTTCAGCACCCACCTGGTGGCAGCATACGCAGGTGACAGCACAGATGCAGGCTCTGAGGGCCTGTGACACCACCCACCTCAGCCCTCTCAAGGCTGCTCTGGGATGAGGAGGGCCCGACACGGGAAAATGGATAGGAAACAAGACACGGGGTGAAGTCCTGGGCTGGGGGAAACAAGCCCCCAAAAGCCTGGCGGAGCAGGACGGCCTGCTCTGACCCATGCCCTTCAACCACGTTAGAAGAGCCCAGGACAGACCGGGAGGGGCGAGAGGAGGGCGGCTTGGGGCAGTGGCATGCAGGCCCCTAAGTCTCAGGAGCTGAGGGGCATGGGTGGCAGAGCACCAGAGGGCCAGGCACAGGCGCCACCCTCCCCGCAGCCCCTAGCTGGTGTCCTCATCTGTCAGGGGGCACTGCCGTGCTTTGCTCCCCTACCTGGCCCTGCGCGGGAAGCTGGTGGGACCTGAGGCACGGAAGGGAGCATGGGGTGGGAGCATGGGAGGGAGGGGGCCTGCCATGGGGGGCCAGGAGGTGAGGACGCCCCTCCCCACTCCCGTCCCCTCTGCTTTGCTGCTTCTAGAAGTGCCTGCACTGGCCTGCCCCCTCTTTGAAGGGACAGATGTCGGGGAGAAAGCTGATTATTGTCAAAGGCTGGAGGCTGTGACCGGAGATCTCGGTGAGCGTGACCCAATTCTGAGCTATTCTCAGCCTGGTGGGAGCAAGTTATTCCCTCCCACCAACGCCACTGCTTTGGAGGCGGCCTGACTTTGAAACGCCCTCGTCCTGGCTACCGGGCTGGGCCACACAGGCTCCCCTGGGCACAGAGGCTCCGCGTGGGGAGGGCCCATGGGCTGGCAAGGCCACTGCTGGGGCAGGGCAGCAGGCTGGTCCCACTGTGCCCCTCCTTGTTCACTGATGACCCACCGGGGGCAGGGCCCAACCCGCTGGCTCCGGGGTGCACACACCTGGCACCCAGCCTGTCTGCTGCCAACCCGCTGGCCACCTCGGGAAGCGACTTCTCTCGAGGCTAAGTTCCAGTGTCCAGGAGTGGGCAGTGCGCAGAGCTCCTGAGACAGAAAGGCCCGTCCACTCCCCCACTCCACACCGACCCACACCTGCCACACAGGGTCCAGGCCACCACCGCTCCCGCAGCCACAGCTCACTCTGCACTGTGTGCCCAGATCTGGGTCTGGCTCCTGGGAGCCCCGAAGGGCAGGCCTGGGCGTCCTGAATGGGCAGGGGCTGGCACGTGGGAGGCACTCAACCCATGCATACTGATGACAGCGCCCACCCTCTGTGGCTGGTGAGGACAGGGCGCGAGGCCCGGCAGTTGCTCACTCCCTCCTGAGGGCATCAGGAGCCAGGCCCCTCTCTGGGGACCCTCTCGCTCAAGGCCCCTCCAGGCTGGCGTGCGAGCCCAACAGCCCCGGGGCTGTGGGGGCACTGAGTCCAGTGCCCACCCTGCTTAGAGCAGCTTTGGAAATGGCACTTGCCAGCCCAGAGGCTGGAAGTGCACCCTCTCCACCCACTGCTTCTGGGGCACCTCCCACCCCCCTGCATGACTTGCCCACCCTTCTCCAATGTCCACCTGCACAGGTGTCTCCTTTTCTGAGGAACCTTCCAGGACTCTGCCTGAAAACTCTCTGCCCTCTAGGGTCATGCACTGGGGAACCACTTATGGCCAGGATTCCGGAGTTGCAGCTCTGTGCCTCAGTTTCCCTACCTGTGCAGTGGACTGTTGGGGGACTCGGGTCCCCTGGCAGCCCACGTATCCTCCATCTTCTGGCCCAGAGGTGGTGGGTGGAGAGAGCAAAGCCGCAATGGAGGCAGAGAAGAGGGAGTGGAGGGGACAGCCCCAGACCTAGGCTGCAGGGGTGAGGGCCTCTTGGGCCCTCAGGGGCAACCCTGCCTCATCACATGCTACTAGACAGGGTGTGCCCCCACCGGCCTGCTGCCCTCCACCCACCCAGAAACCCTGCCCTGGTCCCCACCCGTGAAGCCCAGGTTGGGCCCAGGCCTCTGGGGCTCTTGGGTGAGGGGCTGGGCCCTGAGGCAGGCATGGGTGGGGCAGAGTGAGGCCCAGGAGCAGCTGACACCCCGGGGCTTCCTGAGGGAGGGGTACTCTAATCTCGGCTCTAGGGCAGTTCCCAGGACTAGGACCCTCCAAGCAGCTGAGTCAGAGCCAGGGTCTGGGACCTTCCAGGGCTTGGGCAGCTGGGAGTCATGTGCCACTGTCTCAGTGCAGGACAGCAGGGTGAGCGGGGAGGAATTGCCAGGGAAAATCTGAGGGCCACAGGCGAGTACACACTGGGCCAGGCAGGGAGTTTCTGGTGAATCCGTGCCCCATGATGAGCCCGTGCTGCTGACTCGCGCTGACCATCCGGGCCTGCTCATCGGTCACTCACGGCCATGGGCCCAGCTCTACCTCTGAAAGTCAGGCTCCCCATCACAGAACTGGGGCGCTGCTTGCCTTCTGCTCCTCTGCTATGGGGACTCCTTCGGGACATGGTGTGCAGGACTCTCCCGCCTGGGCATTAGATGTCTGGGGAAGCATGCTGAGAAAAGGACATTTGAAGGGGTCTTGAAGGACATACAGGAGTTTAATGCTGGCTCCAGGCCACGTGAGGATCCAAGCTGAGGGAGTGGGGTGAGGCCCAGCTGGGTCTAGAGGGCCATACGGTGGGGGTGGATGCCTGGAGGCTCAAGGTCATCATGGGGGCCTGTGTGCAGGGCAGAGCAGCAGGGCCGAGGGGATTGACACAGCAACTCTGTCCCATGTGACAACTAAGGGTGGGCTGGGACCTCCCGCTCTCCATGTGCGGACCCTGGTGACTCACCCAGGGCTGCCACCAGGGCAACCAGCCCCGGCTGGAAAATGGGCACAACCTGGACCCTACGGTGCCTGAGGCCTATGTGTCCTATAAACCATGGAGCTGCGCCTCAAAGAAACACCTCCCGGTGTCCACCCATCAGACACCATGCAGGCCTTTGCTGTGGCCAGGAGGGGCAGGGCAGGCTTGGGGGAACTGAGATCTCAGGGGTGTGCGTCACCCAGTTCATGACACCCCAGGGACAGCCTGACCCCAAAGCTCCTGGCATTAGGGTCACCCACTTCCATGTTGAACCTGACTGGGGGCCCCTCCTCTGTGCCCCAGGTGAGTAACAAGGTTAGAAGGGAAGCTGGGTCCTGGAAGGAGAGGACAAGCCCTCGGAGCAGGGCTGAGCAACTCTCAGGGACACAGGCCTCCCGGACCACATTAGCCACAGCCCCCGGTGACCCACAGTGTGACACTTCGCAGGGACCAGGCGGCCTGGAGTGGACCCTTCCTTCAGGGGCGCATACAAGTAACCCAGGCAGCCACACTGAATTCCAGCCCAGGACTGTGGAAGAAGGCCCAGCACTCCTGGACCACCCCAACCCCAGGAAGGAGTGGCCTTTTCTGCAGCCAGATGGGGGTGGCCACACATTTGCCCCTTTGTCCTGGAGACTGGAGCGCCTATCATGCCAAACCAGGACAGGGAGGAGCAGGGACCAGGGGCAGAGCGCAGGTAGGGCTGGCCTAGACAGCAGCTGGGGGTGGCCTTGGCTGCTAGGGATCACTCAGAACAGAGGGGGACGGTACGTTTATTGCTCATCACTCACACTTGGGGCCAGGCCCCTGCTAGCATAGCACTCAAGGCCCCCAGCACAGGGGAAACAGAGGCTCCCAACAGCCACTGGCTGCCTGGGCAGAAACCCAGGCCCCCTAGGCACCAGCGGCAGCTCCAAGGGCCCCATGGCTGACACAGGCACTGCTCCTTCCTTGAGGCTGTCAGACACCAGGGCGGGCGAGGAGAGCCCCCAGCCTGGGCGTCCTGCCCTCTGTCCCCACTTTGGGAAATGCCCCTAAGCTTAGCCTTTAAGAGGTGATCACATAGGCACTGTCCCTGGGTGGTGTCCTGAATGCACCTCCCCTACCCCACACCGTTGTCACTGTGGAGGGACCTCCTCCATGCCCTTGGCTTCTGTGAGGGGTAGGGGTACCCACATAGTTCCGGGACTCACAGGCTGGCATTCACACCCCAGCCCCGACACACTTGCCTGGTTGCCTGCGGCAGACAACCCACTCTGCCGCTCCTCTCCGCAGCGCTGCCTGGCCTCAGCGAGTGCAGCCCATGTCAGGGGCTCTGGCTGGGTGGGGGATGCCCCGCCTCTTGGACATGAGTGGACGAAGGCCTGGGCTGAGCTCAGTGCTGTGACATCAGCCAGGAGGCCAGAGAGCAGGGTCACCTCCCTGGTTCCTGGGCTGGCCTGGTCTCCTAGCGCTGGGGAGAGCAGGGCAGGGATTCTGGGTCAGCTCACCCCAGCTTCTGGCCAAGGCTGGAGCCTCGGCCCGGGGACTGGAGAAGCACGAGATGGTCTCAGGCCCCGTGGGGCAGCCAGGGCCGTGGGGGCCCAGGGGTCAGACGCAGCGTGGTCTCAGGGTCAATGCCCCCCTCCCTCCTCCACCCCCTTCCTGCTTAGGCCCACCTGGGAGGGGGTCAGACTCCCCCACCTGCACCCTTTGGCTTCAACACCCAGGGGAGCCTGTGGCAGTGGATACTTCATATTGGCAACAAACAGCAGCTGGGATGGGCCACAGGGCTGGACAGGAATGGCTGAGGCCCAGCCCCAGCACTGCTCCTCCATCACAGCCGCCCTTCCTGCTGTCCCACTCTGGCCACCCAGGAGGCCCCCAAGCCCCACCCCACCGTCTGTGTCTGGCAGGCATCGCTGACCATATAAGGTGCCTCTGGCCTCCCTGCCCAGCCCTTCAGTGCTCCCAGCTCCCTGGTGCCCTGGGAGGCGGCCCCCTAGCCTGGGGTCTTGGTGGCGAAGGTCAGGTAGCCGGTGTGGCCCACGGCCTCCTTCATGGGCGTGCCGCTGCGGAAGGGGCTGGTGTCGGAGCCGGCAGGGCCATCTGTGCCTGTGCCCAGGTCGGGCGGTGGCAGGCTGACAGTGCGCACGTTGTAGACCTGTGGCAGCACCTCCAGGGTGCTCAGCTCTGAGAAGCCGCGCGCTGCCAGCGCCTGGCATGTGCGTTGCACCTGCTCGATGCACGGTGAGAAGGAGCAGAAGCGCCCGCCTGTGGGAAACAGGACCCGAGGGTCAGAGGGCAGGGGTGGCAGAGCCTGGCCCGTCTGGCCCTAGCATCCCTGGACTCCCACCCTAGGGTCTGAGGCCAGCCTAAGACAGCCCCAACACAGACTGCAAGCTCTCCAAGAGCTGGGACTGCAGGGCAGAGGGGCCTGGCCCTCAACTGACAGCCCCCCATGGGGCCTGGCGCCGCTGTTCATGTCACCCAGCTTAGCCATGCCAGGCCCTCCCATGTGCCAGGCACCGGGTCAAGCCCGCGCTGCCATTGTCTCACTTGGCCCACAGCGGGCACTGCTCTCCTGCCTTCCACAGGGCTGCTGGAGCTCTGGGCCCGGAGCAGCTCTGACAGCACGGCAGCGTGGGGCGGTGCGGGGGCCGCTGCTGTCACAGGAAATTAGAGGCTGTCGCTGCTCCCGGGAACAGGAGGCGCCTACTCGAAGCAGAGCCCGAGCATGACAGCCCCTCCCTGCCGCCTCCCACCAGGGCAGCCACGGGCTTCACTTGGCCTGGCCTGCAGTGAATGAGAACCCAGCCCGGGTCCCTGTCCTGGCAGGGAGGACCTGGGGAAGCCAGGGCCGGGTAGAGGTATGTGGCCCAGGCAAGTGTCCTCAAACGTCCCTGAGGTTTGGTCTCCTCAGCTGTACCCTAACACGGGGCCGCCAGGAGGTTCGGGGTTAGAGGAGGCACCTGCTGTGTGACAACAGCCTAGACAGGGCACAGAGGCTGAGCATGCCGCATCCTCCCCAGCGGGCTCCCGTGGCCGGCAGGAGATGCCGGGCCCATGAATGAGCCAGGAGCCTTTGGACCCAGAAGGGGGAGCTCGCAGGGAAAGGGACAGGTCCCAGAGGCAGGCGCGGGTTCCCCGAGCCACGCTGGAGGAAGGAGTCACAAAGGCAGCAGGGGGGCCCCAGGGGAGGCTCTGCCGGGTTCAGCCTCCCTGGGACTATGGTCCAGGCCCAGAAGTGTCCCCAGAGCAGGAAGCCTAGGAGGCAGGGTGTGGAGATCCCCACAGCTACCCACCTCAGCAGAGACCAGGACCCAGGAGTCAGGGCTGGGCTGGAGCCAGCAGGGGACCCCCGGCCACAGCCTTGCTGTTCGCACCAGGCCTCGGCTCATCTTTGAGGTGGGGTGGGGCGCCCAGCACCTCCACCCTTCAACCCTCTCAGAATACAACTCTCAGCTGGGAAGAAGGAAGGGGCCCCTGCTGCCTGAGCTGCTCCTTCTCCAGAAAAGGGAAAAACCCTGGGCCTCCCAGCCACCTCCCTGGCTTGAGGCCCGACCTTCCCCAGGGCTGCCCCGCCTCCGCACCCAGCATCTTCCCTAAAAGGGGCCAGCTCCCTGGGCTCCAGAGCCTGGGGGAGGAGAGGTTTTGGGAAACAGCAGGGAGGGGACTCCAGACTCCTCCGGCCGGGCCTGCCCTGCACTTGGGTGGCGCTGCCACCTTCCTCCATCAGGGGGTTGGGAGAGGCCAGAGACCAGGAGCAGGGCCCAGCCAGGGACCATCCTCCCCAGCTCTGCCTCCCCTGGCCAGCCTGACCCACTCCTCACCTCAGGCCAAAGTGGGGCCCTGGCCTGGCCACTGCCATGGTGTGGCTTGGTCTCTGGACCCCTCTGAGATCCCAGGAGCTCAGTCCTGCACCCTTGCCCCACCCCCACCCAGGCTGTACCTCTCCCGGAACCCCGGATGCACCTTCGACCTTGAGGGCGTCCCAGGCGTGGCCCACGGCCTCCCAGGGTGATGGGATGTCCAGGAAGACGGCGTCGGCCACGTGGCTCACGCCAAAGCCACTGCGGCACACGTCCTGGGTGCGCACAGTCACCCAGCGGCCCACACGGTGCTCCTGGAACTCCTCCCGGGCCTTCTCTGCCCGCTGCTGGTGGAACTCCACCGTGTGCAGGTGACCCGTGGGTGCAATGGTGCGGATGATGGCGTGGGACACAGAGCCACTGCCGGTGCCTGGCAGGACAAGAAGGGATGGGCAAGGCATCAGTTGGGACTGCTCGGGACCCACAGCCTCCCAGGAAACAACCCCCACCTCACCCTGGAGACCCACACAGGGCTTGGGAGGACCCCAAGCTACAGGTGGGCGTCATTCCAGGGCTGTATGGTCCTGGCTGCCTAAAGCCCCAGGCTAGCCCTGGGTTGGGCACCCTGTCTAGGGGTGAGCTGGGGTTGACAGGCTGTGTATGCCGTGCTGTCTGTTGTGGGCACAGGCGAGGCCAGTGGCAACCCTGCCCTATCCTGCCTAGCGCAGGTATAGGGAATGAGAGCAGCCCAGCTGCCTGGAGCCTCCGGGGAAATCTGTGCAAGGGGGACAGGGAGGCCATCCCATCACTCAGCCCTGTCTTATTCCATGCATGGCCCATCACTTCCTCAATCCCCGTCAACAGTGGCCCACCCTGCCGGTCCTCATGCCCACCTCTCCCCAGAAGCTCCTTGGTCCCCTTGAGACAGCCCACCCCCACCAAGCCTGCCCAAACCTGCCCCCACCACACAGGGGCTGGGGCTCTGCCCTGGCCTGGTTGGACTCAGGACGCAGGGCCTGGCCACCAGCCACACGGCCCCAGTCCTCCCCAGCGCACCTGCCCCCAGCTTCCCTCCCCAGCTTCCCTCAAGATGGCCCCTCTGCTTGACTTCCTGTCTTATGGAGAGGGTCAAGGCTTGCATCCCTCCTCCCACTCCAGCTTCAGGGGCCATCTACCTGATGCCACTCCCATCCCCAGGCCCCTCCACTGGAGACTCCTGCTAGAGCAGCCACTGCACACTTGCCACCCATGCCTGGAACCCAAATAGCGCTGAGCATCGCAAGTGCTTGGGCCAGACCCATGGAGGTGCCTCCACTCCCTCTATCCCGTCCCACGTCCTGCCACCTCCCACATTCCTTTCAGGGGCCAGCCCCTCTCCCCACCTGTCCAGCCCCTCCCCTGGGTGCCCCCAGCCTGCTGCCTCGCCCCTCTGCAAAGCCTGGCCATGCCCCCTTCCCACTAAGGGGCAAGTCAGACTTGTTAGCCTCCGGGGTGGAGCTCGCTTCCCCTCCAACCTCACTCCCAGCCCCTCTGCCTCCCCCACTGAGCCTGACTCGGCAGCATGCTCCAACTGCAGGGCCTCGGCACGGCTCCTCCTTGGTGCAGAGCTGTCCCTTGGCTCTTCGTAGGTCCCTCCTCATCATTTTCAACTCAAATGTCCCCTCCTCAGAGAGGTCTTCCCTGCCTGGCCTAGCTGGAGAGTCCCCACTCTGGGTACCCCTCAGACACGCAGCCCTGTCTCACAGGCTTCACAGCAACCAGCGGCACTGAGATGCTCACCTAGGCTGTGTCCCCCTCCTCGAGGGCAGGAACCTGGTCTCTCTAGTTCACGGTTCCTAGGAGGGGACCTGGCATATCTGAGGAGGCCAGGAGAAGGTGCTGCTTGATTGAGCTCTCTCGCGAGAGTGGGGCAGGGGCGGAGAGGCCAGCACCCACCACAGGATGCACAGGAGCAGCAGCTGATGGAGTTGGCTAAGTCCTGCTCTCCACCCCTCCCACCCAGACACCCCAGGGAGGGACATGGTGACCTGCAGCCCTCAGAAAGCCAGCATGGCAGTGCTAGGCACTCTTCGTGAACCTGGACCCTAGCTCTCCTGCCCGGGAGGAACACGCCACCAACAACCTAGATGCATCAGCGCCTGGGGCCAATCTTGGCTTCAATCGCCACACTGGGCGGCCCCAGCACCTGTATATGTGCAGGGGTTCCCACAGCCCAGGCCCTGGACTCAACAATGGTGCTCACATTCATTGGTAGCAGGTGAGGATCTGATCATGGATGAGGATGGGGAAGGCTCCCCACCTACAGTGAGCTCCTCGGGGTAGCCCTGGCCTCTTTCCAGAAGGGGCAACTCTCTCTGCTTCACCATCAGCACGGAGGACTAGAGGTTGACGGTCAGTACCTAGGACAGCGCCAAGCATCAAGCTGGCCACGCCCCACCAAGGCAAGCAGGACCCTCACTAGAGCACCAGTCCTCCCCAGCTCCTCCTGGTCCATTTCCCACCACCTCTCACTCCAGTTACAGCACCAGCCTCCTAACGGGCTTCTCTGCCTCCACCTTCACTCCCTGCTGTCAGCATCCCGGAAAGATGTGAAAATAGAAACTGAGGAGCCACATGTGTCTGTAGGAAGGGCAGGCTGGAGGCTCTGACCTCCACCTTTGTGTCAATTTCTGCGTTAAACTGAGGCAGCCTGAGGAACTCACCAGACTCACAGACCACAGAGCCGGGCCGAAGCTCCAACATCATGGTGATGAGGGCGATGTCTGTGGAGTAGAGGATCTGCGTGCGGTGCGGCAGGTTCAGCGTCCAGAGCTCGGGCGTGGGGTGCAGCACATACACCCAGCCACCTCGGCCGCACGTCACCTTGGAGCCGAAGGGGCGGCCGATAAGGTCAACTGAGTGCCGCAGGACACCATGCCGGGTCTGGGTCTGTGCCCCACGCTGCACACGCACCGCCACCATTGCACCATGGCCCAGTGACAGGATGGCCGTGTCACCCTCCTTGATCAGCTCCTCGTATGCCACGAAGCTCATGGTGCTAATGTCTGGCAAGGGCCAAGGACCTGGGGAGGGGTGTGTGTAGGCATGAGCAAGTCAGGAGGCAGGATGAGGGCCTAGGGTCTAGGTAGAAGGCTTCGAGGCCTACATCCCAGCAGTGGGCATGGGCGGGGTGTGGCTAGCTCAGCCTCAGTCTCTGCCACTGCCTGACAGGGAGCCCAATAGCGCTGCACTCTGGCCTGGCCTCTGAAGCCTTTCTTGGTCTAGGACAAGAGACAGGGACTATGAGCCTAAATCAGAGATGAAAAGACTGAGGCTTGGCAATGGCGGAGTTCGGTCCCAAGGATTCCCGGAGTGAGGACCCGACCCTCCCATCACCCTTCTCCAGGAGCTTGACTCCCATTCCCAAGATGTGAGATGAGGAAGCGCCTTTGCGAGGTGTCCACCGGCGGGGGAGAGGCAAATGGTCAATGAGGTCACCTCCAAGCCAGGCTTGATTCCTCACCCCAGTCTCCCCCACGGGGGCTAGGTGGCAGGGTATGACAGAGGATTCAGGGCTCCCCAGTAAGGGGCTGGGGACGCGGAGCTGGCCGTCCACGCAAACACCGCCCAGCCGATGCAGAGGCAACAAGGGGCCAGGCCGGGCCGGCGGGGGCCGCCCATGCGAGGCTGGAGGGACAGGCCCTGCGCGCCGTGCCCGGCCCGGGTCACCCTCACCCGCGCCCTGCCACCCTGTACCCCGCGGAGTCTCACCTGCGACGCTCCTGCTGCCGGGGCTCCACACGTGCCTCCGCGACGCGCGGCGGCGGCGGCCACAACACTTCCGGCTCCGCGCCCGCTGATGACGTCGCGCCCCGCCTCCGCCTCCCCCTCCCCCCCTCCGCGCACGGGATCCTGGGAGCGCCAGGCTGCCCTTCCCGCCCCTCCCAGAGGACGTTTCCTGGGCGACTTCTTCCCTCATGTGAGCTGCTCTGTTTACATTTGCTGGTCGCTGGAAGATCGAAAGACTGGACAAAATCCATATGGCGGCCGGCCGGCGCGGTGGCTCTCGCCTGTGATCCCGCGCTTTGGGAGGCCGAGGCGGGAGGTTCTTCTGAGCTGAAGAGTTCGAGACCAGCCCGGGAAACGTAGTGAGACCCCCACCATCTCTACAAATAATAACAAACAAACAAAAGGTCCCCCCGCCCCGCCGGCCGCGGGTTGCCGTCGCACCCAGGCACATTTGAAGGGCGGCAGGAGCCAAGGCCTGGCTGTCACTGCTGTCCCGGACCCCTTTGACGGCCCCTGGGGGTTCACCAGAGGGCTGGCCCGTGGCTCACTGCCCAGTCCTCTATGAGGACACTTCGCCATAGACATTTTGTTATTGCAGACTGCTCTGGGAACACCCCTGACTGGGCCCTAAAATGAATTCCAGAAAAGGAATCGCAGGTCAAGGGGCGGTTCTAAAAGGCTTGGGCTAGGGTCAGCCAGAGCTCTGTGCAGCAGATGGGGGCCTGGAAAAGTCTGCAGAAGTGGCCTTCCGCCCAGGCCCTGCCTCCCCCGACGGGGGCACGTTGTCCTGAGTGCAGAGCTGCTTCTAGGAGGGAGTAGGGGTCCTGTGTCCCCTCCTGCGAACCAAGGCATAATGAGAACTGGATGACTTGGGCCCACTTTTGGGTCTGGTGAGCAGCCTGGGCAGGAGACTGGAGGAGGTGCTGCTGGAGGATGGGCAGAACAGGGAAGCGGGAGTGGCGTTCTGTCTCAGCAACACCATTCCCAGCTGGCTCCTCTGTGGAGTGTGTGTGCAGGGGAGCGGGGGCAGGGGACACGGATTTTCTTCCTCCAGCTCTTAGCTCTCAGGACCAGAGCTTGGAGAGGAACAGAGACCCCCCTACCCAGCCTAGGGTTTAGCCTGCGCCCGAACCCAAGCCAGTTAGCAATGACCCTAGGGCACCCTCCCCAGTCACTCAGCCACTCCAGCCTGGTAAGATGAGGTGGCCAGGCTCCTGCAGAGCGAGCTCCCCTCTGGAGCCCTGGCAGCCTGTAGAGCACTCTCAACTCTCTCGCCTCTGGGGCAGGCCAGGCCAGGCTGTTTGTGGCCCTTGCATTGGCTTCTCAGGGTCCATCATGGAAACCTAGGGGTCCAACCTCAGCCCCTCTGTGTCCCTGCCCTAGCTGCGGCTGAGAGCCCCCAGGAGTAAGCTGGTGAGAGGCCTTCCATGGCCTCCCACTCTCTGTGGGCTCCTGTCCCTGTGGGGCCACCACGCTGGCCACCAGCTGCCTCTACTTCTGCCTTACAGCCTCCCTGCCTTCTGCTCTCAACGTTGAAACAGCCCCCTCCACAGCTCCCGAACCTGTGTTCCAGCGGATGCTTCTCTCCCTTGATGATGCACCCGCCTGAGTCACCCCCTAATTTCTCCCCTGGGGGATTCTGACTTTCCACTTCTCTTGGGTTTCTCTTCCCCAGCCTCTCAGCTGTGGTTGGTGTGGAGTCAGGGCCGGGTGCCTATAAGGGCCTAAGGTAGGACTTGGTGACTCGGCGGTGGTTTCCCTTGGTTCCGACTTCCCTCTTGCCTCTCTGTCTATTACTGGCTGGTCAACTCCTCCAGTGCCCCTTCCTCCAGGCAGCCTCCTCAGCCCTGCCCACCTGCTCCATCTGAGCCTGCCCCAGTCCCCAGCCTGAGTCCTCAAGCAGAACCAATCCCCCCTACCTCAGCTGATGATTCCCTGTGCAGAGTTTGTATTGGGGCTCCCCTAACAAGAGCTGATGCTGTATATGCCCAGCTGTGCCATCTCATTGACTTCTCCCCAGGATCCTAGGAGGGAGGGAACACTTTACAGATGGGGAAACTGAAACTCAGAGATGTTAAATAACTTGCCTGAAGTCACAGCCAGTGAGGTCAAAGTGGGATTAGGATTTAAAGCCAATAAACCCCCAAAGCTCAGCACTGAGGAGGCTGAAGAGGGAGGACTGCTTGAGGCCAGGAGTTGGAGTTCTGCCTGGACAACATAGCAAGACCCTATCTCTTAATTAAGAATTAAAGCCAGTAAACCGGCTTCAGAGAACCAATGGCTGATTTGAAGAAAGGTGGGAACAGGCAGGAAGGATGCCCACTGGGGAGGCTGCTGTGCCCAAATCCCTGGCAGGGACCACGTGACTGCAGTCCCTCCCCTCTAAGCAGCACAGCCTCCTACCCCACTGTGCTCTGTGATCCCCAGTCAGCCCCTGTCCCTCTCCTGACCTCAGCCCGCTTCCTCTTCGGGCTCTGCAGAACTCAGGGGCAGGGCACTGGGAGGAAGCAATGCTGCCTCTGGCTGCACTCTGCAGAGGAGCAGACTACAAGGATAGAGTCCAGTGCCCTGCCTGGAGTCTGCCCTGTGCCTGACCTGCTGAGCCGGGTCATGTTCTGTGGATAAAAGACCTGGGCCTCCTTTGAAGCCCCCTCCAGGCCCAGTGGTTCACGTGTAACCAGGTGTGATTTCTGAGGAACCTGGACCAAACACTGGCCTGGTAACGTCATGCAGCCTCCTGCCTGGATGCTGCCAAAGCAGCCCCTGTGGGCCCCAGGGAGAGCAGGGGCTGTGGACAGGGGAGGTCAGCTGGAGGGGAGGCTGGCACCTTCCAAGCCCCTCTCCTTGTGCACCTGCTCTGGGGGACACTAAGGCTCCCAATCAGCCCCTGCCTGGGGGGTCTCACCCTGACATTTAGGTCTGAAGGCCTTGAGGGCCACCTCCCCACTGTTATCTGCTGCTGCTGTCCCCGTCACAGCTGCCTGGCCCCCGTACACTGTCATTTTGCCCCAGGCAGGCTCGCACAGGGCCGGCGCTCTGGGAGGGTGGAAGGATTGCTGGGCCCATGACTGGACACCTCTGTCACCCAACTTCTGATCTATCTGCACGTTGAGACCAGCCTGGCCAACACAGCAAGATCCCTGTCTCAACAGAATAAAAACAAAAATAAAATGATCTTCTGTCTGCACACTGGGGACAAAAACACCCACCTCAGAAAGCTGAGGGTTACCAGCGGCGCCAGGCCGGAGCCGCCCCAGTGCCAGGCTCACTGCTTGCCATAGGCAGCCCTGCCCTCTGGATCTCATATCTGCAGTTCTGACCTTGCCTGTGGAGGGAAAGTGTAGGGGAAAGAAAGAGATCAGACTGCTACTGTGTCTATGTAGAAAGAAGTGGACATAAGAAACTCCATTTTGTTCTGTACTAAGAAAAATTCTTCTGCCTTGAGATGCTGTTAATCTGTAACCCTAGCCCCAACCCTGTGCTCGCAGAAACATGTGCTGTGTTGACTCAAGGTTTAATGGGTTTAGGGCTGTGCAGGACGTGCTGTGTTAAAATGTGTTTGCAGGCAGTGTGCTTGGTGAAAGCCATCGCCATTCTCCAGTCTTGAGTACCCAGGGACACGATGCACTGCGGAAGGCCGCAGGGACCTCTGCCCAAGAAAGCCTGGGTGTTGTCCAAGGTTTCCCCCGACTGAGACAGCCTGAGATATGGCCTCGTGACAAGGGAAAAACCTGACCATCCCCCAGCCCAACACCCGTAAAGGGTCTGTGCTGAGGAGGATTAGTGAAAGAGGAAGGCCTCTTTGCAGTTGAGATAGGAGGAAAGCATCTATCTCCTGCTCCTCCCTGGGAATGGAATGTCTCGGTGTAAAACCCGATTGTACATTCTATTTACTGAGATACGAGAAAACTGCCTTATGGCTGGAGGTGAGACATGCTGGCGGCAATACCGCTCTTTACTGCACTGAGATGTTTGTGTAAAGTCAGACATAAATCTGGCCTACGTGCACATCCAGGCACAGCACCTTTCCTTAAACTTATTTATGACACAGAGACCTTTGCTCACATGTTTTCCTGCTGACCCTCTCCCCACCATTACCCTAAAGTCCTGCCACATCCCCCTCACTGAAATAGTAGAAATAGTGATCAATAAATACTGAAGGAACTCAGAGACCAGTGCCGGCGCGGGTCCTCCATATGCTGGCACCAGTTCCCTGGGCCCACTGTTCTTTCGCTATACTTTGTCTCTGTGTCTTATTTCTTTTCTCAGTCTCATCCCACCTGACGAGAAATAACCACAGGTGTTGGGGGGAGGGGCTGCCCCCTTCAGGAAAGGGGAAAGGGGGTCCTTTCCCATGGGGGACCTGGGAAGCAGGTTAGGCTCTCAGCCAGGAGGGTGAGAGAGGGGAGGGTTGGCCTTCTGAGAAGCTGCAGTTGCTGAAGACAGAGGAAGTCCTGAGTGTGGCCCCCAAGTCTCTCCCTCCCCCCAAGTCTGCCTCCAGGGGCTGCAGCTATCCCTTCCAGAAACAGAAACTTAAGCCCTTCAGGTTTTGTGGGGTAGCAGGTGGGCAGCTGCAGAAATTTCTAAAACTGGGCGAAGAGGCTGCACGGGGCACAGAGTGCAGGAATTCCAGGCTTAAGGGACACCTGCTGTCTGGCCAGCCCAGAGGGGCCGTTTGCCTTTTTACATGGGTTGGTTTTATTAAGTCTAAAAAATGCTGGCTTGGAACAGGACGAAGCATGCCAAGGAGCAAAGAGGCATGTGTCTCCTCTGCAGTGACCATGGGGATGAGACAGGAGAAAAGGCCCCCACACCGATGCTCACATAGGCAGAGGCGAACAGGCTTCCCCTGCCTTTGGGCCTTGGCTCTGGTGCCTTCTGCTCTGAGGCACCTATTCGGGGTCCCTTATACCTGGAACGCCACTGCTCTGTGTCCCCCTGGCCCCAGCAGCACCGATCTGATGTCATCTGGTTTGTTGGGCTGCTGGCTCATGGCCAGTCTTCTTCCAGCAGCAGGCGCTGTGTACCTCGCTGCCTGCTGTATCCCCAGCGGCTGGCACCTGTTAGGTGCTCATTGTGCCACTGCTGGAGGGATTTGTATCAAATATACCCACAGATAAGAGTTCCCCCCTTCTTTGCTTTATTCACAGAGCAACAGATGAGGGTCCCTGATGGATATTAACCCCACATCCTCCACTTCCCCCTCTTAACAGCTGCATAATATTCCACAGCAAGCAGATGCCTCCCTACCCTTGGCCACTCCCGCCTGATGGGGCATCGGGTTGTATCCAGTTATGTTTGTTTTTCCCTCCACAGATCTCTTGGTCCATTAGTGGAGAGAACTGAGACATCCTTTCTAAGGGCTGCATTCCTAGAAGGGGAGATTGCTGGGTCACGGAGTTCGAACATTGTTAACGTTAATAGATTCTGCCAAATTATCTTGCAAAAAGCATGCAGCAATTTAAGTTGCAGGCAGCGTGTGGACGCCTGTCTTCCCGCATTCCAGCTCAAAGCCAGCAATGGCTGGGGTCGATCTGGGAGTGTTGGGGGTAGGGGCAGGTGGAGTCACTGCTTAATTTGCATGATTCTGGTTATTCGTGAGATCAGTTTTTTTTTTTAATCGCACTTATGCTTATTGTTTATTAGCGTTTCCTCCCATCTTTGCCTGAAGTCTCCGGGGACTGCCTTTGGGGGTCGGGTAAACTTGTCCCCTGCGAAGAGGGCCCAGGGTTGGGGTCTGGAAACTCCGAGGCTGCACTTGCCAGCGGCCTCTTAAGGCCACAGCGTCCCCGTGGTTTCTGGCTCGCAGCCCCCCGAGACCCAGGACTTGTCCAAGGTCAGGGCACCGCGGGTGCCCCCGGGCTGGGCCGCAGCCAGACTGCGCTTCCCGCGCGCCTTCGCTTTGCACCAGGATCGCCCAGGAAACGCCTGCGGGCACCTTGAGGAAGGTCGGCGGCTCCGGGCCAGCTCGCACTGGCCGGGGGTGGGGCGGGGGCCGTACCTGCTGCGGAAGCCCCGAAAGCTTTCGCCCGGCCCCTCGCCGCCGCCGCGGGGGCTGGCTGGACTAGGCGGGCAGGCTCGAGGATGCGGATGAACCCAAGCGTCCTCGAGTGCCCGGAGGCTCTCCGCCTCAGTTTCCCGCCCAGAGGCAAGGGCGTGCGAGGGGATCCAGATATCCAAGGACCTGAGGTTTCGGCCTCGAGGTCTTGGGCGGGGGACTGGGCAGGCTGCGCGGGGTCCCAGCGAGGGGACAGCTCGGGTGGGCGGCCAGGGTGTTGGGGGCTGCGGGCGGCGGACAAAGCGGCGGCACCACCCCGCGGCGCGGGCCAATGGAATGAATGGGCTATAAATAGCCGCCAATGGGCGGCCCGCGTTGTGCCCCTTAAGAGCCGCGGGAGCGCGGAGCGGCCGCTGTTCGCCTGCGTCGCTCCGGGAGCTGCCGACGGACGGAGCGCCCCCGCCCCCGCCCGGCCGCCCGGTGAGTGGGCCCGGGGGCCGGGGGCGTCCGCGCCCGGGCTAGGGGCGCTGCGTGCAAAGGGGGCGCGTCGCCTGGAGCGCGCGCCGGACCGGCCGGGGGTCCCCGGCGATGATGGCGCTCCCCGCGCGCGCTGCGGACCCCGCTGACCTTGGCCGCGTCCCGGGGGGCGCCGGGGGGCCCGGCGGCGGGGGCCTGAGTGGTACGCGGGAGCCCGGGAACCCCGGCGTGCCGGTCCCCTCTGACCCCGCGTCTCCCCGCAGCCCGCCGCCGCCATGCCCTTCTCCAACAGCCACAACGCACTGAAGCTGCGCTTCCCGGCCGAGGACGAGTTCCCCGACCTGAGCGCCCACAACAACCACATGGCCAAGGTGCTGACCCCCGAGCTGTACGCGGAGCTGCGCGCCAAGAGCACGCCGAGCGGCTTCACGCTGGACGACGTCATCCAGACAGGCGTGGACAACCCGGGTACGCGACCCCTCGGGGCCGGGGTCCCGGCCCCCCCTCCCCCCGCGCAGCCGCAGGGTCCTCAGCAGCGCGCTCGGGCCCGGCAGTGACGTCACTGTCCCCGTCCCGCGCCCCCTCCCCCAGGCCACCCGTACATCATGACCGTGGGCTGCGTGGCGGGCGACGAGGAGTCCTACGAAGTGTTCAAGGATCTCTTCGACCCCATCATCGAGGACCGGCACGGCGGCTACAAGCCCAGCGATGAGCACAAGACCGACCTCAACCCCGACAACCTGCAGGTGCGGGGCTGCGGGCGGGCCGGGCGGGCGGGGCCGGGGTCTTCGGGCGCTCACTCCCGTCTCGCCTCCCAGGGCGGCGACGACCTGGACCCCAACTA
Organism: Homo sapiens; assembly: GCF_000001405.40. Taxonomy (NCBI): domain Eukaryota; kingdom Metazoa; phylum Chordata; class Mammalia; order Primates; family Hominidae; genus Homo; species Homo sapiens. The sequence goes on along the minus strand of NC_000014.9, from coordinate 103,521,924 downwards.
CGTGCTGAGCTCGCGGGTGCGCACGGGCCGCAGCATCCGTGGCTTCTGCCTCCCCCCGCACTGCAGCCGCGGGGAGCGCCGCGCCATCGAGAAGCTCGCGGTGGAAGGTAGGGGCCGGGCGGGCCGAGGGGCGGCGGCGGCCGCGTCCCCCTCCCGGCGCGGTCCCCGCCCGCTTTTGTTTACGTCGCCCGGGAGCGGCAGCCGCCGTCGCGCTCTTATCTGCGCGCGCCCGGGTTCAGTTTCCCGGAGGGACCGAGGGACGGAGGCCCAGCCCCGCGCCCACAGCGGCCTGGGGCCCAGGGAGGGCGGGTCCTGGCGCGGGGTCACCGCCTGGGACCGTCGCCCGGGCCGTGAGGACTGGACGCCCGCAGATCCGGGCGGGTGGGGCCCTCTGACGTCCCCCGAGGTGGGGCACGGGGGCGGGCGGGTCCGCGCTGCGGGCTGGAGGGGCGGGCGCGGGAGCCGAGCGTCCTGAGCGCACCCCTCGCAGCCCTGTCCAGCCTGGACGGCGACCTGGCGGGCCGATACTACGCGCTCAAGAGCATGACGGAGGCGGAGCAGCAGCAGCTCATCGACGACCACTTCCTCTTCGACAAGCCCGTGTCGCCCCTGCTGCTGGCCTCGGGCATGGCCCGCGACTGGCCCGACGCCCGCGGTATCTGGTGCGTGTCCCTCTGCGCCCTCTCGCGGCGTCCTCCCTCCCCGCTACCTCCGCTTTCCCTCTCGCCCCCCTCGCGGGGGTGGGGCCCCTCGCGGCGAGGAGGAGGAGGAGGAGGAGGGAGGGGCCGGCCGCGCTCCGGGTCTGGGTTCCGTGCCGCGCCTCCTCCTGCGCCGGTGACCTTGGCCGAGCAGGTGCGTTAAGGGACTGGGCCCCGGCCCGTGGGGGCTCAGGACTCAGCAACACCTCCCCACCCCGAGACGTGAGGTGGGGGCGGGGCTCTCTGGCGCCTCTCCCCGACGGCCCTGGGAGCTGGAGCTCTTTGTTTTCTTTTCTCACTCCTCCGCCGCTGGGATTCTACCAGGGGCTGGTGACGCCAAAGCTTCTCCAGGGGCAGGGCTCCTACCCCCACTGTGGGGGGCGGGTCGGGCTGTCCTGGCGGTCCCTGGCCCCGCCCCACCTCAGGCCACAGCGCATGATGGCAGCTGGGGTTCTCCTGCTGTGAGGCGTCCCGGTTCCCCCGCCCGCCCCGTGTTGGCGGGTGGAGTCTTGGCAGCAGCCTCCACTCCTGGGCATGGCAGGGAGCAGCACCTCAGGGACTTGGGAAGTTCCTTTGGTCTGGGGGCGGCCTGGGGCTTTTTTCTGGGTATGCCCTGAGACCAGCCCTCCCGCAGGCACAATGACAATAAGACCTTCCTGGTGTGGGTCAACGAGGAGGACCACCTGCGGGTCATCTCCATGCAGAAGGGGGGCAACATGAAGGAGGTGTTCACCCGCTTCTGCACCGGCCTCACCCAGGTGCCAGGGACGGGGCAGGCCCAGACCCCAGGGCCCCAGCAGGGATGTGGGTGCCCCAGCATCAGTCCCCCCGGGGGATTTCCGGCACTGGGGAGTCTCAGGGCCTGTAGGGGTTTCAGGCAGGCCTTCTCCCTCATACCCTCTTCTCCGTCTGCAGATTGAAACTCTCTTCAAGTCTAAGGACTATGAGTTCATGTGGAACCCTCACCTGGGCTACATCCTCACCTGCCCATCCAACCTGGGCACCGGGCTGCGGGCAGGTGTGCATATCAAGCTGCCCAACCTGGGCAAGCATGAGAAGTTCTCGGAGGTGCTTAAGCGGCTGCGACTTCAGAAGCGAGGCACAGGTGAGCAGGGCAGGTGCTGCGGCTTCCCGTGGCCTTTGGGCAGCCCTGTTTCCTCCGCCCTGACTTGCTGTCTCCCCAGGCGGTGTGGACACGGCTGCGGTGGGCGGGGTCTTCGACGTCTCCAACGCTGACCGCCTGGGCTTCTCAGAGGTGGAGCTGGTGCAGATGGTGGTGGACGGAGTGAAGCTGCTCATCGAGATGGAGCAGCGGCTGGAGCAGGGCCAGGCCATCGACGACCTCATGCCTGCCCAGAAATGAAGCCCGGCCCACACCCGACACCAGCCCTGCTGCTTCCTAACTTATTGCCTGGGCAGTGCCCACCATGCACCCCTGATGTTCGCCGTCTGGCGAGCCCTTAGCCTTGCTGTAGAGACTTCCGTCACCCTTGGTAGAGTTTATTTTTTTGATGGCTAAGATACTGCTGATGCTGAAATAAACTAGGGTTTTGGCCTGCCTGCGTCTGAGTGGTGCCTCTCCTTTCCCAGGGGGGAGGGGGAAGGGCAGCAGCCAGGCCCCAGGAGTCTTGAGTCCTGGGCCTGCTGTGGGCCTCGCCTTCTGTGAGATGGGACAAGAGCCAGGAGGTGGCCACTCTGTTCTGCCTGCCCTACCTAGTCCATGGGCCCCTTCCCTCGTGTCTATCGGGCTGTGCAGGCAGGAACATGGGAGAGAGCGAGGGAGGAGCTCCAGGCCTGAGCATCTGAGGGCATTCAGGCCTGGGTGTGGAGCCTGGCACGTTCCTCAGGCCCATCCTGCAGGGTGGGGGAGGTAGGGATAGTGGAGGTGGGGGGTTGACCTCAGAAACTTGAGAGCTTTCCGGTCCCTCCAACTGGCTTCCTCCTCCAGTCTTCCAAGCTGCAACACTATCAGATGCAGGCATCTCCCTGCCTCCTTCCTACCCCGCCAACACCTACTCTCTATCTTCTCTTCCCTGCTTCCTTCCCTCCCAGCCTCGGCCTTCAGGCTGAACAGCCCCCCTGGCTCCACTGGTCATTGGGCTCAGTCCTCAAGACCCTCTAGCAGCCCTGGGGAGCCACTGGTCCCCCCTTTACTGGCAGGCTCCTCTTCAGGGGCCTCTGGGTGTCCAGCCCCTTGGCCTCAAGGTGGAACCACAAGGTAGGGACCCTGGGCAGAAGGGGGGTTGGGGCTGTTTAGGGCTTGGTCGCCCTGGTCCCTGGTGCAACCCCCCCGCCAACTCACCCTAGTTGCCAGTTGCCACTGTCCCTGCCCAGCCTCTGGCTCAGGGCTCCTACCATGATTGGGCACCCTGAGGGGCTCGGCCAGCTCAGGGAGTGGAGGCGGATAGGTGAGCCAGCGGGGGCTAGGAATCCTGCTCCCCACCTTCCTCCAGCTCCTAAGCGCCAAGGACGCAGCCTGTGCTGCCACCTGCTGGCCAGGGCCTCCTCTGCCCCACCCCTGGGGATCAGGGTCTGGGACAGGCCTCATCCTGCATCTCCATGCCCACCTGGACACTAAAAGCTGCGGATCACTGGGCTCTCACCTCCTTGGGACACGAGGGGATTGCCAACCTAGACACTGGGGCCCAGGAGCAGCAGTGGGGTGCATCCCTGAATCTGCTGCTGGGCTTGGCTTGTGGGGGGTCCTAAGGGCAGGGTTGAAGTGTCCACCTCCCTGAGTGAACACCTGGTAGGCTAGGGGCATAGGGGGCAGGTCCCCTGGTGCAGAAGGCTGGGGGGACTTCTGCATCCAGCCTTTGGACCCTAGACTGGGCCCTCCCTGGCTGACCAGCCTGGGCACAAGGCCAGTTTCTGGCTTAGCCTTTTGCTAGGAAGGCCCGGGCCAGGATAGGCCGAGCTGTACAATCGAGAGTCTTGGGAGAAGGGCGGGGACGAAGGGCCCGAGGTGAGCACAGGAAGTGAGCCCCTCCAGAAAGGGGAGGCTGAGGGCAGTGAGGAAGGGGTGCAGACCCAGTGGGGACCTGACCAGCAAAGCCCCACCCCCAGGGGGCCTTGTCAGTGCTGCCCTCCTCCCGCTCAACAGCGGCAGCCCCTCCTGCTGGCTCAGTCCCTCTCATCACGGCTTGGGCAGAGCCAGCCTGACAATCGCTGGGGTGGTGTGGGCCCCACTCCGAGGTGAACACAGGGCTGAGGGCATGGCTGGGCAGGCCTAACACTTGTGTTTCAACGCTCCCCTTTTCCCATGTTGACTCTCAGAGTGGGGCACTCCTAGAACCACCGGTGGTCAAACAAGCGGAACCCCTAATCACCCCATGCAGGCCTCTCAACGCACTGTCCGGGGAGGCCGAGAAGGCTGGGCCTGGCTCAGGACCACTTCTGAGGCAGTAAAACTCTGAAGGTGGGTGGGGCCTTGGCTGGCCTGTGGCGCCCACAGGGCCTGGACCCCCAGCTCTCCGGGCCCCACTCTCCTCCCTGTGCCTCACGTATTTTATCTTACTGCATTAATTCTTTTGGGGACCAGGCAGGGCCTAAAATACACTCCCCTCAGTGGGGGAGCTACAGTCGTCTGCCTGTGCCACTAGTTCCACGGAGCCTCCAACCACAGTCTAGACAGCCTTCCTTTTTCCTCAGACTCCGCAGACTTTAACAGGCAATTCTCCTTGAAAGCACTGTCAAACATGGACAGCAAAGGACAGTATCTAGGGGCGGCAGGGACACAGGGAGATGTTCTGGCTGTTGGACACATCTCCCTGCAGGGCAATCTGGCTGCACCAAGCCCCACCTCAGCTGTCCCTCCTGTCCACTCAGGGACTTCCCAGCTAGGGAAGGAGTCCACGGCGGGGTTTCCGCAGTGGCGCTCCAGACACTTGGGCCGGACCACTCTGGTGGGGGCCGTCCTGTGCGCTGCAGGACGTCCAGCAGCAGCCCTGGCCTCCAACTGCTGCATGCCAGTAGTCCTCGCTTCCCCAACTTATGACAATAAAAAATGTCTAGACATTCACAAATGCCCCTTAGGGGGCAAAACAGCCCCCCTTCCTCGAGTCCCGTTGCCCTACAGAAATATAAGTGAACAATGACTGAGAACAGGGAAACTGTAAGGGCTTGCTGACACTGAAGAGTGGCTACAGCCCCACCCCTCCTCTGGGGTCCTGTGCAGACAGGGAGGACAGTGTGAGGAATCTAGTGAGGTGGTGACATGCTGAGAAAAGCTCAAGAGCAGAAGCAGGTTATAAAACAGCTTGTGCTCTGAGATCCCACACAGAATATGTATGGAAAAACCCCAAAGAACAGTAGTCACTGTGGGTGGTGGGGTAACAGGTGATTTCCTTCTTTATATTTTCCAAATTTTCTACAGGGCACATGTATTACTTATATAAGCCAAAATAATGTTTTTAATGGTGTTTTGTAGAAAATGCTGTCATGTGTTCCAGTCTGCGGAAGCCCACCAAGCAGCAGCAAGACTTTACCACTACCACGGCCTGAGGCCTCACAGACAGGGAAACTCAGGTTCAGAGAGGAAGACAGACCGGTCCGGCCTCGCCGGCTCTAACTCCTGGGCTCTTTTCACTGCTCTTCTGAGAACATTCTAGCCTCCCACAGTTGGGACCTGCTTGTCTTAGCAGTGGCTTAAAAGGCTGCACTTGCCCCTTCTGCATTTCTATTTCGAGCCAGCGGGCACTTCCTAAAGCCTCCCAGAGCACCCTTCAGGGGTTGCACATTGGACCCACATGGATGTGAAGTGAGTCTCCTTTTCTACAGGTAAAAAGAAAACAGTAATTTGATTGGCAAGAAGTCTTTTGGCCGTGAGGTTTCCACTGAGCAGATGACAGCATTTCAGCTTAGATAAGTGAGGCTTTTTTGGTACTGCTGAGAAGGCTGAGGCTTTTTTTCTTTTTTTAGACGGAGTTTTGGTCTCATTGCCCAGGCTGGAGTGCAATGGCACGATCTTGGCTCACAGAAACCTCCGCATCCTGGGTTCAAGAAAAGTCTCCTGCCTCAGCCTCCAGAGTAGCTGGGATTACAGGCATGTGCCACCACACCTGGCTAATTTTGTATTTTTAGTAGAGATGGGGTTTCTCCATGTTGGTCAGGATGGTCTCAAACTCCTGACCTCAGGTGATCCGCCCACCTCAGCCTCCCCAAAGTGCTGGGATTACAGACGTAAGCCACCGTGCCCGGCCAGGCTGAGGTTTTTTACACGCAGACTTCTCAGTCTGGCTAGAGGCTTTCTGCACTCGCAGTGACTGAACTTTTTTGAGGCGGGATTTCACTCTGTCACCCAGGCTGGAGGGCAGTTGCACGATCGCGGCTCATTGAAGCCTTGACCTGCCTGGGCTCAGGTGATCCTCCCACCTCAGCCTCCCAAGTAGCTGTGTGACTGCAGGGACGTGCCACCACACCTGTCTAATTTTTTCTATTTTTTTTTTCTTTGTAGAGACGGGGTTTTGCCATGTTGCCCAGGCTGGTCTCGAACTCCTGGGCTCAAGCCTTTCCCCTGCCTCAGCCTTCCACAGTGCTGGGATTACAGGTGTGAGCCACTGTGCCCAGCTGGTTGGACTCTTTCCACCTTTTTCCCCAAACCCAACTTTGTATTGTTTTGCTTGGGTTCAGAAGTCCTGATTTTCACACCCTTTTCAGGCCTGGGGATTTACCAAAATTTAAGGCTTAACAAAAATTAAGGCCCCCCAAAAGATAAAAGTGCTACTGCCAGTGGCACCTGTCTCTGATTCACCTTCATGGCACGGATGCTGGTGGTCCCCTAGCAGCCATTCTCCCCTCTGCTTGAGTGACAGCGCCCTGGTTTCCAGCCTGCACGCAGCTGCCTGGCTGTGAAAGCACACTTTCAAGACTCCCATGCAGCTAGGGGTGGCCAGGTATCAACGTGCTCCAGCAGCTGCCCAGGCTGTGAGGACAAGGCCGTCCTCGGTGCTGTGGGGCGAAATGCCTGCGTGTGTGCAGCCTGGCACCAACTCCTGAGGTGCTGGCAACATTCCTGCTGTGGTGAAGGGGCTGCAACCCTGTTCTACCATTCATGAATCCCATGCAGCGTGGGGTTCGGCTTGGGATCCTGCTGGGCTTGCAGAGGAATTGGCCCAGTGGCTCCAGGTACTCCACACCCACTTGCACTCAGGACGGCACCAACCCCTCCAGACGTGTTTGTTGCCTGTTTGCCTAACCTGGGGCAGGGCTCCCACCTGCATGTCTGCTCTCTGCTTCCCACAATCGCCCGAATCCCCTCTGGGAGGACTGCCCTGCCTGCCCAGGCCTCCTTCCCGGAGGGCCTCCTTCTGCATCCCTCTTCCCCTCCGGCTCTGTCCTGTCTCTTCCCCATTAGAGGACTGCTGGGCTGGTGAGCCTTCTCTCTTGAGAATGCGGCCTGCTCCCAGGGCAGGGCTTAGGTCTTGCTTCATTACTCTCATTCCACCTATACTCAGCTGCACCCATTACTGGTATATGTGGTCTGTGTTAACACACATCAAAGCTATTCCGGAAATATACAACTTATAGCAAAAAGACAGAAACTCCCATTAAAATTAAAATGAAAAGTCTAGTTTTGTCAATACTTTTGACCCATCGACTACCCAACATATTAAATGGCACTTCAAATGTGTTACACTCTCAAAAAGAAAAGAAATATAGCAATCAACTCAACCAAAAAAAAAAAAAAAAAAGAAATAATAAAGGTGGTGCTACTCATCTATACCCAAAATTGTTCCTTTAAAATGTATTATTTTTTATTTTTTTTTTGAGATAGGGTCTTGAAGTCACCCAGGCTGGAGTGCAGTGGGCAGGATCACAGGTCACTGCAGCCTCAATCTCCCGGGCTCAAGTGATCCTCCCTCCTCAGCCTCCCCAGTAGCTGGGACCACAGGAGCGCATCTCCACGTCTGGCTAATTCTAAAATTTTTTTTTGTAGAGACGGGGTGTCTCGCCATGTTGCCCGCCCAGGCTGGTCTTGAACTCCTGGCCTGAGCGATCCTCTTGCCTCGGCCTCCCAAAGTGCTGGGATTACAGGTGTGAGCCACTCTGCCTGGCCCCAAAACTGCTGTGCTTCTGAGGGACCCCTGTGCTGCAGCCCCCACCCAAGTCACAGCAGCAGCACCTACCTGGGGGACAAAACGCTGTGGCAGAGGGGCCAGAGTCTGGCCTGACCCTATTCACTCTTCCTTGGGATCAGAAAGGAGCATGGGGATTGCTTTCCTCTGTTCTCTTGGCCTTGACACAGGATAACATGACTAACTTTGTCAGCAAAGTTCCAGTGTTTTGGTTAAATTAATGAAATATACAGGTGGAGTATCCCAAATCCAAACATCTGAAATCTAAAATACTCCAAAACCTGAACCTGAGTGCGGATGTAATGCTAAAAGGGAGTGCTCACTCATGCATTTCAGAGTTCAGATGTTCAAATTTGGGATGCTTAACCAGTAGGTATAATGCAAATATTCCAAAATCTGAAAAAACCCCAAACCCGAAACACCTGTGGGTGGTCCCAAGCATTTCAGATAAAGTATTCCCAAACCAGGAAATGCAAGCCAGCAAAATGTGCCCTATGTACTTAGTGATATCAACACAAAAGGACACACAGCATCACCATTCTGGGGAGCAGCAACTCCCACCCACAGCGACAGGCTGAGGAGATGTCCGAGCAGCATGGGACAAGCTTGTTGGAGCCCTCTAGAGCCCACAGAATGGAGGTAGCAGAGGAGTGGCCAGTGGATTAGGGTGGAGAGCACGAGAACCACATGTCCCAGAGACAGCCGAGCTGTGTACTAAAGAGCAGCGGAGGCCAGCCTGTAGCAGGGGAGTGACTGGCAGAGCAGAACTCGCGGAGTGCACAGGTGCGTTTGGGAAGGGGTGGAGTGGAGGGTGGTGGCGGGTTGGAAATGCTCTCTGAGGCATGCTCCACCCAGGGACTTCTGGTGCCACATTAATGAACATGACTACATATGCTCCTACTTCCCAGCTGACTTCCATGCAAAACATAACTGCTTTGAGAATGTGCTCACGCCTACCCACGCCTGCTGGCAGCTTCCTCCTGAGAGGAGGCTGAGGCGAGTCAGAGCAGGCCTTGCTTTGGTAGGCGCCAGCACAGGCAGTCTCATGCCAGGCTCTCTGGGTTCGCCAGGCTCTGGCTGTCTGGTGCAGCATTAGTCTGCTTTGGTCTGGCAGCAGCACAACCCTGCCCAAAGCCTGCTAGGTCACTCCCTAATGAAGTACTGGGGAATGAAGGCCCCTTCACAGAAGTGCAGTGTCTCAGAGTCTGAGACATAACATGTTGGGCTAGTGACAAGAAAGAGCCTGCCCAGGAGTTGGCGGCCCAGCCGCTGCCCCCACGCCTGAGTTGGAGATGAGCCAGGCCCCTGGCGCCTGCCTCTGCACGTGCCACTCCTCTCTCTCCCACTGAGCGGACTCGGTGCACCGCCACCTCTACGTGCCTCCCCTGTACCCAGGCCTGACTCCCTTCGGCCAGGGCCCTGGCCTTCCTGAACGCAGCATCAGCCCATCCTAGTATCACACCAGTGCCCCTCGCCTCCCTGTGCGATGAGGTAGTCGAGGCCAGGAGGTTTTACCTTGTTTATTTTTGTATCTCCAGGGGTCAGCACAGAGGTGCTTCTCCTACCTTAACCCTCAAAATATGGCTACAATGAATGAACACATGAACAAATGATTGATGAGAAGTCTTCCTGTCTTGTTCTAGAACACCTGAAAATAACTGGGGCAGCTTAACTTGGAGAAGCAAGAATTTAGGGAGGAGGCCGGGTGTGGTGGTGGGCGCCTGTAATCCCAGATACTTGGGAGGCTGAGGCAGGAGAATCGCTTGAGCCCGGGAGGCGGAGCTTGCAGTGAGCTGAGATCACAGGAGAATCACTTGAACCTGGGAGGCGGAGGTTGCAGTGAGCTGAGATCGCACCACAGCACTCCAGCCTGGGCGACAGAGTGACACTCTGTCTGGAAGAAAAAAAAAAAAAAAAAAAAAAAAAGAATTCAGAGAGGGAACACATTTTTAATCTTCAAATACTTGTCTTTTTTTTTTTTTTTTTTTTTTTTTTGAGACGGAGTCTCACTCTGTCGCCCAGGCTGGAGTGCAGTGACGTGGTCTCAACTCACTGCAACCTCTGCCTCCTGTGTTCAGGCGATTCTCCCGCCTCGGCCTCCCAAGTAGCTGGGACTACAAGCACGTGCCAACACACCCGGCTAATTTTTGTATTTTTAGTAGAGACGGGGTTTCACTATGTTGGCCAAGCTGCTCTCGAACTCCTGACCTCGTGATCTGCCCGCCTCGGCCTCCCAAAGTGCTGGGATTACAGGCGTGAGCCACTGTGCCCGGCCTTGTTTTTGTTTGTGAGATAGAGTTTTGCTCTGTCGCCCAGGCTGGAGTCCAGTGGCGTGGTCTCAGCTCACTCCGACCTCCACCTCCCAGGTTCAAGTGATTCTCCTGCCTCAGCCTCTTGAGTAGCTGGAATTACAGGCACTGCCACTATGCCTGGCTAATTATTATTTTTTGTATTTTTAGCAGAGACGGGGTTTCACCAGGTTGGCTAGGCTGGTCTCGATTCCTGACCTCAAGTGATCTTCCTGCCTCAGCTTCCCAAAGTGCTGGGATTACAGGCATGAGCCGCCGCGCCTGGCCATTGAGTCTTGAATAGTTAAAACTTCCAAGAGGAGGAGACTGCCAGGGTGGTAAGGAGGCCCATGTGCACGCGGAGCAGCAGAAGCAGCCGAAGCAGCTGAACTCCCCCCACAGGTCCTGGGGGCGGGCTGTGAGCGTCCCGGCACTGCAGGTGCCCGCAGATGCAGGCGGGGCACAGGATGAGCCATTGGAGACTTCCCTCTTGCTTGAGAGATGGGTTCTAGAATGCTGTTTTAAAATAACTCTTAGAGGTGGGTTAAGTGGGTGGAATATAGATAGAGCAGGAAACTGCAGAAGGCACTGGCTGGGGGAAAGAGTCCCCTCAGAGATGAGGATGAGTTGAGTTTTTTCTCTGTTCAGTGACCGCGCCCCCTGCCCCCGCTCCAGCGAAGCCCCCTGTTTATCAACCCACTTGGTCAGAAGACATTTCACCACAGCCAGAAACCAGGTATGAATGAATACCCAGGGAGCTGGAAACGCAAATAAGAACCTCAGAACTTATAAGCAATCAGCCCCATCACTCTAACAACAATAACAACAACAAAATAAATCAACAAAGCTTACTGAACCAAAGCCAATGGCAACAAAGAATGCTGAAGTGGCCCCCAGATTCCCCTGGCTCCACCCTCAGGACCAGCTTTCCTTCTTCTGTGAGAGACCCGTGCAGGCCCTTTAACCAGCCGGACTCCGCTCGGAGGGTCTCGCCTCGGCCTGGTGCTATGACTGCTGATGCCTACACAACTGCTTCCCCTCCTCACTAAACCCCAGCTCCCATGCTGCCACCAAGCGGCAGGTTGCTATTCTTTCCCGGGGTTGAAATCCAAATACTACCTGGGCTGTGTGACTCTCTAGTGTGGATGCAGATTAGGGTGGTAAGCCAAAGGGTTGAACTCCCAGTTCCACACCCGATGGGAAATGTCATCTCTACACAGGGTCAGCTACTTCATGTCCATCGCACGCACCACCACCACGTGCATGGTCTGCACCTGACCCAAGCTGAATGATGGACATCACCTGTGTAAGCATCTTGATGAAGGGAAAAGCTCACTGGGTGCCAGTCCCATCCCTTCCGTCCTCTGGGCCTCAGTCTTCTCTGTCAAACAGGCAAGACTCAAAAGGCTCCTGGAGACCCAACAGGCCAGGCTATAAAGCAAGACATGACCCCAGAGCAGCCACCTATCTCATCCTTGGGCCAGCCGGGGCAGGGGCAGCTGGGGGGACCTCAGTGACACTTTTGACTGCAAGCCACTGAAAATGTCTTGTACTTGCTATGTATCTCCTGCTTGCTTCCTATCATTTTTTTTTTAAAAAACACTAATTGTGCACTAAGTGCCTTTGCCAGGCACTATTCTAGGTACTTGGAATAGAGGAAAAGAAAAAGGATGAAGATCGCTGCCGCATGGGGCTCACATTCTAGTAAGTGTGGGGAGAGTAGCCACAAAGGGCAACACAACTGTGTAACTCATGCTGACGTTGGTGTGACAGGGGCAGATGGTGAAAGGGCAGAGTTGGGCACAGAGGCCCGAGTGCGCTTTTTGGTGTCACAGCCAGGGCAGGCCTCTTAGAGGAGGAGGGAGGCAGAGAGCCTTCAGTTGGTCTAAGCTCTTACCCCAAGCTCATTGCTTTTACCTGTTCTCTAGGAATATCTGCAAAAGCTCTGGCCCAGGGAGGTGGCAGTACAGGCCTGTAAACTCCTAATAGAAGGTCCAGAGTCCAGAACTCTCCATCTTAGAAATGGGAACAATTTCCTTACCAAGTCTCCACTCGATAGGCAATGTCCTCTCCTGAGGGCCAGGGAGCACGCCATTCAAGGACTTGACTGCACTGGCTAAGCCAGGAGAGGGAGGAAGAGAAGAGGGTTAGTGTGTGATTTTTTTTTTTTTTTTCGGAGACAGGGTCTGGCTCTGCCATCCAGGCTGGAGTGCAGTGGTGCAATCTTGGCTCACTGCAACCTCTGCCTCCTGGGTTCAAGCTATTCTCGTGTCTTAGCCTCCCAAGTAGCTGGGACTCCAGGTGCATGCCACCACGCCCAGCTAATTTTTGTATTTTTAGTAGAGATGGGGTTTTGCCATGTTGGCCAGGCTGGTCTTGAAATCCTGACCTCAAGTGATCCATCCACTTCAGCCTCCCAAAATGCTGGGATTATTGGTGTGAGCCACTGTGCCTGGCCTTTAATGGAACTTTTCAAGGAACCATTCAAAAATAGTTGTTGGGGCTGGGTGAGGTGGCTCACGCCTGTAGTCCCAGTACTTTGGGAGGCTGAGGTAGGAGGATTGCCTGAGCCCAGGAATTCAAACCAGCCTAGGCAACAGAACAAGACCCTGTCTGTACGAAAAATAAAATTAGCTGGGCACAAGCCTGTGGTCCCAGCTACTCAGGAGGTTGAGGTGGGAGGATCACTTGAGCCCAGGAGGTCAAGGCTGCACTGAGCTGTGATTGCGCCACTGTACTTCAGTCTGGGTGACAGAACGAAACCCTGTCTCAAAAACAAAACGAAACAAAACAAACCCAAGACAAACAAAACAAACAAAAATAGCTGTTGAACTGTTTCCTTTCTCCTCGACTGGCAATGACACTGAGTTCCTTCCACTCATGGAGGAGTCACTCCGGGACTCCCCGTGCACTGTCAGAACACCTCTAAGGCACCATCTTCACTTCACTCCCTTGAAGAGCAACAATCTCTCCCGTCTAAAGGGCCCCTGAGCTGCGTGGCAAACCAGCAATGAAAGAAACAAAAAACCTGCAACAGAGTCGTAAGGTTTCAACTCTTGAGCACAAGCTCTTTCTCATTTTGATGCCCCTCTGAGACGGACTGGAAGGGACAGTGCGTGGGAAACACCCCTCTTCTGCCCCTGCTCTGCCTGGTGCCACACCCATGGAAGGGGCAACTGCTCTGCAGACCTGAAGGTCAGCACGAAGGTCGCTTACTGGGTAGGGGCTGCCTGACGCAGCTTCCATAGTGACTATAATTTATTCACAGGCCCATGTATGGAGGTTTTTCTTCTAAATATCATTATTCTAAGCATCATCATGGGCACAGTGGCTCACGCCTGTAATTCCAGTACTTTGGGAGGTCGAGGCGGGAGGATCACGAGGTCAGGTGATCAAGACCATCCTGGCTAACACGGCAAAACCCCGTCTCTACTAAAAAATAGAAAAAATTAGCCAGGCGTGGTGGCAGGTGCCTGTAGTCCCAACTACTCGGGAGGCTGAGGCAGGAGAATGGTGTGAAGCCGGGAGACGGAGCTTGTAGTGAGCCGAGATCGCGCCACTGCACTCCAGCCTGAGCCACAGCGTGAGACTCTGTCTTAAAAAAATAAAAAAATAAAATAAAATAAAATAGAAATCATTATTGTCTAGGCTTTTGGAGAAGCATATGCTGTGAAAATGATCACGGCTGTGCTCCTAAAAGCCAGTCATGTTTCTGTAACAGTTTTCTGCATGGACCCTCACTTTCAGAAATGCAAAGGTGGCCTGAGAGCTGGGCACCTCACTTACTTGTAGGAGTATGGTTTTGGTTCCTCTAATGTGCCTGATGTAGAAGAGAGGGAAGTCGGCACTCAACGAAGAGGAACACCATTGTCAGGATTAGGAGAATGCTCTGCTTGGCAGGTAAATCAAACCAGCAGCACAGCCCCACTAGGTGTCTCACCTCACTTCTGAGAGATTTCCAGGTGGTTGATGAGGGAAAAATGCAGTCTCTTTTGATTTTCAATGGTCGTAGAATATCCCTTTTCAAAATTCATTGTATGCAGAATAAAAATGTCACATTCTGAGAATGGAGAATCTATAGAAAGGGCCTGGAACCTTAGTAATGAATGAGTTTTCACATTTTAACCTTCGTAAAGGGAATACTACCCATGTTGCCATGAAAATCAAGCCAAGATCAATTAGTAACATAGTCTTATAAACATAACGCACTTGGGTAACTTTCTGTGGATGAATACTAGTCTCTGAGACACGCACTCCTTATTTGACCAAGTAACACATTAAAACGCAGCCACTGCTTATGACAAGTGAGCCCCTCAAGAAAATACGAGCATAAAGAGTGGCCACTGCATCAGGGCATTCCAGAAACTCATTTTTCTTAAAGGAATTTAACTTCTAGTACTCAATGTGTCCTTGAGAATGCAAAAATGGAAAACAATTCAAAATCAGTCCCAGCTACAAAGATAAGGAAGAGGAAGTCCGCTGTGGCCCAGCCTCTGCTTGGCAGGGCTCTGCTCCACCTCTGCAGAAATTATGCACAGGAACCTGCTGTGATGGGTGTTTCTGGGGTAGGAATCTTTTTTTTTTTTTGAGATGAAGTCTTGCTCTGTTGCCCAGGTTTGAGCATAATGGCAAGATCTCGGTTCACTGCAACCTTCGCCTCCTGGGTTCAAGCGATTCTCCTGTCTCCGCCTCCCGAGTAGCTGGGATTACAGGTGTGCGCCACATGCCTGGCTAATTTTTTTTTATATTTTTGTAGAGACGGGGTTTCACCATGTTGGCCAGGCTGGTCTCGAACTCCTGAACTCAGGTGATCCACCCGCCTCGGCCTCCCAAATTGTTGGGATTACAGACATGAGCCCCTGCGCCTGGCCTTGGGGTAGGAATCTTAAGGAAGTCAGTTTCGTAGTCATGAATTTCATAGAACAGCTCAGAAACATCTACCCAGAGGAGGAAGTAATTTATGGCAGAACATCTCCTTGGTTTTCTGCTCAGCAGAAGGGACAGTGACAGACAAGGACAGCAAAGGGGGAGAGAAGTCTGTGTGTAGATCTCCTTAAAGAGGCTCATGTGTGCCGGGCGCAGTGGCTCACGCCTGTAATCCCAGCACTTTGGGAGGCCAAGGCGGGTGGATCACGAGGTCAGGAGATCGAGACCATCCTGGCTAACATGGTGAAACCCCGTCTCTACTAAAAATACAAAAAAATTAGCCAGGCATGGTGGCGGGTGCCTGTAGTCCCAGCTACTCAGGAGGCTGAGGCAGGAGAATGGCAAGAACCCAGGAGGTGGAGCTTGCAGTGAGCCGAGATCACGCCACTGCACTCCAGCCTGGGCAACAGAGCAAGACTCCGTCTCCGGGGAAACAAACAAACAAACAAAAAGGCTCATGTGTGCAGAGAGACATCCCAATTCTCTTGTCCGGGTTGGCTTTATGATGCTTTAATGGGATATAAAAACCAGCTTGCACCAGGCAAAAAAAGCTGGGGAAGTCCTCACTGTCTGTGACTGGGCACAATCAGCTCCGTTAGAGGACTCCACTCTGAAAGGCACTGGACAGAGAGAGGGAAGGGGACTTACTTGCTAAAAGTCAAGTTAGAAAGTTCCCGCAAGGTGAGCCTTAGGTCATGATGTCCACCTGCCTGACACCTGGAGGGCCCTCCCTCCTTGCTGCTGCCTTGCCAGCTTCACTTCTTCTCCCCGGGGCCTCTCCCCGTGCTGTGTCCAGGGCTCAGTCCTGGTTTCTCCTCTGTCTCACAGCTTTGAGCAGGAGCCTTCCACCTGCTGAGGGCTTCCTATGGTCTCTCCCAGACCCGACCTCTCCCAACCCTCACACTTTTTTTTTTTTAATACAGAGTCTCGCTCTGTTGCCCAGGCTGGAGTGCTGTGGCGCGATCTCGGCTCACTGCAAGCTCCGTCTCCCGGCTTCACGCCATTCTCCTGCCTCAGCCTCCCGAGTAGCTGGGACTACAGGCGCCTGCCACGACGCCTGGCTAATTTTCTGTATTTTTAGTAGAGACGGGGTTTCACCGTGTTAGCCAGGATGGTCTCGATCTCCTCACCTCGTGATCCACCCACCTCGGCCTCCCAACGTGCTGGGATTACAGGAGTGAGCCACTGCGCCTGGCCGAACCCCTCACGTTTATCCAACTGCCCACTAGACGTTGCCACTCAGTGTTTAAAGGGACTTCAAACTCAGCACATTCCAGCTTGCTCTCTTCATCTTCTTCCCCTCCTGTTCCCAAACATCTCCCCAGCCACATTCCGCATCTCAACAAACAGCAATTCCGGCCTTTTTGCTGTTCAGATCAAAAATCATGAAGCTGTCCTTGGCTCTACTCACCTCATATCCAACTCCAGGGAAAATGCAGTTGCCTCTTATTTCAAAACATGTCCAAAACCCAACCACCATCAGCGCCAAGGCCCATCCTCACCCAAGGCTGCACTACCTCTTGCCTGTATTACTGCTGAGAGCCTCCAGGCGGCTTTCCCAGCTTCTCCTTGCCCCATTTCAGTGAGTTCCAAACATAGCTGCCTGGTGATCCTCTGAAAGCCCAAGGCCACAAGGCCCTTGTCATCCCCTCAGCTGCTGCCATGTAGGAGAAGCATCTCTACGCTCTGCTCCAGGCACGCCATGCACTCAGGCCTCAGGCCCAAGCAGTGCTCTTCCCCAGAAATCTGTGTGAACGTGCCCACCCAGGCCTCTGCCCAAGCAGCACTCTTCACACCCAGAGTGCTGATGAAACCCGTGCCTGCTCTGCGCTCTCTCACACGTGCTGCTGTGCTCCATACTAGGTAACTTACTTGTTTATCCACTGCCTAGAATGTCAGGCTCAAGGAGAGAGGTGTCTGTTTTGCTGAGGATCTCAATCACAACAGTGCCTTGCCCACGCTAGAGAGAGACAACAATATTTCTGATTGACTGTCCAGACTTTTTCCTTTTTCTTTCTTTTTTTTTTGAGACAGGGTCTCATTCTGTTGCCCAAGCTGGAGTGCTGTGCACAATCACAGTTCACTGCAGCTTCAACCTCCTGGGCTCAAGCCTCCCACCTCAGCATCCCGAAGAGCTGGGACCACAGGTGTGCCACCACACTTGGCTGATGTTTTTATTATTTATTTATTTTATTATTATTATTTTTTTGAGACGGAGTCTTGCTCTAGCGCCCAGGCTGGAGTGCAGTGGCGCGATCTCGGCTCACCGCAAGCTCCCCTCCCGGGTTCACGCCATTCTCCTGCCTCAGCCTCCCAAGTAGCTGGAACTACAGGTGCCCGCCACCATGCCCGGCTAATTTTTTTGTATTTTTAGTAGAGACGGGGTTTCACCGTGTTAGCCAAGTTGGTCTTGATCTCCTTACCTTGTGATCCGCCTGCCTCAGCCTCCCAAATTGCTGGGATTACAGGCGTGAGCCACCGCCCCTGGCCCATGTTTTTATTTTTTGAAGACATGGGGTCTTACCATGTTGTCCAAGCTGGTCCTGAACTACCAGACTCAATGTTCCTCCAGCCTCAGCCTCCCAAAAGTGCTGGGTTCACAGGTGTGAGCCACTGTGTCCGGCCTCCAGACTTTCATACTCTGACCAACAACAAACCCAGAACCCAGAATAGCACACCAATCAGTGTGACAACTTCCCTGTGAGAATAAAGCAACACAATGAGTTATGAGCTCATTACCCCTACACAACCATGTAGGTGTTGGACAAAAGCTGCAGGTCTGATTCATGTACTGAATCACAAGAAAGGAGAAAGGAAATTTACATACTTCACAGAGAACCAACCCAGAACTGTCAAGACCTGGTGTTTCTCCATAGGGCTGTGCCACAACTCCCAGGGTTAAGCTGCAGCTGCTCTGGATTCCCTTCCTTCTTGGGTCACCATGAGGGCCATCTTCTCTCTTTATTGCCTTGGGAGAAAAAATATGCTGGTAATCACAAAATGCTGGGACCCCTGCGAAGGTCCACGTGGCCCCAAGCCTTCATACACATTACTTCTGCTCAACTTGAGGATGTGTTAAATACAGCATTAGGAGACAATGCAAGATTTTACTGAGAAAAAGTGAATTTTTAATTATCTTGTGAATCTACTTAGAAAAACACACACAAGCAATGTTCACAACTATAAATTTAAACCTTTTGCACTAAAAAAACACAAAACAACAAACACAAAACCACAGGCATGAACTGTAAACCTGTATTAACTATGAACTGGTCTTAAGGTTAATTCTTAGCAGTCATTCAGTATTTTCCTCCTTGGCAACTGTAATGTTTTAGCACCGGATGATCTCCCGCAGAGGTACTAGTAATGACTGGCTGCCAGTGTAGGGAGATGCTTCCATATACACCACTTCACACACATACCGTCCACTCTCACACCCACCCAGACGGGAGGCACATGGAGATGGGGCCACACACCGACTCTCAGGGTAACGGAAGTAGGGCAGGGGGCGCATAGGTTGCACATCTTTAATGTAGTGCATTCGTAGAAAAAAGGCCAGCTTTCGCTCCCAGGCGTGCTCTCGTCCTCAGACTTTAATTTCATGATTTAGAAGATGCAGACGTTATTGCCTAAATATTATTCTATACATTTCCATCAGTGTTCAGGAAAACACTTTAATTGCTACTTAATTTACATCATAATCACTGGGTTACAGCTTTAGCTCATTGGCAATTTTGGAAGCAATATTTTTGAAGGCTATGGATGTCCCCGATATCCGCTTAAACCGGACCCCGTTCAGAGACAGTCTTGGCAGCTTGCACACTTCCATTTCCCACTGCACGAGGTTCTCCGCGTGCCCATCTCCGTGGACGCAGAAGAGCAAGAAGCGCTCCCTCTGCTCATAGTCGCAGTTATTGGCGTCCAACACTTTGCGGATTTCCCGCATCATGTCCCCGGGATCCATTGAACTAGTGGTTTTCATGCTCCAGGTGAAGCGTAGGGATCGAGGCTTTGCTTCTTTGTTTTCATCTTTTTGCTCAGCAGATACATTGCGACTGAAATGCATAGAGGCAGGTTTATTTTTAATCGTACAGGAAAATCAACCTCTTACACTTCAGCTAGTTCCTCATTCACGTCTTTGATACAACACAACTAACGACTGACCTCCACATTTTCCTGCACAGACTCACATTTGTAACTAAGTCTATTTTCGTCTATTTTCTTCCCTCACCCCCTAAAAGTCATAAGCCACACACAAAAAGATCTACCTAGCTGGAAAATCTTCACCAGCCACCTGTGCTTACTAAAATGAACGAAGTAATTCGTTAAGCAGAATCCTTGGAAATCAGGCAAAAAGGACAGCATGCCCCACTCCTCAGGGCTCTGCAGGCCCAGCTCAGGGAAGGAGTTGCCAGCCAGCTCCTGCCCACCCCACCCATCCACCCTGGGCTGTCCCTCTCCTGCAGTACTGTTCTTTCAGATGTGAATCACTGTAACTGGCACTCAGGGTAACTGGAGACTCAACATCCGCAGTCTAAAATTGCTTTGCTGTACAGCCCTGAGGCTGAACATGATGCTCTACCCACCTCATTGTTTTTCCTCCTCTCTGGTTTGTTAATTAAACGTCCAATTATACAGTTAAAGAAAATCTCAAATGACACAATCTTACTACTGGAATAGATGGAAAAATGCAACGGGACACTTCTCTGTCTGTGGGGGACTGACACCACCCATGTGGATGCCCTGTGGATTCAGAATGTAAGCCTTGGTCTGATGTCCAAGAGGCAGCCTAAGTAGAGCCCAGGCCGGGGTCTCTAGGGAACACCGCGGTTTACCAGCCACTCCTTGGCATTTAGTCATTATTGCCACAAGCCGTTATTTATATTCTCATGTGTGTATCTGGTGGCCTCAATTAAGACAGTGAGTGCCTAGCATTCTTGGGAGTAAAATAGTCTATGTACCTTAAGTACACTCCATCCTATGGCCAACTAACCAGAGGTGAGGGGCTACAGCTTTTGCATATGCACATAGCTCTCCGTGTCACCAACCTGCCAGTATTCAATTTGGTTCACATCCACCAATACTGATGAGAGAAGCTTCCTATGTATAAAATGCCACGTTAGATACTAAATGGGTTACAAAGATAAGCAAAAGCTCTCAAACTCATCTGGAGCCAGGAAGACTGTAAGGTGAGACAACAGTGGCAGCACAGGAAAGGCTGGCCATCTCCTAGAGGGCAGCAGAAGAGGTGGAGCCCGCCGAGCAGGAGAACGTGACAGGCAGGATGAGACAAGGAGGAAACAGCACGGGTGGGGGTGGGCCTGCATCTGAGGAGAGCTATGAAGAGCCATGGGATTTCAACAAAATGCAATGAAGATAGGGAAGAGTGTTTGTTTTGAGTAGAGGGGATCACAGCCAAAGGGGAGGTAGGAAAGTACAGGATGTGTCTGTGGCATAATAAAGTACACAGACTGAGTGGAACTGGAGGCACAGTGTCATCACCCCCACAACAGCTGGTGGCACTTAATGAGCACTTGTGGTGGTCAGGCCCCAACTTACTTGATGCCCACGTAGGTCCTATTATGTCACCTTCCTATTATGGGTGGGGAAACAAACCAGGATCTAGAGCCTGCTCCTGGCTGGGATGGGTAGGCCTGGAGAGGGAATGCTGCCTGGCACTCACCCTAGTGCTCTGCCTTGATGGGGCAGCAGAGCTGGGGCTGCTGGGGCAGCCTGGACCACGCCACTCAGGGCCTCGCAGGGACGTGGCCAGGTGAAATAGTGGAGGTCACTGAAGGTTTTAATTCAGAAAGGTCATATGACCAGAAGCGGGCTTTTAGAAAGACCAAAAGGACAAACGGTGAATGAGGACCTGAAATAGCCTGCTGGTGACTGGCATAAAAAAAGGGCACAAGTGGAAGAGACCTAGAACAAGGGACATAGAGTCCTAAGGCTACCTGGTGATTGCCTCCCCTCAAATCCATGCAATGATAACTATACAAAATGGAAAAGCAAGGCTGGGTGCGGGGGCTCATGTCTGTCATCCCAGCACTTTGGGAGGTTGAGGTGGGAGGTTCACTTGAGCCTAGGAGTTTGAGACCAGCCCGGCCAACATGGCGAGACCCCCATCTCTACAGAAAATACAAAAATTAGCCAGCATGGTGGCAGTGCCTGTGGTTCCAGATACTCAGGAGGCTGAGGTGGGAGGATCGCATAAGCCTGGGAACTCGAGTAAGCCCTGATCACGCCACTACACTCCAGACTGGGTGACAGAGCGACACCGTGTCTCAGAAAAAAAAAAAAGAAAAGCAAAACACTCAACTATATAATCACCATTCTTAGAAGAAAACATATCTAGTTTGAAATATGGACATTCTATTAAGTACTTTGCTTTTATTCCTTGTGAAGAGAACCATGTGAGGGGTCAGTGATGAACTGAGGGCTTATTTCTCTGAGCACTGCTACCCAACCCAGACCTCCAAAGGCTGTTAACGCCCAGGCAGGAAGGCTGAAGGCCTCGCCGTGCTTTGAACACAAACACAAATGTAGAGCGGAGGCCAAGCTGGATCTGGACGGTGCTCATGGCAGGCTGGCGCCCCCTTGTGGCCACCCTCTCTACGTAACTCCTACAGAGACAGCAGGAATACAGTAGGGAACATTCAGAAAATAGTCGCCTCTGCCACAGAAATGAAGTAAACACCTGAAAAAAATTTTAAGTAAAAATCATTTCCCTCACCTTGAGCCCTCATATCTCCCGTTCCTCTCATATTCAGTTGGAAGCCTCAATGAACAGAATGTAGAAGCAGAGAGAAGAGGGAAAGAGAAAAGAAATCTTACATGCCAGTACATGACCACCAATACCAACACCAACACCATAAAATGAACAAAGCCAAAACACGTTTTAAACACCAGCCGGGCTTATGAAAACTCTTCCTCTCATTTGACTGAGCCAGCGCTACCTTCTTCCACAAGGCTGCAGGGGTGTGCACAGGGGCCAGCTCCATGCTGCACACTGCATACATCACACACATTGCATGCCATACCGCTGCACGCTGCACACTGCACACACCGCACACCACGCACGCACAGCGGGCACTCCTGCTGGCTCTTCAGCCTGAGCACACTCGGCCTCAGAATGGGGTTATTCTCACTTTCTAATTGTGCCACACAGTATAATGGGTTTCCAATTAAAAGCCAATGAGGCTATCAGCTGGATTCTATATTCAGTTATTACCTGTTCTGTCCAAGGAAAAATCAGACAAGTGGGAAGATCAATTAAAAAATAATAATAGAATGGAACTGCCAACAGGAAGAAAGTGCTTTTCCCGCAGTTTTGACCTGCAGCTTGGCCTTCTGGTGACTTGAGAGGCACAGGTACAATGTAGCCCTTCAGGAAAGATTTCCTGCCTCATGTGTGCATTAAGAAAGCAATATTTTTGGTTTCTTGATTATCACCATCAAAAAATATGTTTTTCTTTTTTGAGGCAGGGTCTCACTCCCCTAGGCTGGAGCACAGTGGCATGATCATGGCTCACTGCAACCTTGACCTCCCAGGGCTCAGGTGATCCTCCTGCCTCAGCCTCCTGAGTAGCTGGGACCACAGATGCGTGCCACCATGCCCGGCTAATTTTTATATTATTTGTAGAGGCGGGGTTTTGCCATGTTGTCCAGGATGGTCTTGAACTCCTGGGCTCAAGTGATCCGCCCAAAGTGCTGGGATTACAGGCATAAGCCACCATGCCTGGCCTAAAAAATATTAATAAAATCAGAACACCACTTTCTGTAGTGCTTTAAGTAAAAATAATGAGATACTCTTTCTTCAGTGGTTGCTGGAAAGTGGCTTTCAACTCTGAAAATATTAAAACATTTCTGCTACGCAGCTGTTCACATTTTAATTTCTGAAAAAGCCAAATCAAATGAGGCTGTAGCTTTGAATTTTATGCTTGTTTTCTGTATTAGCTAATTTTCCTGTCATTTTAAAGCCTTTTGCTAATTCCATCCTCAGTGAAATAAAAATAACACAACTAATACTTACCTTTTGCATGCCTGTGGATAATCATTAATTGTACATTAACATTACTGAGCATCTCATTCTTCAAACAGGAGCATGCTAAGTGTTATTAGTATGAAGACAGAATTATTTGGATGCTAAATAATTCTACCAAAGAAAGAAAATACACAGAGCATGCATCAGCCTTTTGTTGCATGGGTACCATAGTCCCTTTAAAATGCCTGACAGAGTTAATCTATTTCTTTTCAATTTCCTTTCAAGGAATTAAGTATTTAGTTATCAGCAGAAAGTTTAGTTTATAAGGAAAAAACAGGGCCAGAAAGCCAAACCTAATGTTAATTGCAGGAGCCATTTGGGAGTGAGGATTGAAAAATAAATGTGTATATATAAATCCTACCTTTTGATAAACCTGAATGACATGTTTCTAAAAGAAATTAAGTAAAAAAAAAAAAAAATTAACAAAAATAACTCGCACAAATTAAACAGAAAATCTAATCAATTACAGAGAGAAAGAAAAAAAACAAAGCAGGGTTCCTTCTCTGGCCAATGAACAAAGAAATGCTGACATTTGTTGAAAAAGTAAAATTATTACAGGTAATTAAATGAGTATGTGATCTTTTAATATATCAAAAAAAAGTAAGAAAAGGTTTAGCAGTACATATTGACATTAGCTGTAATTAAAAGTTCTTCAGATGGACACACTTTTTTTTTTTTTTTAAAGACAGAGTCTCACTCTGTCACAGTGCAGTGGTGCAATCTCAGCTCAATGCAACCTATGCCTCCCGGGTTGAAGCAATTCTTGTGCCTCAGTCTCCTGAGTAGCTGGAATCACAGGCGCGCGCCACCATGCCCAGTTAATTTCTATATTTTCAGTAGAGATAGGGTTTTGCCATGTTGGCCAGTCTAGTCTCGAACTCCTGGCCTCAAGTGATCAGCCCACCTCGGCCTCCCAGAGTGTTGGGATTACAGGCATGAGCCACTGCAATGGCCAGATACACTTTCTAAGATAAAATTTATGTCTTATGTTAAAGAAGTGACAAGACATTTGCAATGTACTAGTAATAAAACATTTTTCAATTTTCTTCAGAATACCTTATGAACAAAAATCTTGCCTTATTACATAAACATTAAAAATTTCATTATAAAATATTTAACCACTAAGTAAAAATCATTACTTCTTTCAGGAAAATGAAACAAACATTAACATATTATTTGCTACAGTGGTATGACATAAATCACTTTTTAAGAAAAAAATAGGTGATTGGGGATTTAAACAAGTAGACTTTTCAGTCTTAGATCTCAAAATGAATAAAAACTAAGTGTCAAGACAACAGTATGAATTTTACTTTTATGTAGTAAACACGAAGAATTCTATTTAAAAGGGGTAACTCTGGTCATTAAAAAAATTTAAGGAGATGTGCAGGTTGTGCTGAAAATAATCTGACAAAATATTTTTCAAACTACGAATGAGGTTTTTATGATCAATGCGATCAGCTTCCCTGGGCAAAAATAGGCTGAGTTTGTTAATTTCTATTTGTAAAGTCCAGTTCTGTAACTGTACATAGCAGGCAGTCATCTATATCTGCTGAATGACTAAATTAATGAAATCCTTGGTTGGGATAACTTTGGCATTGCTTTAGGTATTAATCTACCAATTTAAAAAAAGTCTAACTACTATAAATAACTGCCAACCACTTCATAATCAGATCAGTAGTATACAGCAGGGTCATCGACAGTACAATCATGCATGTGAAAATCTTTAATATATACTGCCTAAATATAAGGCAGTATTATCCAAAATATTTTAGTTGAAAATGATTAAAAGTCTTTAAGATATATTTTCGTTTCCTAATTTTCTTTTACTTTTAAATATTTATTTATTTAGAGACAAGGTCTTGCTCAATCACCCAGGCTGGAGTACAGTGGTGTGATCATAGCTCACTGTAACCTCAAACTCCTGGGTTTGAGCAATCCTCCTGCCTCAGCCTCTCAAGTAGCTGGGACTACAGGCATGCACCACCACTCCTGGCTAATTAAAAAATGTTTTTGTAGAGATGGGGGTCTCATTATGTTGCCCAGGTCAGCCTTGAACTCCTGGCTTCAAATGATCCTCCTGCCTCACCTTCCCCCAAAGTGTCAGGATTACTGGCATGAGCCATGTACAGTGCCTGGCCCATTTCCCAACTTTTTTTCTTTTTATTAAAAAAATAAAAGGCTGGGTGTGGTGGCTCATGCCTGTAATCCCAGCACTTTGGGAGGCTGAGGTGGGCGGATCACTTGAGGTCAGGAGTTTGTGACCAGCCTGGCCAACATGGTGAAACCCTGTCTCTACTAAAAATACAAAAATTAGCTGGGCGTGGTGACATGCACCTGTAGTCCCAGCTACTGGGGAGGCTGAGGCAGGATAATCGCTTGAACCCAGGAGGCAGACACTGCAGTGAACCAAGATCGTGCCACTGCACTCCAGCCTGGGTGACAGAGCGAGACTCCGTCTCAAAAAAAAAAAAAGTAGAGATGGGGTCTCATTATGTTGTCCAGGCTGGTCTTGAACTCCTGGGCTCAAGTGATCCATGTGGCTCAGCCTCCCAAAGTGCTGGGATTATAGGCATGAGCCATGGTGCCTGGACATTTCCTAATCTTCCACCGGAAAAATCAGGGTTACTGGTCAATTACTATAGAAGTGCTTTTCTTAACTTTTCCTCCTATAATCCCTTGAGGTATAAAGAGGAAGGAGGCAGCTGCAGGAGGAGGCCTTCACACTGCCCATGGCAACATGGATCAACCTGAGGGCAGAGGCACTTGCGTGTGCCTGGCTGTTCTGCCTGCAGGGTATGGGTGACTCTGCAGTCTCTGAGCAAGGCCAGGCCTGATCCTAAGGAGAGAGAGTTTTGCTCCCGACTACAAATAGCCCATAGCTCTCCAAAGCCATGTGCTCTCCAAGCAGAGTGCAGGCTTCCTGACTGCAGCCCTCTCCAGACCTGGCCACACCAGGTCTCCCTTGCAGCATCTAAGTGCAAACACCTCAGCCTTTCAGGCAATGCAATTTTAATCCTACCAATTATTGCTAAAGGAGGATAAGAACTTTCAACCACTCTAGCAAGGATTTTGATTGTTTTTAAGAACAAACTGTCAGTAGCTGATTAAGTATAGCACTAAGGGAGACAACAGACCTCAGTTAATAAACTTTAACAAGACAGGATAAAAGACTATCTTTCTGCAAAAATCTGGGGGTGTGGAAATAGCCTGGAAATTGTAAACAAGATGACCACTTAGAATTTTTTTAAACAACAAGCCTGAGTCTCCAATTTTAATTCAAATATATGAAATAAATGTAATGCAACTGTCACGCCTGCAACTGTTTTTTCTAAAGGGAGCACAGTGTAGTGGCTAAAAGGGCAGAGTCTGGTCAGATAGACCTGGCTCAGCCTGATACTTTTTTTTTTTTTTGAGATGGAGTGTCAATCTGTCGCCAGGCTGGAGTGCAATGGTGTGATCTTGGCTCTCTGCAACCTACGCCTCCTGGGTTCAAGCCATCCTCTTGCCTCACCCTTCCAAATAGCTGGAATTACAAGCATGTGCCACAACATCAAGCTAATTTTTGTATTTTTAGTAGAGATGGGGTTTCACCATGTTGGCCAGGCTGGTCTTGAACTCCTGACCTTGAGTGATCTACCTGATCTACCTGCCTTGGCCTCCCAAAGTGCTGGGATTACAGGCGTAAGCCACTGCACCAGGCCCTGATACTTTTTAAAATATGTGCCTTAATCTCTCCAAACTTCACCTTCAGTTTCTTTTACAAAATGGGGTGGACTATGGAGATTAAATTAAATGAGTGTGTGTGCACACTTGTACATGTGTATAAATATACTCATTTCACACATATAAGTGTATATATATGATACTCATTTTATACATAAAATATGCATATATATAATGTACATACATATTTATATGTATAAAATGAATATGACTGTATCTATGTATATAGACATCTACCTTAGCACATAAT
The DNA here is from genome assembly GCF_000001405.40 of Homo sapiens. NCBI lineage: Eukaryota > Metazoa > Chordata > Mammalia > Primates > Hominidae > Homo > Homo sapiens. Next base: position 103,494,916 of record NC_000014.9, on the reverse strand, counting down.
AAGCATTCAAATAATGGTAGCTTTGGCTGGGCGCGGTGGATCACTTGAGGTCAGCAGTTCAAGACCAGCCTGGCCAACATGATAAAACCGGGTCTCTACTAAAAATACAAAAATTAGCCAGGCGCGATGGTGGGCGCCTGTAGTCCCAGCCACTCGGGAGGCTGAAGCACAGGAATCACTTGAACCTGGAAGGCGAAGATTGCCATGGGCTGAGATCATGCCACTGCACTCCAGCCTGGGCGATAAAGTGAGACTCTGTGGGGAAAAAAAAAGAGGTAGCTGATATTTTTATCAATGATAATCTTGTTTCCTTTTTTCCATTATATACATGTAATAAAATCAATGCTAGTCTTTTTTTTTTTTTTTTTTTTTGAGACAGAGTTTCACTGTTGTTGCCCAGGCTGGAGTGCAATGGCGTGACCTCGGCTCACCACAACCTCTGCCTCCCAGGTTCAAGTGATTCTCCTGCCTCAGTCTCCCTGGGATTACAGGCATGTGCCACCATGCCCGGCTAATTTTGTATTTTTAGTAGAGACTGGGTTTCTCCATGTTGGCTAGGATGGTCTCAAATTCCCGACCTCAGGTGATCCACCTGCCTCGGCCTCCCAAAGTGCTGGGATTACAGGCGTGAGCCACCATGCCTGGCCAATCAATGCTAGTCTTTTTTTTTTTTTTTTTTTGAGATGGAGTCTCGCTCTGTCATCACCCAGGCTGGAGTGCAGCGGCGCGATCTTGGCTAGATGCAACCTCCGCCTCCCAGGTTCAAGCGATTCTCCTGGCTCAGCCTCCAGAGTAGCTGGGACTACAGGCGAGCGCCACCACCCCTGGCTAATTTTTGTATTTTTAGTAGAGATGGGGTTTTGCCATGTTGGCCAGGCCTGTCTCAAACTCCTGACCCCAGGTGATCCGCCCCTCTTGGCCTCCCAAAGTGCTGAGATTACAGGCATGAGCCATCCGGCCCAGCCCAATACTAGTCTTAAAATGACTGAAAAAAGAGTACAAAGAAGAAAAATAAACTCAAAGTTTTTTTTTTTTTTTTTTTGAGACACAGTCTCACTTTGTCACCCAGACTAGAGTGCAGTGGTACGATCTCGGCTCACTGCAACCTCTGCCTTCCGGGTTCAAGCAATTCTCCTGTCTCAGCCTCCTGGGTAGCTGGGACTCCAGGCGCCCACCACCATGCCTGGCTAATTTTTGTATTTTTAGTAGAGATGGGGTTTCACCATATTGGTCAGGCTGGTCTCAAACTCCTGACTTCAGGAGATCCACCCGCCTTGGCCTCCCAAAGTGCTGGGATTACAAGCATGAACCACCACGGCTGGCCAGGAAGGAATGGTTTATTCTGGGAGTCACCAGACTCTTCTCAGATTGAACTCACTGTCTCTCTTGCTGGCTGGTCATGAATGGGTGTCCCAAACCTGGCAAAGCTCTTTGGCTGATTCTGTTTTGCCCAGTTTAAAATGAGGTGGCTTAATAAAGGGGCTAAGAAGTGAGTAAGAGGGTAAATAGAAACCTTCTGATGCGTCTGACTTCTAGTTAATGCTAATGGATGTCAGAGATCCTCCCTAATCTAGGCGGAGGTTGAAGTTAGCCAAGATTGCACCACTGCACTCCAGCCTTGGCGACAGTGAGACTCCGTCTCAAAAAAAAAAAAAAAATTAAAAAAAAAAAAAAAAGGAATACTCCCTAATCTATTCCATGTCCTAATAATAAGTAGATCAGACTTTAATGTGACTCACCGAAGTTTCAGATGATCGAATACAAGATTACATTTAGCTTAGTTTAAATAATGGAGATGGAGTGAAATGAAGTAATAGGCTATAGGCCATAGGGAATGCAGAAAAACAGAGGAGGGTACTGATCATTTCAGACTCGGGAAAGACTCCTACTGCTGTCCTGTAAGCTACAGATGACAAATAAGAGGGTCCGTCCTAGGCAAACCTGCAAGATACCACAGACAGACTCATCCACAGCTAGGCTTAATTTCAAAACATTTCTCCAAGGATGTCCTGAAACTGCAGGGGCTCTTGGGTTTCCTGGGCTCCTTCTCGGAAAGGTGCCTTTCACTATTGTTTACGGTTCAAAGTGGTATCCTTTCTTTTTCCTCTTGAAGCAGCCAGTATTTCTGGGCTTTTGTAACAGGTAACAAGGTTACGGAAATGAAGTTAATCTCAAAGGACCCTTGAGAGTTTACTGAGGCCCCAGATGCTAGCCTACTAGACACATGGAACATTTTAAAAAATTTCCAGGACCATCAGCCAAGAATCATGCAGCATTTAATAAAAATAACTTAATAATAGTAACATTATTTTTTGATAATAAACCAGAGATTTTATCTCCAAAACTATACCATTTAAGGACATTACCTTGCTCTCAATATAAATTACTAAGACTGAGAGAGAAACTTTCAAGATTTGGACTCTTAAGAAATTTACTGCTCCTTAACAACAATAAAGTGAGAAAAGAGAAGCTGTCTCTTTCCTCTGGGGCTGGAGATGATTATGAAAGACATGCATGGTCTTTCCTGCTGATTGTTACAGAGTGCCAGCCCCCCACCCCACACCAGAACTCGAGGTCTGCCTGCTCAACAACAACGAACATGCCATGCAGACAGATACGTGAGCAAAAGGAACAATAATTAAAGAACAGTAACAAAAACCTCCTAAATGCTAGTTAACTTTTAGTGTTATGAAGACTCTGAGCTCTACAATTTCTACTTTAAAGGTTTTAAAGTATAAAGTTAGATATATATAAAACCAGAAAACCATGAGCTGAAGGCAGACTGAAAAGCATCCAGGTAGCAGTGGCTTCACACAACAAAAAAGACATCTTTCCTTTTGCTCTATGTGTTCACTCCAAAACAACCAGCACCTAGCACTTACCTCCTTGTGAGTTTTGAAGTTAATTTACTAAAGAGATTAGTGGAGCCTCGGCTTCGAGTCTGGGACAATGGTGTGGCTTCATGGGACAGGCTGGGAGAGGCAGGAGGGCCATTATATGTTGCGGTTCGCCGTTCCCGGGGCTGGCCGTGGAAAGTGCTACGACTGGCAGTGCCTCTTGGGAAGCGGATTCGATCTGGGGTGGCTGCACTACTGATACTGTGTGTTGAAGCAACTGGAGTTCTCTGATCAGGAATAGTGCTATGAGATCAGAAAGTAAGAAGCTCTCAGAACATGATATACAAAAATTTACAGTCACAATATACCTTTTATACACAGTGGAGAAAATCGGGTATAAAAAATCCAGATCCAAGGGGTATTTTATAGGACTTAGGAGCAAAAGGTAAGTTAAGTGGGAAAGGGTACCAAAAGAACAATACATAATGAGACAAAGCCTCATGGAGTTTAAGGGACCAGTATTATATATATTTTCAAGGACAAGATTAATGCAGGGAAATTCTAGGACAGAGAACAGCTAACTCAAACTTTTCCCCTTTGCTTCCCTCTCAAATTGCTTACATAGAGAACTGTGCCAATACGAAAGAAATAAAGGATATGCTGGCGTAACTGAAGAACAGGCAACTAAAAAGTTTTGGAAGTAAACAAATGATATATGTATAAAATTCCACATGCTGAAAGCAACTTGGGAGGAGCAGGAACTTCTTATACATTTTGTAGTACGCGAAGGCACGAAGACACACAATACACAACCGAGGACATCATGACAAAAGATGTGCTTAACTAAAATCACATGGAGGAAGGACGCCTTGTGGACAACTGTAACAAAATCTCAGACTATAAAATCCACAGCACAAAATTAAGAAGCAGTGGGTACACATTAGTTTCACAAAGAATGTGCATTTTTCTTACATAGCCTTGAAGTTATCTCCTTCACTGTCTATTGGAGGTAACATCATCTTGGGGTGCCCAGAGGCTGACATGGACATCGACTTCTGATGTCTCAGCCGACAGGTAGATGTACAAACTGAGGCAGGGCTAGCTGCGTAAGCGAACATTTCTGTCAGGCTGGGAGGGGTTTGGGTTCAGGCAGAGGCAGAAACACAGTATGAAGGAGCAGTGACCACAGAGCAACCTGTGTGTAATGCACACACCTTCCTCCCAAGCCATCTCATTTCTGGTAAAGAATAAAAATCTCCTAAGCTTGTTTTGGAGATTCTGGAGCAACTGCTAACCTATAGTTGCTTTTTTTTTTTTCCAAACAGTAATCATAAAAATCTATTACCTTAAAATAAAATAGCAGATTACATGTTTGAATATCTGTTTCTATGAGAGGGACAATGTCCTCTGAGGGTATGCACAAAATAAAACCTATTCTAAGAGATGCCTCAATTCAAATCTAAGTGGTAAAATGAATATATAATATGAGCATGCTATGCTCTCAACCTGTTCCCAAAACACACTGACATATTTTATTTTTTCTTTATTTATTTTTTTTGTAGAGACAGGGTCTCGCTATATTATCCAGGCTGGTCTTAAATTTGTGGCTTCAAGTGATCCTCCCGCCTTGGCCTTCCAAAGTGTTGGGATTATAAGTGTGAGCCACCACACCCGGCCCGCACTGATGTATTTTAAATGAATTAATAAGATTACAGGTATAGGAACTAGCTGTTATATAACAGTATCCTATGTTGTTTGGTGTTTTTTTGAGACAGGGTTTTGCTGTCACCTAGCTGCAGTGCAGTGGTACGATCATGGCTCAATGCAGCCTCAACTTCCTGGGCTCAGGTGGTTCTCCCACCTCAGCCTCCTAAGTGGCTGGGAATACAGGCGCACTCCACCATGCCTGGCTAATTTTGTATTTTTAGTAGAGAGAGTTTTGTCATGTTGCCCAGGCTGGTCTTGAACTCCTGGGCTCAAACGATACGCCTGCCTTGGCCTCCCAAAGTGTTGGGATTACAGGCATGAGCCACCATGCCCAGCCTTCCAATGTTGTTTTAACAATATAGTCTAGAACCTTCCTAATCAAAGGACATTTACTCCAAGATAAAAAACAGTCAGCAGAGCCCCCTTCTCCAAGATGGGCAAATTCATCAGAGCAAATTAACTGTTAACAGACATGGTAAGATAGAGTGGCTGGAAGTCTGCAGTTTCATCTAACACACACAGTTACCGGACAAAACTACCCCCAGGAGTCTCACTGGGACACATTATTTGGAATTCCAGCTCAGTAATCATGTCCTTGGAATTCAAGGGCAGTTTCTTTCCTTTAAGGATAAGTAGGAATACAGCTCTTCCAGTGTCTTTCTGCAGAAATCCTTTGGAAGGATTAAAACCTGGAAACTGGCAAGTTCTTCCTTTCCCTCACTCCCCATACACAGACTAACGACATCTTATTGGTGTCAACTTCCTAGTAGCTCTTCAGGTGGCCCATCTGCTCCACTTCTACCAGGGCCTCAGTATAGAGCCTCGCTCCTTGTCTTCACTGGGTCCCCTGCCTTTGCCCCAACACCTCCAATCTATTCACCTTACAGCTGAGAACTTCTTAACATATAAACCAGATCTTGTCACTCATCTGCTCATACTTCTACAGAACACCAAGTCTTTGGTAAAAAGTTCAGTCTCCTCGACTTGGAGTGCAAGTACACATCCCCAGGCCCCTGAAGTCTGGCCCCTGCCATCTCTCTAGGCTTTGCCTTCTATCATTCCCTCCTGGAACTCAACTTTCTAGCCTTCCTGATGATGTGTGGTCCATTGGTCAGGCACCAGGTCAGAAAATGTTTGCAGGAGTTATTCTCTTGGTATGGAGGGCTGGGATCTTTCTATTCACTCTTCAAAAATGAACCAGATGTCGTCATCTCTATGAAGTGTTATCTGATCCATTTTCCCTCTGAGAGTTAAATCACTTCTGTTTTTAGCTCATGCATGCCACATTGTATCCTAGTGACCCTTCTCTGCTGGAGGTCCCTGAAAACACAGCCCAAAATCTTGTCAATGTGCCCCCCACCAGTGTAAGCAGAAAGCCTGGCAGGGCAGGTATTCAACAAACGTTCTCCTAACAGAGCAGATTAATCAATTAGCAACTGGAATTCTGATAGCCCCAACATAAAGCAGATACGTCTTTAAAATCAAGAACTGCTTGTCCCTGAATTAAAACATTTTTATTTAAATTTTTATTTTTGGAGACAGGGTCTTGCTGTATTCACCCAGGCTAGAGTGCAGTGGCACTATCACAGCTTGCTGCAGCCTCAACCTCCTGGGGTCAAGCGATCCTCCTATCTCAGCCACAGGAGTGTGCCACTATGCCTGGCTAATTTTTAAATTTTTTGTAGAGATGGTGTCTCACTATGATGGCTAGGCTGGTCTTGAACTCCTGGGTTCAACTGATCCTTCTGCCTCAGCCTCCCAAAGTGCTGGGATTATAGGCCTTGTGAGCCACTGTGCCTGGTTCTGTCCCTGCATTTTTGTTTGAGAATTCTGCTCTCTGACTTGGGAGAATTTATACAGTCTGAGAAGGACTGGAAACAAATGTCTTATAAAGGCAAAAATTTATCCAGTTTCGTATTTCTGCCACTCAGTATCCATTCTTTTCCTGCAGCAACAATAATGAGATTTTGCTGTGGTGGAAGTAACTCTAGGCCCCACACAGATCAAGGAGACCACCTGAGGGCTTCTGCTTGAGCACAGCTGTGTGTGGGAAGAAGTTATGTCTGATGGTGCCGAGCCCAATCATGGAACTACGGCCAAGGAGGCAGAAGCAGATGGACCGTAACTCTAGCCCTGGACTTTTTTTAGTTATATGAACTAACAGCCCTTTTATATTTAAGCCTGTTTAGACTGGGTTTTCTGTCACCTGCAACAGAGACAGTTCTAACTGACTAAGGTTTTTAAAGAAATGCTCGGTTGTTTCTTGTACATGTGTACAGACACACGTACACATGAATGCACACAAATGTTATTTATTTTTTTTTTTTTGAGACGGAGTCTCACTCTGTCGCCCAGGCTGGAGTGCAGTGTGATCTCTGCTCACTGCAAGCTCTGCCTCCTGGGTTCACGCCATTCTCCTGCCTCAGTCTCCCAAGTAGCTGGGACTACAGGCACCCACCACCACGCCCGGCTAATTTTTTGTATTTTTCGTAGAGACGGGATTTCACCATGTTAGCCAGGGTGGTCTTGAACTCCTGACCTCGTGATCCACCCGGCTCAGCCTCCCAAAGTGCTGGGATTACAGGTGTGAGCCACCGCGCCTGGCTACACAAATGTATTTTTCTAACAAGATACAGCTAAATACAACTATCTCTTGTGCCCTTACCTTTCAGGGTGAGTCCAGGGTCAACACACTCTACCTCCAGTTGTTGACTTTTTTCTTGCCCAAATTAGGAGCTAGTATCAGTAGATGTGCCAAGAAAAGCAGGGGAAGAAGATGCAGGAGTTGTTTGACCCTTTCCCTGGTGAATACAAATGGTCCCAAAGTCTTTGGAGAAGGAAAAGGCTTTTAGTCAGCTTGCAGGCAGGAGGGTGCTGCATCGATTCCCAATGAAGCACACTGCTGACAGGCCAAGCTAGATCTTTAAGGCATACAAGCATGGTAAGAGGGTGTGGACAGATGCTTTGCAGAAAAAAAATGGATCCTCTAGAGACCTAAGAAGGAAATGTAAATTTATTTTCTCATTATAAATTAAAAAAAAAAATTTTGTAGAGATAGGGTTTCGTCATGGCCCAGGCTGGTCTGGAACTCCTGAGCTTAGGCAATCCGCCCGTCTTGGCCTCCCAAAGTGCTGGGATTATAAATTATTAACTTGAGGCTGGGCGTGGTGGCCCACGCCTGTAATCCCAGCACTTTGGGAGGCTGAGGCGGGTGGATTGCTTGAGGCCAGGAGTTCCAGACCAGCCTGGCCAACATGGCAAAAACCCATCACTACTAAAAATACAAAAATTAGTTGGGTGTGGTGGCGGGCCCCTGTAATCCTAGCTACTCAGGAGGCTGAGGTATAAGAATCGTTTAAACCCGGGGGTGGTAGCTGCAGTGAGCTGAGATCATGCCACTAAACTCCAGTCTGGGTGACAGAGAGAGACTGTTTCAAATTAAAATAAATAAATAAATAAATAAATAAACTTTTTGACATACTAATTTTAAAGGCAATTAAATAAACTTTTTAGAAATTTAATCCATGTCACATCATGAGTTTCACAAAGCAAGCAACAAAATATTTCCGATTTTTCTGATTTCTACAGTAGGCCTAACACCCAGAAGGAAACAGTAAACTCAGTAAGATGTTTGCAAATTTCAATTTTGTACAATCAAGCTCACAAAAATCCTATTTACAACAGGCAGCCCCAACATCACAATGGTCTACATATATATTCTAAAAGGTCATCAAGCTAATTGTTATGAAATTCGAATAATATTTCCCCCCAGAAAAGTGTTAAAAATGATAGTTTTATTTCCTATTCTAGCCCACAATCTACATAAGCAAAACAGTAGCAGCATTACATTTTTTTAATAATTAAAAAATTTTTTTAAAGTTTTTGTGGGTTCATAGTAGCTGTATTACATTAATTTTTTTATTTTTATTTTTTTGAGACTGGGTCTGGCTCTACCGTCCAGGCTGGAATACAATGGTGTGATCTCGGCTCACTACAACCTCCATCTCCCAGGCTCAAACCATCCTCCTGCCTCAGCCTCCCAAATAGCTGGGACTACCGGCATGTACCACCACACCTAGCTAATTTTTGTATTTTTAGTAGAGATGGGGTTTCACCATGTTGGCCAGGCTGGTCTTGAACTCCCGACCCCAGGTGATGCACTTGCCTCGGCCTCCCAAAGTGCTGGGATTATAGGTGTGAGGCACTGTGCCTGGCACCCAGCTAATTTTTTTGTATTTTTGGTAGAGATGGAATTTTACCATGTTGCCCAGGCTGGTCTTGAACTCCTGGGTTCAAGCAATCCTCCTGTCATGGCCTCCCAAAGTGCTGGGATTACATGGTGGCGTGAGCCATCATGCCTGGTCTACATTTAAACCTTAATTGATAGAAATAGCAATGTTTTTCTTAAAATTCAAGTTGCATGAAGAGAGTTCCTATTAATCTTCCCAACTGTTTTGTATTCATGACTATCTTTTAAAATTAAAAAATATATATATTTTTATAGAGACGGGGGTCTCAGGCTACTTTGTCCAGGCTGACCTTGAACTCTTGGCCTCAAGTGATCTTCCTGTCTAGGCCTCCCGAAGTGCTGGGATGACAGGGCTTGTGAGCCACTGTGCCCAGTCTTGACTATCTTTTCTAAAACATTAATCCACTTAAGGTTACTAAAGGATAGGCACTTTGAATTTGTTGCTATGACCTCTAGCCCCTATCAGAACATTCTGATAAGAAATGTATTGGCTGCTGATTAAAAGCATACTCAAGTGACTGGGCAAAAGCAGAATTAAAAATATAGTCCAAGGACAGGCATGGTGGCTCATGCCTGTAAACCTAGTGTTTTGGAAGGCTGAGACTGGAGGATCCCTTGAGGCCAGGAATTTGAGACCAGCCTGGGTAACATGGGAAGACTTCATCTCTACAAAAAATAAAAAATTAGCCAGGTGTGGTGGTCCATGCCTGTAGTCCCAGCTACTCAAGAAGCCAACACAGGAGGATCATTTGAGCCCAGGAGTTCAAGGCTACAGTACACTATGATCATGTCTGTGACTAGCCACTGTACTGCAGCCTGGGCCACACTGCAAGACTCCATCCATCTTAAAAAAAAAAAAAAAAAAAAAAAAGCAGCCTTTTTTTTTTTTCTTTGAGATGGGGTTTTGCTCTTGTTGCCCAGGCTGGAGTGCAATGGTGCAATCTTGGCTCACCGCAACCTCTGCCTCCTGGGTTCAAGCGATTCTCCTGCCTCGGCCTCCCAAGTAGCTGGGATTATAGGCATGCGCCACCATGCCTGGCTAATTTTTTTTTTTTTTTTTGTATTTTTAGTAGAGATGGGGTTTCTCCATGTTGGTCAGGCTGGTCTCAAACTCCTGACCTCAGGTGATCCGCCCACCTCAGCTTCGCAAAGTGCTGGGATTACAGGCGTAAGCCACTGTGCTCAGCCCTTTTTTTTTGTTTTTGAGACAGAGTCTTGCTCTGTTGCCAGGCTGGAGTGCAGTGGCGCTATCTCGGCTCACTGCAACCTCTGCCTCCTGGGTTCAAGTGATTCTCCTGCCTCAGCTTCCCAAGTAGCTGGGACTACAGGCGCATGCCACCACGCCCAGCTAATTAATTTTAGACAGGGTTTCACCATGTTGGTCAGGATGGTCTTGATCTCCTGACCTCATGATCCACCTGCCTCAGCCTCCTAAAATGCTGGGATTACAGGTGGGAGCCACCGCGCCCAGCCTAAAAAAAGCAACTTTTATATGTAGTCCAAAGATACATACGCTAAGTGTCCTCAATCCTTCTCTGCTCAATCTCTATGTGACTTGATGCAGGGTAAAGTGGATAAAATAATAAGCCACTTCACAATTTTGAAACTTTACAGTAATATCCAATATCTAAAATTTATTTGAAAGATTCTGGGCCTGGTGCAGTGGCTCATGCCTGTAATCACAGCACTTTGGGAGGCCAAGGCAGGTGGATCACTTGAAGTCAGGAATTTGAGACCAGCCTGGCCTAGTGAAACCCCATTTCTATTAAAAATACAAAAATCAGCCAGGTGTGGTGGTGTGTGCCTGTAATCCCAGCTACTGGGAGGCTGAGGCAGAAGAACTGCATGAACCCGGGAGATGGAGGTTGCAGTGACCCGAGATCGTGCCATTGCACTCTAGCCTGGGTAAAAGAGCGAGACTCCATCGCAGAAAAAAAAAGAAAAAAAGAAAAAAAAAAAAGAAAAGATTCTGTTTGCATTACTGTAACACCAGCACGTCACTTCTCTGGGGTCTTTAAATGAAGTAGTCTAAACAGTGTCGTCCGGGTATCTAAAGCATATGAAATCGTAGGAGCAGAGTGTCTCTGCTATGTAGGTGGTTTAGCAACATTATTAACTTGAAAGATTAGGTTTAGTCAGTGCAAACTAAGAAAATTCTGCATAACCTTGTCTGAACAGTCTATAATTAATAATGAAAGCTAACATTTGTTTGAGCACTCACTACGTGTCAGTGCTATGTGGTTTAAGACTCACTGCAAACCTATACCATCATGATAGAATCATACAATTGAAGGTGTAATCAAACCTTCTCATGCCTAGTTTACACCAACCATTAGTCACGCCTGGAATCTGGCCATTTTTCGAGAATAACATCAGAAGGCAGAATAATTACAGCAGAAAGTGGGCTGGCCTTCAGCACGACCAGTTTAAAACTAGTCTCAGAAAACGAATCACAGGTGTTTGTGCCAAAGTAACAACTGGCCCTAACCTATGCTCCCTGTGTCATTAACTTTATTGTTCCCACAGGAAAGCTGATAAAACAAAGATTGGCCTAGTAAGAACCAATTAATAAAACTAATTTTCAAAAGAAAAAATAATTAAAATTAATTATATTGCCTATGACGAGAAAAAGCCTTGCATTTAGTAAGCCTTTAAAATATCCTGTTTACAGTAGGATTTTGAAGGTAGTAAGGGCTTAAGATATGTGGAGTCTCTGGTTTAAACCTTCACACAGTTTTTAAAAAATCAGCCATCATTATTCTCATGTTGAAATTCCGTATGAACACTCATATAAAGAAGAAAACATTTAAGGCTAAATGTCGAAAATATTTAAGGCTAAAATTGGAACTTAACATGTTTGTTTCAGAAGTTAACATAGGTCCAGGCATCCTACAGCTCACTCATATTTTAAATTAGTGAAGAAATAAGATATATGGGTGGGTGAAGAGAGGGAAAAGGAACAATTTGCCGAAGAAGTCATCTGTGCAGGGAAAGCTAATTGTATCTCACTGAAGACTCAAGCATCAATTTTAAGGGAAAGCTGTCACATTTAGTGCCTTAACTAAAGAAGTTAAACCCAATAATTTTCCAGTCTTTTAATTCATTTATAAGATAGGAAAGGAAAGTCCAAATATTATTAAAACAATGGGCCCTGTCTTTTAAGGTTTGGCGGTGAGACTCTCTTTGACTAAAGAGAAAGACGACACCTTCAGAAGCAAAGTATTTCAATGACTGATGCTAAGAGAAGCAACGAGACAGGTCAGGATATGAAAGAGTTGGCCCCAACAAGGCAGGTGTCTCCAGGGGGAATGCAGAAAGGAAATATTGCCAAAGAAATTAAAGAAGTCTTAAATATTATTTCCAAAGAGTGAAACGAAAAATTTTAGGAAAAGAGAATCAGAAGACACAGGCATATATGCATGTGCCTGGTGTATGATACGTGTAGCACAGGATGGAAGCAGAGAGCAGATCTTAGTCTTAACACCCTTGAGGAGACTGACTCTGCACCTCAGACAGTCACATATCCTAAAGTTCAGAAGGAGCTGGGTAGTGCATTTTCAGAATTTAGAAGTAGTAAAGGTAATGAAACAACTTTTTTTTTTTTTAGATGAGTCTTGCTCTGTTGTCCAGGCTGGACTGCAGTGGCGCGATCTCAGCTCACTGCAAACTCTGCCTCCTGGGTTCAAGTAATTCTCCTGCCTCAGTCTCCCTGGTAGCTGGGACTACAGGCGCGTGCCACCACACATGGTTAATTTTCGTATTTTTAGTAGAGACGGGGTTTCACCATGTTGGCCAGGCTGGTCACGAACTCCTGACCTCAAGTGATCCACCTGCCTTGGCCTCCCAGAGTGCTGGGATTACAGGTGTGAGCCACTGTGCCTGACCATGAAACATTTCTGTAGTCCTGTAGACTACAATCTGTAACACCAGAAACTTCTAATTAAGTCTTCTATTGATATTTTCTATTAAGTCACTTTTGAACTAGAAGAAATTTGAAAGTTAAGAACTGAACTATAATACAAATCTACCAGAGAGTAGACTACTATTAAGAAATACCTGGCTGGGTACGGTGGCTCACGCCTGTAATCCCAGCACTTTGGGAGGCCGAGGTGGGTGGATCACAAGGTCAGGAGATCGAGACCATCCTGGCTAACATGGTGAAACCCCGTCTCTACTAAAAATACAAAAAATTACCTGGGAGTGGTGGCAGGCGCCTGTAGTCCCAGCTACTCGGGAGGCTGAGGCAGGAGAATGGCGTGAACCCGGGAGGCGGAGCTTGCAGTGAGCCGAGATCAGGCCACTGCACTCCAGCCTGGGTGACAGAGTGAGACTCTGTCTCAAAAAAAAAAAAAAAAAAAAAAAAAAAGAAATACCTATATCAATCATTATCTGTAAACTATCTACCCCAGCTGCTATACTCAAGTTCTTAGTAGTTTTTAATCATAAGAAAAGACAATGTTGAAACACACACACACACACACACGAGTCATAAAAGAGAACAAGAGAATGTAAATATTGCTAAAAATTCAACGAATAATAACCATAATCTTACAGAACAAATGTTACTCCTCATATCAACTCAATCCTAAGTGGCCTATGGAACAGGGAAGTGATAAGCAGTTTGGAACTAAGGATGAAGGAGGAGAGAATTTTTGATTAGGCTGTCACAAAATGTAGTGATCAAACATTTTGTTTGACTAATGAGATCAAACATAGGTTAGGATTAAGAAACAGAACCTCACACCGTAACTGCAGAAAGTAAATGTCAGAACAATTCTGATGCAAACAATGTTCAAGTTAAAAGAATGATGTACACTTACTGCTCTTCCAAAAACAAAGAAGGAAAATCCATGCCAGCCTGGGAAATTTGTTCTGAACAGAATATAGCATATTTAGCTATTCTCTACCAATCTAACTTCTCTTTTCTCTCCACCCAGACTAACCCCACCTCAGAGTCTCTACACCTATCCAATCCCATTTTACTGACTCTACTTATTTTATTTCAAAACCCCAAGAAAATCATGTGCATGATAGGATGCTCTCCTTATTGACATGTAACATCATTGTCTTTTTAAAGTCACGCTCATCCTATGTATGCTTGCTATGTAGCCAAATTAAAAGCATTCAGAAGGCTGGACTTTCCACTTCTCTTGGCTTCTCCAGTGTTTCTATTTAGACTCAGCCATCTGGACCCTTTGGTAAACTGCGGACCTTTAATGCTACCTGGTGCTGTACATTCTCCTGAGGTATGACTCTCTGCCTCACGTCCTTATCTTCCCCCACTTTCGGCTTTTGTTCAAGTTATTAATGAGCACAAGACAATCTCCATTTCCTTATTCACTGTTCTACAACATAACCACAGCTTACTATCTACTTCCTCTAGGAAACCCCCTGGGTTTAACTCAAGCCTTTTAATCATCATACACAGCCAGGCAGGAGGATGATGCTCTGGACAACAAAAAGAATTTAGAATTCTAGTATCTTGCTAAAAATTAGTATACAAATTTAACTTACCTTCAGAGAATACTTACAGTTTTAATTTGAAAATGATTATAAGAACAAAGCAGTAAATAACATGCTTCCATTTCTCTTGGGAAAAACAACTTTTCTTACAAACAGGTAGAATCTCCTACCTGTTTTCTTTGCCATTCTGAATCACTGAGTGTCTATCAGCTGTAGTTCTCTCACTGCAAACATAAGTATTTCGTCGTGTCATTCCACCAGATGCTGTGTTACTCTATAAAAAAGGGCATTTTTGTCTTAAATTTATTTGGTAAATACAGTACAATGAGAAAAAATGAACTTATCTACATAAATAGGAATGTCAGTCTTTTATTTACTTGTTTTTTGAGGCAAGGTCTTACTCTGTCACCCAGGCTGGAGTGCAGTGGAGCAATCTTGGCTCTGCCTCCCAGGATCAAGCAATCCTCCCACCACAGCCTCCCAAGTAGCTGGGAATACAGGCATGTGCCACCACATTTGGCTAATTTTTTTTTTCTTTTTTGAGATGCAGTGTTGCTCTGTCGCCATGCTGGAATGCAGCGGTGCGATCTCGGCTCACTGCAACCTCCCCCTCCTGGGTTCAAGCGATTCTCCTGCCTCAGCCTCCTGAGGTGCCCGGCCTGACAACCTAATTTTAAAATCGGCACCTTCAATAGATATTTCTTTAAAAAAGCTATACAACGGCTGGGCGCGGTAGCTCACACCTGTAATCCCAATACTTTGGGAGGCAGAGGTGGGCGGATCTCCTGAGGTGAGGAGTTCGAGACCAGCCTGACCAACATGGAGAAAACCCGTCTCTGCTAAAAATACAAAATTAGCTGGCTGTGGTGGTGCATGCCTGTAATCCCAGCTACTCAGGAGGCCAGGAGGCTGAGGTAGGAGAATCACTTAAACCTGGGAGGTAGAGGTTGCGGTGAGCTGAGATCGCACCATTGCACTCCAGCCTGTGTAACAAGAGCAAAACTCAGTCTCAAAAAAAAAAAAAAAAAAAAAGCTATACGTATGGCCAAGAAACACATGAAAAGATGCCCAATATCATTGGTCATTAAAGAAATGCAAATCAAAAGCATGAGGTACTACTTCATACCTGCTAGGAAAGCTTTAAATAATAAAATAATTATTAATTGTTAGAAAGAATGTGAAGAAAACAGGGACTCTCACTATTGCTGGATAAAATGGTACAGTTGTGAGGAAAACAGTTTGGCAGTTTCTCAAAAAATTAAACATGGAGTTACCATATTACTCAACAATTTTATTCCTAAATATATACCCAGGAAAAATGAAAACACAGCCAGGTGCAGAGGCTAACACCTATAATCCCAGCACTTTGGGAGGCTGAGGCAGGATGTCTGCTTGAGCCTAGGAGTTTGAGACCAGCCTGGCTGGGCTACATAGGGAGACCTCATCTCTACCACAACAAACAAACAGAAAAAATAAGCCAGGCATGGTGATGCATGCCTGTGGTATCAGCTATTTGGGAGGCTGAGGTGGGAGGATCACTTGGGTCTGGGAGGTCGAAGTTGCAATGAGCCGTGTTTGCACCATTGTACTTTAGCCTAGGTGACAGAGTGAGACCGTCTCCTCCCCAAGAAAGAAGGAAAGAAATTAAAACATTTAAGTCCACATAGAAATTTGTACACAATTGTTTATAGTAGCATTATTCATTTTAACCAATACATGGAAATAATATAAATGTCCATCAACAGATGAACAGTTAAATTGTAGTATATATACAGAATGGAATATTACCCCCAAAAGAAACAAAGTACTAATACATGCTGCAGGCTGGGCACAGTGGCTCACGCCTGTAATCCCAGCGCTTTGGGAGGCCGAGGCGGGTGGATCACCTGAGGTCGGGAGTTCGAGACCAGACTGACCAACATGGAGAAACCCCGTCTCTACTAAAAATACAAAATTATCCAGGCATGGTGGCGCACGCCTGTAATCCCAGCTACTCAGGAGGCTGAGGCAGGAGAATCGCTTGAACCCGGGAGGTGGAGTTTGCAGTGAGCCAAGATCGTGCCATTGCACTCTGGGCAACAGGAGCGAAATGCCATCTCAAAAAAAAAAAAAGGGAAAAGAAAATACATGCTACAAATTGGATGAACCATGAAAACATTATGCTGAGTCAAAGAAAGAAGTAGACACAAAAGGATACATGTGAAATGGTTCCATTTATATAAAATATTCAGAACAGGCAAATCCAGAGACAGAACACAGACTGGTGGTTGCCAGGGAATGAGGGGGAAGGGAGGGGGGCAGAGGGGAGAGGAGGAATGGAAAGTGATTACTTAAGGGATACAGGTGTTCTTTTTTTTTTTTTTTTTGAGATGGAGCCTCGCTTTTTCGCCCAGGCTGGAGTGCAGTGGCACCATCTCGGCTCACTGCAACTTCTGCGTCCTGGGTTCAATCGATTCTCCTGCCTTAGCCTCCCGAGTAGCTGGGATTACAGGTGCCCGCCACCATGCCTGGCTAATTTTTGTATTTTTAGTAGAGATGGGGTTTCACCATGATGGCCAGGCTGGTCTTGAACGCCTGACCTTGTGATCTGCCCACTTCAGCCTCCCAAAGTGCTGGGATTACAGGCGTGAGCCACTGCGCCCGGCCACTTTTTTTTTTTTTAAGGACAGGGTCTTGCTCTGTTGCCCAGGCTGGAATATGGTGATGTGACCATGACTCACTGCAGCCTCAACCTCTTGGGCTGAAATGATCTTCCCACCTGAGCCTCTCAAGCTCTCAAGTAGCTGGTACTACAGGTGTGCATCATCACGCTCAGCTATTTTCTTTTTAATTTTTTTTGTAGAGATGAGGTCTCACTCTGGTGCCCAGGCTGATCTCAGACTCTTGGGCTCAAGTGATCCTCCCACCTCAGCCTCCCAAAGCGCTGAGATTATAGGGGTTAGCCACTGTGCCCAGCCTAAACAGATGCTCCTTCTGGGGAGCTGAAAAAGTTCTGAAACTAAAGACAGGTGTTGGCTGCACAATACTGTGAGTGTACCAAATGCCACCGCATTGCCCACTTTAAAATGGTTAATCATTGTCATGTGGATTCACATGAATTTAACTTCCAAAACAAAAAACTAAAAAGCAAGGAACAAGTCACAGCTATGGACTTTTTTTTTTATTTTTTGAGATGGAGTCTCGCTCTGTTACCCAGGCTGGAGTGCAATGACACAATCTCAGCTCACTGCAACCTCCATCTTCTCGGTTAAAGCAATTCTCCTGCCTCAGCCTCCCGAATAGCTAGGATTACAGGAGCACGCCACTATACCCGGCTAATTTTTGTATTTTTAGTAGAGATGGGATTTCACCATGTTGGCCAGGCTGTTCTTGAACTCCTGACCTCAAGTGATCCGCCCACTTTGGCCTCCCACAGTGCAGGGATTACGGGTGTGAGCCACCGTGCCTGGCCATAGCTATGGAATTTTATCAGATAATTTTTAAACAAAGATAGAGCAGTCACTTTTACTACAGCTTGAGCAGACCATCTACAGAGAAATCCCAAAGACTCATGGGAGAAAATAATAATGTTGCTAACTACCTTTTTTCCTTTGTAAGTAATTTAGTATGGGTGGACTGAAAATACTCATGATTCACTTTCAGAAGGGCAGCGTGTGTAGACAAGAGCAAAGGGGAAGAGAAGTCATGAAGGCAGGGAATAATGCCCTCATCTTCTCTGGTAACTGTCAACAAACGTTGGAGACGGAATTTTAACTGCAGGAGTATGGAAACAATAATCCTACTGTATGGCATTTGGAGGCCAAAATAAACTTTTCACACAGGGTTTACTTCGACTAAGCATAAGGTCAGAGGATGAAACATGCAAAGCCCCTTGGGGTCCTTCATGCACCCAGTCCCCAGAATGGAACAATGAAGGGCTTTCAGAGAGCAACAGGGTTTCTCCACAGCCTCCTCAGTCCAGGGTTTTTCTGGAGTTGGAGGCAGGGCTGCATCATTGTTAATTTTGTAGGGAAAAACGTGCTTACAGAATAATCTTAAGATTGTTTACTTCTCTGCAAATTCTTTAATATGTTAGGTTAGATAGAACATACTTCAATACACAGAAAAAAGTTTCTGAAGCTGAATGGATTCAATTTAATTTAGTAAATATTATCTACTTACTGGGGAGATTTTGTTACAGATAGGGATTAAGAGCTGGATTCAGGTTGGCAGTGTAATTTTAGGCAATTACCCAACTTTTTTTTCACCTTAAAATGTAGCTAATCCATGAAAAAGCACTGAGCATGGTCCTTGGCACATGGTAAGAACTCAGCCAACACTCTTCATCATTAGAGCTCTTTGAAGACTCAGTGTGAACACCACATCTTTGGGGCACTGGCAGTCAGACCTCCCCGTGTGTGCACGTAGGCTTCCATCTGCACTGTCACTGTTTTCATTCACTTCCTGTTAGACTGTGAGGTCTTTCCATGTCTCAGCACCTGACAACCTAAGGCTCAGCAGGTGTCCGAAATAACTGGAACCAGGCCTTGAAATAAAGGACCTATCACCATCTAGTGTCTATGGTGGGTGTGCTATGCTCTGAATGTGTCCCCTCCAAAACTCATGTTTAAGCTTTATCTCCCATAGGAGAAAACAGTATTTGGAGATGAGTCTTTTAGGTGTTTAGGCCACGAGGGCTCCGCCTTCATGAAGGGATTAGTATCTTTTTTTTTTTTTTTGAGAAGGAGTCTCGCTCTGTCGCCAGGCTAGAGTGCAGTGATGCGATCTCGGCTCACTGTAACCTCTGCCTCCTGAGTTCAAGCAATTCTCTACCTCAGCCTCCTGAGCAGCTGGGATTACAGGTGCCTGCCACCACGCCCAGCTAATTTTTGTATTTTTAGTAGAGATGGCGTTTCACCATCTTGGCCAGGCTGGTCTTGAACTCCTGACCTCGTGATCTACCCACCTCGGCCTCCCAAAGTGCTGAGATTACAGGCGTGAGCCACCGCACCCGGCCAGATTAGTGTTTTATAGAAGGGCTTGAGGGGGTGAGTTCACCCCTTCTGTCCCTTCAGCCACATGACAACACAGCATTTGTCTCCTCTGGAGGATGCCAGCACCAAGGCATCATGTTGGAAGCAGAGAACAGGGCCCTTGCCAGACACGGAACTTGTTGGTGCCTTCATCTTGGACTTCTCAGCCTCCAGAATTGTTAAGAAATAAATGTCTTTTCTTTATAAATTAGCCAGTCTCAGGTATTTTGTTACAGCAGCAAGAATGAACTAAGAGAGTGTCAACAATAAATACCTACAATGCAGCAGGTAGGATTTCTGTAAGTTAAGATTGGGCATGGCTGCCTAGTAGAGAGGGCATTCCAGTACGAGAGACCACAGGAGTAAAATGAACACCTGGTGTCTAGCTGGTTCCAACCCTACCACCCTAAGACCACTCTATAGTTCAACAACACTTACACTAGGGACAGTGGAGCTTTTCTTGCGTTCAGGAATATCCGCCTTATTAGGATTACTTGCATTCCCAAGCATGGGACTGGCTGGAGCAATTCCCTTTCCTCCAACAGCACTGCCACTTGATTTCCGGGAGGAAATTCCATCTTCTTTGAGGTCACTATCTGCAGTGCTGGTCTGACTCCTTTTCGGATACGCCACAACAGAAGGAATAGCTGGTCCAGCTAAAATAAAGAGTTCATTTTTTAAATGACTGAATATAGTTTCAAGTTTTATTTTGTGACAGTAACCATATTTTGTAAGATGATCTAAGGTTGCTATTCACCTAAAAAATGTAAAACAGTAAAATCCTCTAAGATGTTTCCCACTTATATCTAATGTTTGCCTTATGCAATGAATTCAATATTGAAATTTCACTTAATACTCCTTTCTACTTAAAACATTTTTTTTTTAATAGTAAGAGTTTAGAGTTGTCCTTTGGAAACATCTTAAGGTGGTGGTACTGCATAGATTCAAACTAATTAGATGCATACGTAACAAGCAGAATGAACCAGTTCATCTTGTACATCTGAGTGAATTACATCCTCTTTTGTAGGAGAGATGCCATCACCTTTTGGAAGAGAAAAGTATAGATTTTATGGGCCACTTCTTTTGAAGTTTTATCTTGGATCTTTTTAAAAGCACTCATAATCTTCTAGATAAACCGGAGTTTGAGTAGACAGGGGAAGGTGTAGAAGCAGAGGAATCATGCAAGCGACAGGGAGGAAGTCGGTGGAGGTCACTAGTCATTCCTGCCACTCCAGGAGGAGTGTGTCCAGGGACATGTGCCTAGGGACATGTGGATGACAGACTAATGTCCTGTAGTAAACCATATAGAGACTCCAATAGCAGCACAGGAGATTCAGAGGGCAAAGAATCTTGGAAATGAACATGATAACTAGTATATGCCTCAGATATGATAATCCAGTGGTAATCTTAAAAGACAGAGTCAAATGCTTGTTTTTTCTTTTTCGAGACGGAGTCTAGCTCTCTCGCCCAGGCTGGAGTGCAGTGGCGCAATCGCGGCTCACTGTAACCACTGCCTACTGGGTTCAAGGGATTCTCCCGCCTCAGCCTCCGGAGTAGCTGAAACTACAGGCGCATGCCAACTAATTTTTTTTTTTTGTATATATTTTTTTTTTTTTAGTAGAGACGGGGTTTCACAGTGTTAGCCAGGATGGTCTCGATCTCCTGACCTCGTGATCCACCCACCTTGGCCTCCCAAAGTGCTGTGATTACAGGCATGAGCTACTGCGCCCAGCCTGTTTTTTCTAAGGCAGAAGAGAATTTATATTTTAGATATATTAAAGGTGGGAGGTGTGTGGTAGTTCATGCTTGTAATTCCAACACTTTGGGAGACTGAGGTGGGAGGATGGCTTCAGCTCAAGAGTTTGAGGCTACATGTGGCTTGGGTGACAGAGTGAGAACCTGTCTCAATAAATAAATTTAAAAAACAAACAAACAAAAACCGGGAGTGGGGAGGAGTTAGTTCTTGGACAAAAATCTAAATGGCAAACCTATTTGGAACTGAATTAAAAGTAAATGAGGGCTTAATTTTATTTGTGGGAGAACAACAACTAAGCTTTCGGTTTAGTGATTTTAACATATAAAACAAAAACTTAATCAAGCATAGGGTGATATTAGCCTCAATGCTTATCTTTCTTCCCAATACCATGAGACGTCTACTGACATTGTGAACTTTCAGATTACTACTGATTGGCTTTCCAGCTTTTATTTGTGTTTAGAAAATACAAAACCTTTTAAGATTTGAGATTCTGAAGAGAAACAGACCTTGATCTAATCCACTGACCTCGTTCAGATTTCCCCAGTTTTACTTGCACTAATTTGTATGTTTGTGTATCTCATTCTATACTCTTTTATTACATGTTCAGATTCATGTGGTCACCATCAGTCAAGATTCAGAACATTTCCATCTCAAAGACCCTGTAGACTACCCTTTCATAGCCACAGCCACTTCCCTCTTACTCTCCCTTTTGCTAAACCCCTGCAACCGCTAACCTGCTCGCCATCTCTAGAATTCTGTCATTTCAAGAATGTTATATGAATGGGCATCCATGGAATGTAACCTTTTGTGTACTTTCATGCAGTATAATTCCCTTGAGATCCATCTGAGTTGTGCACATCATAGTTTGTTCCTTTTTTTTTTTTTCGAGACGGAGTCTCGCTCTGTGGCCAGGCTGTGGAGTGCAGTGGCTCAATCTTGGCTCACTGCAACCTCCACCTCCCAGGTTCAAGCGATTCTCCTGCCTCAGCCTCACAAGTAGCTGGGACTACAGGCGCCTGCCACCATGCCCGGCTAATTTTTTGTAATTTTAGTAGAGACGGGGTTTCACCATGTTGGCCAGATGGTCTCGATCTCTTGACCTCGTGATCTGCCTGCCTCGGCCTCTCAAAGTGTTGGGATTACAGGCGTGAGCCACCGCGCCCAGCCTGTTCCTTTTTATTGTGAGTAGTAGTCCATGGTATGGATGTGTCACACAGAAATTTCATTTTTTTTTTTTTTTTTTTTGAGATGGAGCCTCGCTCTGTTGGCCCAGGCTGGAGTGCAGTGGCATGATCTTGGCTCACTGCAAGCTCCACCTCCCAGGTTCACGCCATTCTCCTGCCTCAGCCTCCTGAGCAGCTAGGACTACAGGCACTTGACACCAAGCTCAGCTGATTTTGTTTTTGTATTTTTAGTAGACACAGGGTTTCACCGTGTTAGCCAGGATGTTCTCGATCTCCTGACCTCGTGATCCGCCCACCTCGGCCTCCCAAAGTGCTGGGATTATGCGACCGGCCAGAAATTTCATTTTTATGTAATCAAATTTGTAAGTCTTTTATTTCATGGGTTTGGTGTTTGGGGTGACAGAAACACCTTCACCAGTCCAAGTTACAAAGCAAATAATCCCAAGGTTTCTTTCAATATTTCTGGAGTTTTATTTACATCTTTTTTTTTTTTTTTTTTGAGACGGAGTCTCGCTCTGTCGCCCAGGCTGGAGTGCAGTGGCTCGATCTCGGCTCACTGCAAGCTCCGCCTCCCGGGTTCATCCATTCTCCTGCCTCAGCCTCCTGAGTAGCTGGGACTATAGGTGCCCACCACCACGCCTGGCTAATTTTTTCTATTTTTTAGTAGAGACAGGGTTTCACCATGTTAGCCAGGATGGTCTCGATCTCCTGACCTCGTGATCCACCTGCCTCGGACTCCCAAAGTGCTGGGATTACAGGCATGAGCCACTGCGCCCAGCCCTATATTTGTATCTTAACTCCAATTAGAATTCATCCTTGTATAAGATGTGAGAAATTGATCCAAATTAATTTTTTTTCTGAGAACTACCAAATTGCCCCAATACCACTCATTGATTAGTAAACAGTGATTTTTTTTTTCATTTTTTAAAAAACAAGCTAACCCCTTGAAAATCAGATGATCACCATTCGCAGAAAAAGTGCACACATATGGGGTGTTCACATGTGGGTCTCAAACGAGGAAGGACAGCTACAGATTACATCGTAGCTTTAGAGAAGCAGGCACCCATGCAGAGGTCAGCATCCACAGGCAAGGAAAAGGGAAGGGAGAGGTGAGACGAGGCAGGAGGATGAGGTGAAAGTTAGCCCGGCTATACAGGCTTGCCTGCCTTCAGAAATTCCAAGAAAGATGAGGATTATGAAAAAGCTACTCCAATGAGGTGCTTCAGTGGAGAAAAAACACAGGGCTTGGACCAGCAGGCCTGAGCTCTGCCCCAGGTGTTTCTCATTTACTATGTAACCTTGGGAGACTTGGTAATCTCTCTTGGTCTATTTAGGGATAAAACAGAGGTTTGGTGAGTGTACAATACCATGTCTAAAGCTCTTTTTATCTCTAAAATTGAGCTGGGGGGAAAAAGGCACTAATAATCTGGATGGAATCTATGTGCTTAAGGAATAACTTACTAACATATTCCTTAGAGAAATGTGAAAATCCCATTGTCAGGTTTCTTCTAGGATTGAGGGACAAGTTAAACCAGATGGTTTCAGGGCAATATATGGGCATTTAATTGCCATGTGGTCCATAAGCACTAGAAACCCCCCTTGTTAGTGACTAACATGAACACAAAAAAGGCAGACCTAGATCAACACGTCACCTACAAATGCTAGGAGCACAAATCCTGATGTGAGAATGAGTTCTGAGCTCTCAGTTACACCCTAGAATAGCAGGCACTGTAGATGGTTTACTAGTGATATTAGTACACTGTTGCTTCAGTCTAAACCATGTAGAAAGGCAAGCAACAGAAGGAAGAGAAATGGAAATCAAGCCAAGTGTAATCATTTTTAGTACAAAATCAAAGCTGTCCACACCTAAAATGCCCTGTGCAGTCCTAAGTGTCAAATCTCAAGATGAAAGTATTAAGATGGAAAATGTCCAGAGAAGAGAAATAAAATGAGGCCGAGCGCAGTGACTCATGCCTGTAATCCGAGCACTTTGGGAGGCTGAGGTGGATGGATCACCTGAGTTCAGGAGTTCGGGACCAGCCTGGCCAAATGTGGTGAAACCCCGTCTCTACTAAAAATAAAAAAATTAGCTGGGCATGGTGATGCATGCCTGTAGTCCCAGCTACTCGGGAGGCTGAGGCAGGAGAATTGCTAGAACCCAGGAGGCGGAGGTTGCAGTGAGCCGAGATCGCGCTATTGCACTCCAGCCTGGGTGACAAGAGTGAAACTCCATCTCAAAAAAAAAAAAAAAAATAGATTTAGTTCCTGAATCCTGGAATAGTAGAATTAAAGGAAATATCTGCAATGTTAACATTTATAGTTATGGGCAAGTAAACACACACGCTAGCCTCAGGACTCTGACACACAGGCTGCCTTGAAGGCAGAGCAACTGTAGAGCCTGGTAAGCCTACCCACTGGGAGTCTTATGTCTCATAAAGGACTGGCTTCTAGGTGAAGTTTAAAAGGGAGAGTGGCTTAACCACACTAACAGCAAGAGTATGGATGAGAATGACACAGTACAACATTTAAACCAATTAAGGCAAAACTGAGGTTCCATATATTCTCCAGGGCTGTCCTGTCTATTATGAGAGTTACTGGCCACAACTGGCTATATATTACACTTAAGTACAAATTTTTTTTTTTTTTTTTGAGATGGACTCTCACTCTGTCACTAGGCTGGAGTGCAGTCACACGATCTTGGCTCACTGCAACCTCTGCCTCCCAGGTTCAAGCGATTCTCCTACCTCAGCCTCCTGAGTAGCTGGAATTACAGGCACACACCACCATGCCCAGGTAATTTTTTTATTTTTAGTAGAGATGGGGTTTCACCACGTTGGTCAGGCTAGTCTCGAACTCCTGACCTAGTGATCCACACGCCTCGGCCTCCCAAGGTGCTGGAATTACAGGCATGAGCCACCATGTCCGGCCAGGAAAATTTTAAAAGGGTAAAAATCAGCCAGGCCAATTACAGACTCACACGTGTAATCCAGCACTTTGGGAGGCCAAGGTGGGTGGATCACCTGAGGTCAGGAGTTCTAGACCAGCCTGGCCAACATGGTGAAATCCCGTCTCTACTAAAAATACAATATTGGCCAGGTGTGGTGGTGTGTGCCTATAGTCCCAGCTACTTCGGAGGCTGAGGTTGCAGTGAGCGGAGATCATGCCATTGCACTCCAGCCTGGGTAACAAGAGCAAAATTCCATCTCAAAAAATAAACAAATAAATAAGGCCAGGCGCGGTGGCTCACACCTGTAATCCCATCACTTTTGGAGGCCAAGGTGAGTGGATTGCTTGAGCTCCCAAGTTCAAGACCAGCCTAGCCAATATGGTGAAACCCTGTCTCTATTAAAAATACAAAAATTAGCCGGGTGTGGTTGTGCATGCCTGTAATCCCAGCTACTCAGGAGGCTGAGGCAGGAGAACTGCTGGGACCTGGGAGGTGGAGGTTGCAGTGAGCCAAGATCATGCCACTGCATTCCAGCCTGGGCGACAGAGCCAGATTCCATCTGAAAAATAAATAAATAAATAAATAAATAAAAATAATAAAAAATAAATAGAAATAAAAAAGGTAAAAATCATTTCCTCAGTTCAAGTACTTGATAGCCACAAGTGGCCAGTAGCTTCTTGACTGGACAGCACAGATACACAAAACTGTAATCATCTCAGAAAGTTCTACTGGACAGTGCTACTCTACAAAGTAAATCCAATGCAGAGGTGAAGAGAGTGAATAGAACTACAGACTAGCAGTTCTATTCAGTTCGGTACAGCGCCCAGTTCTAGCGCTGGGCATGGTGGCTCACGTCTGTAATCCTAGCACTTTAGAACGCTGTGGTGAGAGAATAGTTTGAACTTGGGAGTTTGAGACCAGCTTGGGCAACATAGCGAGACCCCCATCTCCATTTAAAAAAAAAAAAAAAAAGGAAAACTACAGATTAAAGCAGAGGTTCTAGAAGGGCAAATGGTAAGGTTTCCACTCAACTAAGCTTTATCCAGCAAAAATCTACTGCATGTATAAAGAAGATAAGAGCCTTGAAGTAATATGTAATCATGGCAGCACCTGCAGGAACACTAAGAAAAAATGCTGGCCAGGCACGGTGGCTCATGCCTGTAATTCCAGCGCTCTGGGAGGCCAAGGCAGGTGGATCACTTAAGGCCAGGAGCTGAAGACCAGCCTGGCCAAATGTGGTGAAACCCCGTCTCTACTAAAAATACAAAACTTAGCCAGGCATGGTGGTACACACCTGTAGTCCCAGCTATTCAGGAGGCTGAGGCAGGAGAATCGCTTGAACCTGGGAGGTGGAGGTTGCAGTGAGCCAAAATTGTGCCACTCCACTCCAGCCTGGGCAACAGAGTGAGACTCTGTCTCAAAAAAAAAAAAAAAAAAAAAAAAAAAAGAAGAAAGAAAGAAAGCAATGCCAAGAAAGGACATCAAGCCAGGCTCTGAGCAAGAGAATGCTTCCCAGTGCTAGGAGACCTCTTGCCTGGACTCTAAGAGAAGGCACTGGGATACTCCAAAACTTACCATGGTCACTGTAGCGTCTTTGCTTTTGGCTTGAAGAAACACTTCTCTGCACTTTGTGGTGAGGAGACTGGCCAGTACTGTTGTTGAGATCACTGCTCGGCCTAACCTTAGCAAGTGAAAGATTGCTGCTAGAACTGGAATCACTAGCATCCAGCTAAGAGAAAATGAGAAAAACAGAGCAAACCACAACACGAACCCAAATGGCTTATTAGGAAGTTAAACTTTTCATTAACACAGACCTCTCATAAACCGTTCATTCAGAGAGAGGAGGAATCACAACGTACAAAAATGACAACCCTAAACTCAAGCAAAAGTAGTTTTCTGACGGCTGGAAAGACACTAAAGGTAAGGTATTTATGATTTTCTTTCCAGGCTTTCTCAAATAACTTTAAATGTTGTATTTACTTCATCTGATGCTTTACGTCATTTCTAAGCTATTAATGACTACAGGTTAATTTATGAAAGACCAGGTTTATGACAACATCCATCTTTTTTTTTTTTTTTTTTTTTTTGAGACAGAGTCTCGCTCTGTCACCCAGGCTGGAGTGCAGTGGCGTGATCCTGGCTCACCGCAACCTCTGCCTCTCAGGGTCAAGCAGTTCTCTTGCCTCAGCCTCCCAAGGAGCAGGGATTACAGGCAAGCGCCAACACGCCCAGCTAATTTTTTGTTTGTTTGTTTGTTTTAGCAGAGACAGAGTTTCCCTATGTTGGCCAGTCTGGTCTCGAACTCCTGGTCTCAAGTGATCTGTCCGCCTTGGCCTCCCAAAGTGCTGGGATTACAGGCATGAGCCACCACGCCTGGCCAATATCCATCATTAAGGGTTAAGTTAAAATAGCTTATAATAGTCATAGGATTTAGATTTGCTATTTGCAAGTAAATCTAAAAAATGATGTATCAAATGTTACAAATATTCAAAAGATAAAAACTAAGAAAACAGTTTATATAAACTAATAATTACATACAGGGTATTTCAGCTCTTTCTGATTACTCTTACCTCTGAAGATTTTCTCCCCAATAACAAATATGTAGCTGTGATTTCATCGTATTTCATCTTACTAAGAGATTCTTGAATTTCTTCTTGTGAATATCCCATTCCCACCATAATATCTAAAAGAAGGGCATAATACAGTTTATGTGTTTTGTTTGGGTAAGAAATCATCCTTTTTTTTTTTTTTTTTTTTGAGACGGAGTTTCACTCTTGTTGCCCAGGCTGGAGTGCAATGGCGCGATCTTGGCTCACCGCAACCTCCACCTCCCAGATTCAAGCAATTCTCCTGCCTCAGCCTCCCGAGTAGCTGGGATTACAGGCATGAGCCACCGTGCCTGGCTAATTTTGTAGTTTTAGTAGAGATGGGGTTTCTCCATGTTGGTCAGGCTGGCCTCGACCTCCCGACCTCAGGTGATCTGCCCGCCTTGGCCTCCCAAAGTGCTGGGATTACAGGCGTGAGCCACCACGCCCGGCCAGAAATCATTCTTTTGTAGGGTAAAATAATTTTCATTTGACCTAAAAGATGACATATTACATATATTTTGTAACATAAATGGGCACTTGTTTCAGAGTTACTGGGTGCCATTATAGGAAACTGCAGGTAGTTACGTTCCTAAATATGACAGAACAGATAAACTGTTCATATGACTTGTGCTTAACTTTCCATTATTCACATTTTAGGCACAGACATGAGTCAAAACAGAAATATGTTACTTAGACAAAAACACATGAACATGCAGGCATGGAGTGATTACCTATTCTTTTTTGGTCTGAGATGTCTAGCTCTGGTTCAACAAATGGTTTGAGTTCATCTTCTTCATGCCCTGCATTGATCCACCTGTCCTTCATGATTTGCTAAAAAAGGTAAACTGTTCATTAGCAGAGTAAAATGAAATATTCTGATAACCGTAATATTTACAAAAATTTATTTTCAACATTTCATTGACTATCGTTCAAAGCATAAACTCAAAAAATATTTTTTAATGTTTCAATTCTTGCTTAAAAAGCCGCAGGATATATCCAGTATGGCATACAAATCAAGCAAAGATCTAAGGTCACTCTAAAGACTCTCCAAAGTTACTGCTTGTTTCCACCTACATGATTACCTCTAGAGTGCCGCGTTTAATTGGATTTAGCACCAGGAAACGTTTGAGAAGGTTTTCACAGTCTGTAGACATGTAGAAGGGAATTCTGTATTTCCCTCTTAATACTCTCTCTCTCAGTTCCTTTGGAGAGGTACAGAGGAAAGAAAACGAGTAAGTCAACCTTTAGGTTTAGTTAACAAAACACAACAAAAAACCCCCTGAAACCCCCCGCACTGATATAATGTTAAAAATATTAAGCCATGTAATATTAGGAAACTTCTTTTAGTTTAGTGAAGTACATGGGTGCAGCTTCTTATACCTTTAGGTTTTGCCCATCAAAGGGAAGTGAGCCACTGACTAGTGTGTATAAAATGACCCCCAGACTCCACACATCCACTTCTGGCCCGTCATATTTCTTGCCCTGGAAGAGCTCAGGTGCTGCGTATGGAGGACTGCCACAAAACGTGTCGAGTTTACCGCCAACAGTAAATTCATTGCTAAAACCGAAATCTGCTATTTTAATGTTCATATCGGCATCTAACAATAGATTTTCAGCCTAGAGGGAAAACATCAAGACAAAAATGAAATTTAGCCAAAATAGAATTAGAATTATGACAGGATTAGGCATTTTAGAAAAGCTTTCTGTAATGATATGAAGTTACCTCCTAATTAATGTGAAAACATTCTTTCTAGAGAAAAAAACAGGAGACAAGTCAGAACTCCTTATTTTATAATATTAACAATAACAAACATGAAGTACAGATTAATTCTAGCACTAATTTAAACATCAATGTCCCAAGATCAAGAAAAGCCTTGAGTTTTTCAATTGATAATAATAATATGGGGGCTGGGCACGGTGGCTCACACCTATGATCCCAGCACTTTGGGAGGCCGAGGTGGACGAATCATCTGAGGCCAGGAGTTCAAGACCAGCCTGGCCAACATGGTGATACCCTGTCTTTACTAAAAATACAAAAATCAGCTGGGTGTGGTGGTACACACCTGTAATCCCAGCTACTCAGGAGGCTGAGGCAGGAGAATTGCTTGAACTCGGGAGGCAGAGGTTGCAGTGAGCCAAGATCGTGCCACTGCACTCCAGCCTGGGCGACAGAGCAATACTCCATCTCAAAACCAAAAAACAAGAATAATATGGGGCAGGGCCAGGTACAGTGGCTCACTTGAGCCCAGGAGTTCAAGACCAGCTTGGGCAACATAGTGAGACCCTTTCTCTACAAAAGATTTTTAAAAATTAGCTGGGTATGGTGGCACACATCTGCAATCCCAGCTACTTGGAAGGCTGAGGTAGGAGGACCTCTTAAGCCTGGGAGTTTGAGGCTGCAGTGAGCTATGACTGTGCCACTGCACTCCAGCCTGGGTGACAGAGTAAAACCCTGTCTCAAAACATAAATAACTTTTTTTAAAAAGGGGCATTTCATAAAAACGGCTAAATAGCTATAAAACGGCTGTTAATGAGGAGGGGAGAATCCTAAACCTCATTCAAGAGTCAAATCATGGCTGGGTGCGGTGGCTCACGCCTGTAATCACAGCACTTTGGGAGGCTGAGGCGGGTGGATCACCTGAGGTCAGGAGTTCGAGACCAGTCTGGCCAACATGGTGAAGCCCCATCTCTACTAAAAATACAAAAAATTAGCTGGGCATGGTGGTGGGCGCCTGTAATCCCAGCTACTTGAGAGGCTGAGGCAGGAGAATCGCTTGAACCTGCGAGGTGGAGGTTGCAGTGAGCAGAGATCGCACCACTGCACTCTAGCCAGGGCAACAAAGTGAGACTCCGTCTCAAAAAAAAAAAAAAAAAAAAAAAAAAAGAGACAAATCACAGTCACTTTAAGAAACATTTCCTATGTGGCTACTCCACAGCAGATGCTATATTAGTGTCTGGATGGATAATGATGAACAAGACAGATAAAGCCCTACCCTCAGTAGCTCACAGTTTAGAAGGGAAGAAGGAGAATGATAAGCAGCTGTCCTGAGACAAAATGCCATAACTGAAGAGGCACAGGGAGTTGTGGGTTGGCACTGAAAGGTGTGAATGGCTTCCCAGATGAAGTGAAATCAAAGCACCAGAAGGTGCATCTGATCATAATGGATGTGTTGATGAGGGGTATTTCAGGCAGAATAAAGAGTCTGAGAACCCATGTGAGACACAGTATGTTTCACACAAGAAATTGAAAGACAGTATGTGAGATAGAGATGTGTAGAGGGGGCTGGGGAGATGGTCAGGGCTTAATCACAAAGGATTGTACTTGAGAAGTTTGGGTTTTCATCGTAAGAGCAATGGGAAGCCAATGAAGAGTTGTTCAAGCAGAGAAATGACCATCTTATTTGTGTTTCCTTAAAAGACCATTTTGGGTGCAGTGTAGAAAACATACATGGGAGGAAGAGGCACTAGAAACAGAGAAGAACATATAAGAAAGTAGTGTCGGAATCACCTATGAGATAATGGTGGTCTGGCCTTGGATAGTGTAACAGGGACATAAAAGAGTGAGCTTAAGAGATACTTGGAACACAGCAGCAAAAGGACCTGGTGACTGAGTGGGTAGCACAGGAGAGTAAGGTACTTGAGGGACATCAGACACCTGAATGAGAAGTGAACATTCATGTTTATAGGATTTGAACCTGCTGCACCCAAGGGATGCTTATATGAAGACACCCTTTGCTCAGCTGGGTCCTGGATCCCAGAAGAGTGCTCTGGCCGTAGGAATGGATTTGGGGCCATCAGCATACAGTTGGCCACTGCAGTTGAGAGAGTGAATGTGAATGCTCTAGGGGCGGGTGCAGAGAACAAGCAAGTCAATGGCAATTACGTAAGGGGAGAGTGAAAGTGAGTGCCAAGTTAAGACACAGAATCTAGGAAATGTTTAGAGAAATATGGCTATGAAAGGGAAGAGAGAAAAAGCGTGTATCTGAAAGAGGAACAGGCATGGCTTTTTAGTTAAAAAAAAAAAAAGGTATATAGACTTGAGCATGTGTAAATGCTGCTGGTGAAAAGCCAGTAGAGAAGGAGAGTGAATAAACAAACGGAGAGAAAAGAGGCATCAGACAGAGCACAGCCCCCAGAGGGAATCAGGACCCAGAGCTCAGAGCAGAAGCACCCCACTTTCCTGTAACAGGAGGAAAGAAGTGATGGATGGGGGTAGGTGCTGCTAGGTTTGAGGGCCTGGTAGAAAATGAGAGTTTCTGCATGGTGTTTCTATTTTCTCTGTGCGATACGAAACCTCATCCTATGCCAGAGTGAGGGCAGAGGCTGAGGACCTTGAAAGAGGTCTCAAACAGGCACTGCTGTTAACGGGAGAGAATACTGATGAAAGCAGCAGAAATGAATGCCGGGTGGCACTGAGGATGCTGTGGGCGTGACCATACATTTCTGGAGGCCCACATTTGTTTGGCTGTGTGATGACTGTTCTCCAGAGATCAACCACCAGTCACCGTAACTGAAATGTAAAATACTTTCAATAACCTTTATTTTTCTTTATTTTTAATGCTCTTTCCCATAACTTGATTAAGAGGATTCAATTATTGTGGGATTTTAAAAAATGCTAATAAGGCTAATCTATACCTCATTTGTGTAATGACCACTGAGAGAACTGCACACAAACAGACAGAGCATACACTGAGTGAGGCACTTCTACTCACCTTGAGGTCTCGATGTACGATCCGTTTCTGATGGCAGTATTGAACTGCAGACACAATCTGAATAGGAGAGACGCAGAGTCAGTCATCACTGGTGCAGATTCGTAATTAAGATGAAAATAACTTTGTTAATGTTCACACATAATGAATACTCAGTATACGCTCGAATGTCCGTGTGGATTTCTAAAAACAATTTTCCTATGCCTTGAACTTTCCAGTCTGGAGAAATTCATGGGTGAGGGCAAAAACAAATAGGTGAGGACGTTCTTCCGTTTTCTACTGTTTTAACTGAAGTCTCTTTTTGGACCCTATCCGTTGACATTCCACTTACAGTGTAGTGCCAGGACCCAACAAATTGCCTAGATCTGGAGGACCCTGGCTGCCCCTAGGCTCCGATGGCTCTGGTGCAACTTTTTTTTTTTTTTTTTTTTAACAGAGTCTCGTTCTGTCACCCAGGCTAGAGTGCAATGGCATGATCTTGGCTCACTGCAACCTCCCCGTCCCAGGTTCAAGCAGTTCTCCTGCCTCAGTCTCCCGAGTAGCTGGGATTACAAGTGTGCACCACCATGCCCGGCCAATTTCGTATTTTTAGTAGAGATGGGGTTTCACCACGTTGGCCAGGCTGGTCTCGAACTCCTGACCTCAGGTGATCCGCCAGTCTCAGCCTCCCAAAGTGCTAGGATTACAGGTGTGAGCCACTGCGCCCGGCCTGGTGCAACCTTTCCATACCCATAGAGTCAACTCCAAACCAAACCAGCGGTTAGAGAGTTGCCCATACCCAGGTGTTAATCCAGGTTGGCTCTCTTCTGTAAGTGCCCTTCTCAGCCTGCTCCCTGCAACAGTCTTCCTTCTAACTGATGTGGATCATGGAAAGCAAAAGTTAGTTAACTTCTCTGAGGGTCAGTTTCCTCTTCCTTTATTAAAATGGAGGAATGAATGTTGCGACGTACGTGAACTATGAAAACTACTACGTGCACTATTAAGGATTCCTCCCACTTTCAGTAAATAGTATGCTTTTATTTAGTCAACTTGCAGTCATGCCTATGATTAAACAATTGTTTTACTGAAATTTCACACTTACGGTCACTTAAAAAAAGTCTTCTAATATTAAAGCTTTATATGGTCATTGTAGAAATTTCAGGAAATACAGAAAAGTCTATAGAAATATATTCCTGCATTACCACTAAGCAGAGGTAACATGTCTTGCTATTTTGCTGTACTTGCATCTAGTCTTTTCTTTGGTATTCTGCATGTATATTTAGACACATATGATTACATATACACAAAACTGAGGTTATAATAAAATTACTGTTGGTTCCTCCAAATCATCATCAACTCTTAGCTCTAAGCCCCATGGACCCACCCGTGGACATAAAATCTCAGAGGGCTGTATAATATTTTGGTTCAGAATAAGCAGCAAGGACAAGGTGAACTGGGGTTAGGATGAGATGATAACAAAAATCAGCACTTTACTAAGCAGCTTCATTATTTAAAATTAACATTCAGAATATCAGACCCACTTATAATTAACAAAAGGTACAAAAATTCCAATGCCAAAAAACGGGTTTTAGAGCATCTGTTACTTTGGATTTATCACTATTGTTCTATTCAGTCAGCATGAAAACTTGAAAAGTAAAATAGCTTTGTTTTCCCAAAACAAAGTCATAGCTTTGTCACCTAGGACACAGGTAAATTTTATCTAATCTTTTTCCTTTTCTCATTCAGAATTTATATTAGTTTTTCCTCATATTGAGATTTCTCTTACAGGTTATTTTCAAATTCTGCTTTTGAAGCAGATTTGATTTCCTGCCCTTTCTCAAAGAGATCAAAGGATTTCTCTCTCTCTTTAGCTCCAAAACAGCTCAAAGCTAACCTGATGCCACAATAAGCTGAAAAGACTCAACTTGAACTTACTGCTTTTTTTGCATTCTATTACCAGGTAGAAATGGTGATTTCTAACAGATGTTATTTAGGTTAAACTATGATTTAACCTAATTCACTTTCAATCATACATAAAAGAGCGTCAAATCATCAATATTACCAGCCCACCAATAAAGAGGTAAGTAAAAAAGATGGAGCTGTGCCGGGCGCGTGGCTCACGCCTGTAATCCCAGCACTTTGGGAGGCCGAGGCGGGTGGATCACGAGGTCAGGAGATCGAGACCATCCTGACTAACACAGTGAAATCCTGTCTCTACTAAATATACAAAAAATTAGCCGGGCGTAGTGGCAGGCATCTGTATTCCCAGCTACTTGGGAGGCTGAGGCAGAAGAATGGCGTGAACCCAGGGGGCGGAGCTTGCAGTGAGCCGAGATCGCGCCACTGCACTCCAGCCTGGGCGACAAAGCGAGATTTGTCTCAAAAAAAAAAAAAAAAAAAAAAAAAAAAAAAGATGGAGCTGGAAATCTATTCTTTTTCTTGGAAAAGAATGAGCTCAACCAAAAAATTAAAATGTCATAAGCAGTAACTAGGATGGGCATGGTGAAGGAAGCAGAAGGGGAAAACCCATCTGGTGATGAATATGGAAAAGGGATCACACACAGTGTACTTTGTGTGTGGCATACCTTCCTTTTTGTCATAAATAGAAAAACTTGTTTTACTTAGTCAAAGTAATTATGACTTATAAGCTCCTAGAAAGCACAGAAATTGAGGCCACATTACGATGGCTCACATCTGTAATCCCAGCATTTTGGGAGGCTGAGGAGGGCAGATCACTTGAGATCAGGAGTCTGAGACCAGCCTGGCCAACACTGGTGAAACCTTGTCTCTACTAAAATTACAAAAAAAAAAATAAAAAATTAGCTGGGCGTGGTGGTGCACACTTGTAATCCCAGCTACTTGGGAGGCTGAGGCAGGAGAATTGCTTGAACCTGGGAGGCGGAGGTTGCAGTGAGCTGAGATCGGGCCACTGCACTCCAGCCTTGGTGACAGAGGGAGACTCCATCTCAAAAACGAAAAAACAAAGAAACCACAGCATTTGAAACAGAAAAGTGGAAACACCAATATGATGCGTATCCTTCCAAGTCTAATGGAGCTGTTTTAGGCAAATACCATGGAAGAAAGGGTCAATTCTAAAGCACTCTAAATCAATTTGCTAATTGAAAAAACACATACATACAAACCATCTTTCCTAGTCCAACTAACAGGCTCCTCAAATAAAGGCTTCAGAATTTCTGCAGGGAATTTACAATAAAAATTAGAGTAATTTCCTCAAGATTTAGGTTAGTAAGCTCTTGCTGGGTGACACCAGCCCCTTCCTCATAGTCAATAAGCCATCTTCACACATGTTTGCAAGTCAGATTCATCTGAGTAGGAAGGAATGTAAATTGTATGAAGCAAAAAAATGTTCCCTTTTAGGTGGCCAATTTATAAAAATTAAGAGTACAGTTATGGAAAGAGCCACACACTTTTTTTCTAATAAAAATCTGAATTTCCTTTAATAGACCATACAATCAAATTATATTAGAATTGCAAAGAACTATGGAATTCATCAAGAATAATTTCTTTTTTTTTTATAGCTTTAAAAACAGGATCAGAGAAGTTAAATGATAGCCAAAGCTGATTTTTACTTTGGTTTTACTAGATTTGAATTCAAAGTACCATTAGTATTTAAGCAACAGCAAAATATAAGCAACGTTTATAAGAAACTTAATAAGTCCTATCACTTACAAATGTAAACATCAGACTAAGCAAATCAAAGGAGACTTGAACTTTAATAGTCTGTCCAGCTTGACAACCCTGTATATGAATAAAACAAAATATAAAGGTTCTAAGAAAAAATGAGGCTATAATTCCATTTCAATGTAGGCCTTGTGAGAATACAGAATTAATTTAAAAGCAGTGAAGCACTGCTCCTTTCCTTCGTCTAAATCAGGGGTTGGCAAATTATGGCCTCTGGCTACATCCGGCCCATCCCTGTTTTTGTAAATAAAGTTTTGTTGGAACACAGTCACGTTCATTCATTTGGTATTGTCTACAGCTGCTGCTTCTTTTTTTTTTTTTTTTTTTTTGAGATGGAGTCTCTGTCACCCAGGCTGAAGTGCAATGGTACGGTCTTGGCTCACTACAATTTCCGCCTCCCAGGTTCAAGCGATTCTCCTGCCTCAGCCTCCCCAGTAGCTGGGATTACAGGCACCTGCCATCATGCCCGGCTAATTTTTGTGTTTTTGTAGAGACAGGGTTTTCACCATGTTGACCAGGCTGGTCTCGAACTCCTGACCCTCAGGTGATCCGCCCACCTCAGCCTCCCAAAGTGCTGGGATTACAGGCATGAGCCATCGCACCCAGCCTACGACTGCTTCTAAGCTACAACAAGAGAGTTAAATAGTTGCGACAGAGACAGTGTGGCCCACAAAGCCTAAAATGTTCACTATCTGGCCCTTTACAGAAGTTTGCTGATTCCCAGTCTAAATAATAGCACAATATAATGATTGCAAATCTGAGTTTTGGGGTCAGAGGGTTTGGGACTCTGAGTCTATGGCAGGTCTCCTACTTGAAAGGCAATTCTGGGACCTGCCTGGGCAATACAGCGAGACCCCGTTCTCCACAATAAGGGGGAAAAAGAAAAAAAGAAAGGCAATTCTGGGCAAGTTATTTAATCTTCCCATGTCTCAGTTGTCTTATTTTTTAGCAAATGGATATAACAGTCCTTAACTCACAAGGCAGCTGTAAGATTTACCTTAATGTTGGTAAAGTACTTATCTCAGTGTGTGGCATGGTCAATAGATAACAGTAATTATTATTAATAAAGACAGGAGAGTCAAGTAACCTGTTTGCTTAAAACCTGCTTATTAAAACCCGAGTCTCTTTAAAAAGCAGAGTAAAAACAAAGCAAGAAGTAAAGTTACTAATTAACAGTTTCAGTTACACTTGGCCTTGGTTTATGTCAGACAAAGCTAATAATGAATTTTGGGGTTCTGACATTCTGCTTGCTAAAAACTCTGAAATGGCTTTAATTAATGTAATCACAGGTGTTTTTGAAAGGCTCTAGATTTTTAAGGCTCAGTTGTAAAAAGGGAAGGTTAAGTATAAGACTAATGCTCCCATTACAAAGCTAGGAATAGAACCATGGCTGCCTCCAGCACAGTGCCTTAGGTATGAAAAGTTCTTCATCAATTTTTGTTGAATTGAATGGCCAACCCCTGCCATCCAACAGGCCTTATAAGCATTTATGGAGGCAAACACTTGTTTGCTTCAGGGTTTAAGTGAGATAAATTATCAAATTGACATAGTAAAGACACATTAATTCATACCTGTCTAAATTTAGATCTTGCTTCTTTTTCCTTCATCCTGCCATGTGCAACCAAATAGTCAAATACTTCACCTATAGGTGAGAGAAATAAAAGTAAGTAGAAATCCTACTTCTGAGTATTAATTTTCCCATAAATTGATGTTTCACTTTTAGCAATGCTCTAATTTTTAAATATAGATATAAAGTTAGCCAGAAATATGTGGAATTTGAACTAAGCTGGCTTTAACTACAGGCATTTAAATTCACCAACAAAATCTTTAAGCTGAAGAAAAGCCTTAAAATTAAATTCCCTATACTTAAATTATATAACTCTTATTTTAAAGAGCGTTTTCAATAGGCTTTAATAAAAACTAAGCAATTAAAACAGAAAATTAAAATGGATGAAGTTATTTGTGTTAGAAGAGGACATCCTCACTGCAGGATTATGACAACAAAGCATTTCCTGAGTATATTCATTCATTCAACAAATATTTCCTGAATGTCTACTAACTGCAAGGCACTGTTCTAGGTAGGTTCTGGGGAGATGCAGCAGTGAACACAAGATCCTTTTCCTCATAGAGTTTACATTCTAGTTGGGGGAGGGGGCAATAAATGAATAAACATATAGTGTATCAGAGGACAGTAAGTGCTGTGGAGAAAAAGTAGGAGAGACAGACAAGTGAGCCTGTGTGTGCACACCCTTGTGTTTTGCTGACTACTTGAGGGTGTGGACAATGTAGTTATCTGGGGTAAGATTCCACAGTAATTAAGAGAAAGAGCAAGAAGGCCACAGGGCTGGAGAAGTGTGAATGAGGGGAAGAGGGTAGTTCATGAGGCTAGGAAGAGTCCTGTAGGCCGTGGTGAGGACTCTGGCTCTACTACAAGTGAGATGAGAAGCAGAGATGAAAAAAGACTGACCTCTTAAAAGGATCACTGGCTGCTAGCGGGGAAGAGGCTTCCAATGACGGGAAGGGACAGGAAGACCAAGAGGGAGATCAGTACAATAATCAAACCAATCATGAAAGTGACGGGGACTAGAGTGGGAAGCACAGTGGTGGTGAGAAGTAGGAGCTCAGGATACAATGGAGGTGAAAACAACAGAACCAGCTGATGCACGCCTAGGTGGCAGTTTACACAACATTAATTATTTAGGGAAGAAAGGTGACACTTCAAGGAATATATTATTAGCACTGTCAACTGCTTATCAATGTAGAATAAAGAATCACCACCTCTGAAATCAATAGAAAAGAATACTAATTTAGAAAATTAGATATAAGTGTTTTCAGGAAACATCTTTACTTCATACAAATAAGGAATACCTCCATCAGCTTAGTGAAAATATTAAACTAAAATATTTTGATACTTGAAAGTCATCATGAATTACACAATTATCTGACTTTGAAACTCTTATTAACCCTAACTCTGAAAGAATAAATTTTACATAATGAATGGGCACAAATATTTTCATGTTATTACTTGATTGCATAATGCTTTTTTTTTTTTTTTTTTGAGACAGAGTTGTGCTGTTGCCCAGGCTGTAGTGCAGTGGCCCGATCTTGGCTCACTGCAACCTCTGCCTCCAACGTTCAAGCAATTCTCGTGCCTCAGCCTCCTGAGTAGCTGGGATTACAGGCGTGCGTCACCACACCCGGCTAATTTTTGTATTTTTAGTAGAGATGGGGGTTTCACCACGTTGGCCAGGCTGGTCTCGAACTCCTGGCCTCAAGTGATCTGCCCGTCTTGGCCTCCCAAAGTGCTGGGATTACACGCGTGAGCCACCGTGCCCAGCCTGCATAATGATCTTTTAAAAGGCATTACATACTGTCAAGTTTACACGACACAATTCACTTAACTATGATGAATTATGAAGTTAAATGTCAGCTCGGTAAAGTGTCAGCATTTTCTATGCGAATGACCTATTTGCAGAAAAGCACACAATGTCAAAACAAGTGGTTAATAAGCAAAAACAACTAAACATGAGTGAATATCATATAGGAGAGTTTTCACTTAAAAAAATTAAACGATTAAGCCTACCAGCTGTTGTAGAGTAACACAGATAAAATCCAAGTCTGTCAATATAATTGACAGATTTTTTTTTCTAAATTTGAATTCAATACAAACCTCTTAAGAGATTTGTGGAACCATATGTCACACTCATAATTACTAAATTATAATTCAGGAGTTCAACTTTTAAACCAGGAATTCAATCCAGATCTTTTTTCCTTATTAAAAATGTATTAACATTCAGGTTAAGCAGCTGAACTGAAAAATACTAAGGCTATTTATTAGAGATAAAAGAAACAAGAAGCAAAGAGTGGCTCTCCTGCCTGGGCAGGAACAGGTGGCTGGATGGAAGGACACTGACAGGCCAGTTCAGAAAGCCCTTAGTTCTAGTTCAGGTCCTGAAACTAACTAGCTATGGACCCCTTGGCATAGAACAAACTTTCTGAGCTTCAGTTTCATCTGTAAAAATTAGACCGCTGCCCTAAAATTTCTAAGATTATTTTCAATTCTAAAATTCTATGAGTTTACCAAATCAAAAGGCAGCAGGCTGGCGGGTGGGGGAGATGCAATGGTGGAATGGGTGGCCAATTTAATAAAACTTTTCACAATGGCAAACACATCAACAATAAAACATATGTCCCGGAAATTGTTTTAATAAACTCAACAAAACACTGTTAAAGAGGCCAGGTGCTGTGGCTCACACCTATAATCCCAGCAATTTGGGAGGCCAAGGCAGGTGGATCACTTGAGGTCAGGAGTTCAAGACCAGCCTGGCCAATGTGGCAAAACCTTGTCTCTATAAAAATTAGAAAAATTAGCCAGGTGTGGTGTGCGCCTGCAGTCCCAGCTACTCAGGAAGCTGAGGCAGGAGAATTGCTTGAACCCAGGAAGCAGAGGTTGCAGTGAGCTGAGATGGCGCCACTGCACTTGAGCCTGGGCAACAGAGTGAGACCCTGTCTCCAAAAAGAAAAAAAAAAAAACCCAAGGTAATACAGAACCACCACCTTCGATTAAATGATTAAAGGCTCTTACAATGTTGCCAAGTGCACTGAGCCCTCAGAGGGGGTTCCTATGCTCACCGTGAAGCTCAGCTCAGCACATGTTACTTGCCAGGTCACATGGCCAATGAGGGCCACTGGCTGGATTCACTCCATGTCTGTCTCTTCCAGAGCCCATCCTCTTTCTACTAAACCTGGATGACTCTTAGATGTTTTTGTCTTGCCCCTATATGAGTAATCTCTGTGACCTGGGTAGCTAAAACAGATGGGAACAGAAAGCCGTGACTGACCAACAAACTAGAAAGGCTATCTGCTGTCAGAGCACTGGCGGTCCAGGCCCAGAGCGCCCACAGTGAGACTTCCCAGCCTCCATTTCCTCATGGGTAAAAAGCCCATCGCTCACTGCCTGGCCACAGCATGGAGTCGCTGTGAAGGTCAAAGGAGATCTGGTAAGAGAAAGCACCTTGTACACTGTAGAGGCTGTACAACGTGAGGGCTATGAACATTACTCTGTGTTGTTTGCCCACAGAAAGTATTAGAACTCCATAAAGCTTTTTGGTCCTGAAATTAACCTTCCCCTCTTTCTACTACCCCTGAAGTTTTGAAAATCCCAATGAAATTCCCAAACTAGACATATATAAAGTATAAAATACACAACTAATAATGAATTAGGAGTATAAAAAAGTGGTGTCAAAGGTATGCTTACTACAACTCATTGTTTTCCACAACAGGTTTACAATCTTTTTATTTTCAATGGTAAACTCACTCAAATGAGACTATAATCCAACTTTCTATCTTCAGGTTTTGTAACATGGATCAAAGTGCTAATGATAAAATTACGATAGAGTTTAACAGAATGTGTACCCAGTAGTTTATAATTCCTAAATGCAGTCTAATTCTTATCTGTTGAGTA
Source organism: Homo sapiens (assembly GCF_000001405.40). Classification (NCBI taxonomy): domain Eukaryota; kingdom Metazoa; phylum Chordata; class Mammalia; order Primates; family Hominidae; genus Homo; species Homo sapiens. Next base: position 103,453,319 of record NC_000014.9, on the reverse strand, counting down.
TCTGCTGTGTGCCAGGCAGTGTGCTAGAGGCAGGGGACACAAAAAGATGAACAAGAAAGCTTCTGCCCTTCACAGACAATGAAACTCACGTGTGGTCGCAAACTACAAACCCAGCCCAATCTCAACCATAAAATACAAATCATTATAAAAGACAGCAGCTATAAACACGCATTTCAGAAAATGTCTACATTTTTACAAAACCATAGGCAAATAGTTACTAGTCATTAATCTTTATTTTAAGGAAACTCTAGTGATGTGTACTGTAACCATCATTTCTGGCCTTGGGGAAGACAGACACCAGCGACATTAAAATCTGGTAAAGAAAAGCATCTAAACCAAAGCACACATTTGTTTCAAACAGACTAAGCATTCATATGTTTAAATAGCCACATACTCAAGATAAACAAAATGTGAGGTGTGTGTCCCACACACACAATGGAGTATTATTCGGCCTTAAAAAGGAATGAAATTCTGACACATGCTACAGCATGGATGAACCTTGAGGACACTATGCTGCATCAATCAGCCAGACACAAAAAGACAAATCCTGGCCGGGCGCGGTGGCTCACGCCTGTAATCCCAGCACTTTGGGAGGCCGAGGCGGGCGGATCACGAGGTCAGGAGATCGAGACCATCCTGGCTAACACGGTGAAACCCCGTCTCTACTAAAAATACAAAAAATTAGCCGGGCGTAGTAGCGGGCGCCTGTAGTCCCAGCTACTCGGGAGGCTGAGGCAGGAGAATGGCGTGAACCCGGGAGGCGGAGCTTGCAGTGAGCCGAGATCGCGCCACTGCACTCCAGCCTGGGCGACAGAGCGAGACTCCGTCTCAAAAAAAAAAAAAAAAAAGACAAATCCTGTAAAATTCCACTTGTATGAGGTTCCAAGAGTAGTCAAATTCATAGAGACAGAAAGGAGAATGGTTGCCAAGGACTGGGAGAAGGAGAAATGGAGAGTTAGTGTTTAATGGGTATAGAGTTTCGTGTTAGAAAATGAAAACATTCTGGACATGGGTGGTGGTGAGGGCAACGTGAACATGCTAATGTCACTGAACTGTGCGCCTAAAAATGATTTTAACGATAATTTTCAGTGATGCATGTTTTACCACAAAAAATATCCAGGTATTTAGATATTACCAATTAACAATGCTAATAGTGAAACACTTCATGGCAACCCCTAGAAGTGCTAAGAGTCAGCTTTTCCGACTCTCATCCTAGCGTATTATGGCTCTGGACGTTAAATGAGACCTTAATGATGACCCATATGGGCAGTATGGTTGTGTATTTTTTTAAAAGGGAGAAAGAAAAAAAACCCAATATATATAAAAATGTTCTTACCTCCACTTGCATATTCCATGATTAGGTAGAGTGTTTTTTCAGTTTCAATGACTTCGAATAACTTCACTGCGGGAGAGGAGAGGACACGGAAGAAAAAGAGACAAATGTCTGTATGCACAAACCATGCACATATAAACTCTAACTATGAAAAGCAACCTTTTCCCTGTTAAAGATTTTAATAGCTGGCCCTCTAAAAAATGCTTTTAGGGAATTTTATCAAATACCACAACAACAGAAAAGAGTCTATGAAAGCATGGAATTCCATAAAAATAATTTCTGAATGTTCAGTGTGACTTCCATATGTGCTCAGCAGTCCAGCAAGGTGTACCTGAGCTCACTTCCTCTGTCACCCTCACTGTCCTTCAGCATGTCTGTGTTGGCTAGCTGCCCTCCCAGCACCCCAGGAAAAGTGGTCAGCCTGCAGCAACTGCTCAGTTCTACTCTGCTCCAACAAATGCAAATCTAGCTGCTTATGATTATGGCTTTAAGGATGTAATTCTATTTGAGACCTTTATTGCTTGGGAAACTTATGACAACTTTCAAAGAACAAGGTTCCTTTGTTACTTTTCTGATGCCAAAGATGGAAAGAAGTAGAGGGATTATACTGCAATTAATTGAGGGGGGGAATCTTTTTTATAAGAATCATTTTCAGTAGGTCAGGGTGATTTTCCTACAGCAGTCTTTTGTTACAGATGGAAATATTTCTATCACTGCTAATTCATAAAACCTTATTAGAAATATATACATTTTTGGCTGAGTATGGTGGCTCACACCTGTAATCCCAGCACTTTGGGAGGCTGAGGCGGGTGGATCGTTTCTGCTGAGGAGTTGGACACCACCCTCGGCAACATGGCAAAATTCCCTCTCTACAAAAAAATGCCAAAAATTAGCTGGGTATGGCGGCATGCACCTGTAGTCCCAGCTACTCGGGAGGCTGAGGTGGGAGAATGGCCTGAGCCAGTGTGGTGGAGGTTGCAGTGACCTGAGATCATGCCACTGCACTCCAGCCTGGACAACAGAGCTAGACCCTGTCTCAAAAAAAAAAAAAAAAAAAAAAAAAAAGAATACACACACACACACACACACACACACACACACACACACACACTTTAAAAATGAAACTGGAGTAAATCCCTGAAGCTATCAAATCACCATTGTGCATATCTACTTTATTATGTTAATATTTACTTTAAGTTTACCCAAAACTGGGGGGTATGCTAGTGTTTTATATTTCAAGCAATTTTCTGAGGCTTTAATAGAGTATCAGGCCAAACAAAATGCCTAACATAGCAGTCAGTAAATGTTTGATGAACTGATGAATAAAGCTATCATACCATTCCCTAGACTCTGATACGTTCAGACTGTGAAGAAAAGCCACTTCAGAAAGTTAAGGCACATGTGTTGGTAAGCTGCATGAAAATAAAACTCTTCTAATCTTCCAACGAAACTTTGGGTCTTCTGGGAAAACTATGTTAATGCAATAGGAATTTTTTAAAAGTTCAATTTATTATCAAAGATATGTCAAGTTTTAAGTACAAAACTCTAATCAGGTCACAATTTAAGTAATTAAAAGACAAAATAAACATGTTTACGTTAGCTTGTTCTAGGCAACAGTGATAAAGTTTTTTTGTGGGGGGCGGGAGGACGGGTGTGAAAAGTTGGAATTTGAAATCCAGAGTTGGCTAGCTAGCCCCAAAGGATTGAAATGAAAATCAAGGAAACAAGATTTTCTTCCCACTATTATATTCCTTGTGATTTTTTTTTAATCCAACTATGAAGTTGTTCCGTGGTTTTTTCTTCAACCATACTTATTGATTCTAAATTTTTTTTTCACATTTTAATTAATATCCCTGATATCAGGATGAAGGCTTGCTAGCATTTCTCTTAGTAGTATATGAAACAAGGAAACAAGAACACCTTTAAAGTAATGGTGGTTTAGACTGATGAAATAGGGCATACGCCTTTTGTTAAAAAAGCAGCTCTCTGTAAAAGCTTCTTTCTTCCTGTGGTGGTTCTGTGTTACTCTTCTATTCTTGTGCCTGATGCATTCTTGATAGGCTATCCTTGATACTAAACATCAATCCTTTCATTTCCTAAAACTGATGTTGACAGTTAAGCTGATTATGGGCTGTCTTAAGAGTGATTTCATTCTTGAAATATTATTTTTAGATTGTATGATCTATCACTATACAAAAAAGCAGTTATGTAATTTTTTAAAAGCCCTATTACAATGCATATGGGATCAAAAGTTTTTCTTGGGTCAGTATTAAGTCATTTGCTTATTCTCTTCTTGTTTCTACAGTTACTCTAAGGGTAGGACCATGTCGCTCCTTCCTCATCTTTAAACACACCTACTAGCACCCAGCACAGAGTTGTGCACACAGAGGACACAGAAAACAAATCTTTGATTTATAAAATAATTCCTATCACAATTCCATTAGATAGCAAGTATTCCATCTTTCAAATAAGTATTTTCTTAGGGCACACAGCAAAAAGTATTGGACCTCTGAAATATTCTTTTTACAAATTTTTAAGTTTATTATTATTATTACTTTTTTTTTTTTTTTTTTTGGAGAGACGGGGTCTCGCTCTGTTGCTTAGGCTGGTCTTGAGCTCCTGACCTCCAGCAATCCTCCTGCCTTGGTTTCCCAAAGTGCTGGAATTACAGGCATGAGCCACTGTGCCCAGCCCCTTTGAAAATATTAATTCTGACTTCCTATAATTCCCTTCTATCTACTCATGCAATACAATTATATTTTCTAATATACTTAAAAATTAGAAAATTATAATCAGAGTACAGATGTTTCTACCAGATTAAAGCTTTAAATTCAACGTTTAATACCTAAGCTTTTAACCTGTCTTCAGCAATTTCAAAAAGCTAATACAAATGATCAACAACTTGTATATATATTTTACTAGAAGTGTACTCTACCATTTCTAGAATACGTGTTTAGCTTTATGACATAATTTCAAGTACGTATTTAGACCCCAAAATATTTAAAAAAGCAGAAAGTACCTATATTGGGATGATTTAAAATCTTCATTATTCTTACTTCTCTGAAGAGCTAAAAAAAAAAACAAACAAAACACATAATCCCCCCAACACAAGTTATTAAACATTATATTCCACTGTTGTAATATAAATTTAAATTTTTCTCTTAGATAACAGATTCATTGCTAATGTTTATTAATCCATATCTAAGACTAATATGAAAGTCCAGAATATCTCTGAAGTAGTTTTAATAAACTATTACCAAATAGTATTCCCAAATGCTTCCATTTATTAAAAACAGCAGAGGTCTCAAAGGGGGATGGTAACATACTCTGAATTTTACAATGCTATCTTGAAAACATAAGATCAGACTTACGCAGGAATAATTTCTGTGATTAAACTTAGTCTGATTCAGTATCTACCCAGGGCTCCCAACTCTGCGAATCAAAACCTGTATGGTTCCAGTGAAATACATCATAAGCATATTAAACTGATAATTCCAAATAATTCTATTAGAAGACTATGAACAAAACCACCTTGAGAAATCCTCACTGGAGAATATAGGTAACTTAGCATGGAGGTTGTGGTGACTATTACATTAGTGACCCTCATGAGTCATGCCTTACATGTTCACGCTTTTGTGGAGTGCCCCCTTCATATTGACATTAGACCTGGCCATGTAATCTGCTTTGGCCAGTGGGACCTTAGCAAACTGAAGCAAGCAGAGGCTGGATAAAATGCTTGGGCGTCATGGCTTGCTCTCTTGGAGCACTGTGAAGGAGCTGGTCTGGCCTCTTTGGGGATGAAGGGTAGTTATTTAAAGAGACAGATCCTCTGTTGTAACTGCATCCAGCCCCTGCCAAACCACCAGCTGAATTCAGCCACACAAGTGAACCCAGGTGAGACCTTAAGAAAAACCAGCCGAGCACGGTGGCTCACACCTGTAATCCCAGCACTTTGGGAAACCAAGGTGGGTGGATCACTTGAGCTCAGGAGGTCGAGACCAGCCTGGGCAACATGGTGAAACCCCATCTCTACTAAAAATACAGAAATTAGCTGGGTGCAGTAGCATGTGTCTGTAGTCCCAGCTACTCGGGAGGCTGAGCAAGAGAATCACTTGAGCCTGGGAAGTGGAGGTTGCAGAGAGCTGATGGCGTCACTGCACTCCAGCCTGGGCGACAAAGCGAGACCCTGTCTCAAAAAAAAACAAACAAAAAACCATCCAACCAAGACCAGCAGAGCTTCCTAGCCATTCCACAGAATAAGAAATATTAAATTGCTGTTGTATAAATACATGTTGTGAATTCAGAGCAGGTTCTTATCATTATGGCCTGGGTTAATATAACCCAGAAAAACAACAGGATTTTAGAGACCATCCTATTCAACCCTCTTGCAAACAAGAGGAAACCAGGAAAAGAAAGAAAAAGATCTTCTAAGGTCCTGCTATCCTTCTGTGGGGAATGTGTCCGGAACCCAGTCTCCTAACACCCAGGATACAACCTCCAGGAGGCAAAAGCGGGGAAAAACCTTGGAAGAAGAGAAGCAGCGGCCTATGTGGAAAGGAAGCTGGTGAGAAATCACAGGACTCTCACCATACTTGTCCTTGTCCACTGTGTCTAATCTAAAATTGAATTAGCAGCTAAGAGGAGATGGACATGGACCAGATTTTTTTGTTAATTTATTTTTATTTTTTGAGACAGGGTCTCGCTCTGCTGCCCAGGTTGAAGTGCAGTGGTGTGATCATAGTTCACTGTAGCCTTGACCTCCTGGGCTCAATCAATCCTCCCCCTCAGCCTTCCAAAGTGCTAGGATCACAGGTGTGGGCCACTGTGCCCAGCCCATGGACAGGATTTGACATATAACCTTACGCTCAGAATTTTAAAACATGTAATCAGATAAATAACCTTTCCTATCTAAAATACTGTCTCATTTTTGAAGGGAGGAGCATTTTTATCTCCAACATAAACATCTCCCTTTGCAACTGTGGTAATTCCTACATTTTATGTTCTGAGATGAGAAGATAGTCACCCAAGTAAATTCCTGACAACCATTCAGGCCTGAGTTCTTTTTTAGCTCTCCTCTGTTAAACTAACACAGAAATCTTGTTTTCCAATCCATTATAGTTGAATTGGTAGCTAGAATTCAAATCTCCCAATTACTTCCCAACTGCTAAATTACAACACCTCCTGGAGGTTGCAGTGAGCTGAGATCATGCCACTGCACTCCAGCCTGGGTGACAGAGCAAGACTCCAACTCAAAAAAAAAAAAAAAAAAAAAAAAAGACAACAATCTCCACTTTGGATGCCATATCAATATAGCTCAGGATACACAGCACTGAGAATGAAACCCTGACCATGGCCATGGCATCCCTGCAACCTGCCAACTTCTGCATACCCCTCAAAGGTACGTTCTAGTCACCCCAACTCCTTTTAGTTACTAGAACATACTGTTTGTTTATTTATTTATTTTTGAGACGGAGTCTTACTCTGATGCCCAGGCTGGAATGCAGTGGCACAATATCGGCTCACTGCAACCTCCGCCTCCCAGGTTCAAGGGATTCTTCTGTCTCAGCCTCCAGAGCAGCTAGGATTGTAGGTCCCACCATGCCTGGCTAATTTTTGTATTTTTAGCAGAGACGGGGTTTTGCCACGTTGGCCAGGCTGGTCTCGAACACCTGACCTCAGGTGATTTGTCTGCCTTGGCCTCCAAAGTGCTGGGATTACAGATGTGAGCCACCGCGCCTGGCCACAGAACATACTAAATTCCTTTAAATGTCTTCTCCCTTTTCATCCTTTAAGTCTCAGGCAGATTCTCTGAAAACGTATCTAAGTAGGTCTCCTTGTTTTACATCATAGCCCATCTGTTCACTTCTTTCCTGGGATGTCTTTCAAGCTATGAAGACACATTTTTGTGCACCTGTTTGTTATCCTTGTGTCACCCACAGGGAGCATGCCTGTCTCCTTTCACTACTGTATACCTGAAACCAAGGCTGGCACACAACTGAAATGCATTTGTTTGATAAATGCCTGCATGAAAGCACTAACTACCAACAACTGCGGTCTGAGCCAGCCTCAGCATTCTAATGACCACATAGCTTTTAAATCCTCCGCAGCACAATGCTTGTTACAGAGTTGTCACAGTTCTGATGACAGGGGAGCAGGTCAAATGAAGGCAATCATTTTTAAGTCTCTACTAACAGTACAGCAGAAATGAAACAAAGTGAATTAGAGCCAAAAAGCAGGAAAAAGATGGACTATTACAGGAATTCAAAAGATTTGGCTTTAAGTTGCTAAGTTCTGGAGGAATTTGTTAGGCAGCAGTGGATAACTAATATTCTGCAGACACCATATTAAAATGCGAGAACTCCTGAGTTACAGCAGAGGTCATACCAGGGATGCAATGTGAAAACAAAAAGGACAGGTAAATGGGACCAGATAGAAGACTAGTAAAAATTTAATTCCGTAGGCAAAAAGAGCAGCCAAAGAATCCCAAGAGAGGTAGTGGCAGGATATTAGCCCAAATAACTTTATGTATTCACCTCTCTATTGGAATTATGTATTAGGTAGATACTGGCAGGCAGCAAATGTGTAAATAAGCTTTATGCTAAGTTAAACAAGCAGGACAGGGAGGAAGCAGGAAGCTAACAGTTATCTAGTGCCTGCTGTGTCTGACGCATAGAGCCAGATGCTTCACATTCACAGTCTTATCTAAGCTTAATTTTCACAACTCTATCAGCTGAGTATGATCATCTCCAGTATACAGAGACAGACGACTGAGACAGGTTAGGAAACTCATCCAAAGACTCAGCTAATATATGCTGGAGCCAGGATTCTCATTGTGGGTTGCCTGACTCCAAAGTCTACGTTCATCTCAGGATTCCACATTGCTACCTTAGAAATTTAACTAAAAAAAAAAATCAACAAATTATAAGCTGCTGATATAGAAAAGTCCAGAGCAACAGGTGGGTACTGGCACAGAGCTTTTTACGAAGTTGACAATTTGCATACAAGTGAGATAAAAATGCCAGAGACTTCATAATCTCAGAATCTGATGACCAAAGATAGTTAAATTTGGATAGGAATAATGTACTGAAAGGCAAATGTGAACTTTAAGGAAAGTCCCTATAAGGACTATACCAGAAAAATTTTAAAGTTTTGTAATTGTAAAAGGCCATTTAAATAAGAGAAACTCACCTTATTTCTACTTTTTTTTTTTGAAATGGAGTCTCGCTCTGTCGCCCAGGCTGGAGTATAGTGGCGCCATCTTGGCTCACTGAAAGCTCCGCCTCCCAGGTTCACACCATTCTCCTGCCTCAGCCTCCTTAGTAGCTGGGACTACAGGTGCCCGCCATCATGTCCAGCTAATTTTTGTATTTTTAGTAGAGACGGGGTTTCACCATGTTAGCCAGGATGGTCTCGATCTCCTGACCTCGTGATCCGCCCGCCTCGGCCTCCCAAAGTGCTGGGATTACAGGCGTGAGCCACCGCGCCCAGCCTATTTCTACTATCTTAATACAACTTATTTCTCCACATTCCCTTTTCAATCTTAAATAGATGTTAGTTGGAAAAAAGAAATCAAATTACATGGAAACGTATAAATTGAAAGAATTCTCTCCTTACTGATCAATCTATATCCTCCACACATTTTCACATCTATACATCCTCTATGGAACTGGCACACAAGAGGAGAATAAATACCTTTGAAGGCAAAGATTTGGAATCCTGGCAATGGGGATATCAAGGACACTAAATCTACGGTATCAGAGAAGTAAAGAAACATGTCCCAATAGCCAAGACCTGGGGGTTGTCAAGTATTACCACTGGAAAAATAAAATTTTACCTTTTGACAAGTAGAAAAAAAAGAGAGAGAGAATTTTAGTCTCTAGTAAAAAAAAAAAAAAAAAAAGACAATTTTACCAACCGATACGAAAGTAAAATGAGTATGTAAAAGAGAACACGGGGGTTACAGACATAAAACTGATCTAAACCATCACAATGAAGGTGTTCAGGCTCCCTTCTCCAGATACACAGATAAGGGACAGAAGACCAGGCCACCTAAGTCACTCCCTCATCACTCTACAGAAACTGTCCCTTTGCCTCAACTACCACAGCACCTAAATGGAAGAGTGCATCAAAGGCCCTCTCAGACAAACCAAGACAGAGAGGCTGGCAAAGTTCATGAGAAGGAATTTTCAAGAAAATGCATTTGTGTAAAAAAGGAAAAAAAAATTTGCTTCTTAATATACAGAGTATCTCTGGAAAGACTCAAAGGAACTGATGTCACTGGTTGCCACAGGCTGGTCTGGTCTCCCAAGTGCTAGGTAGGTAACCTATTTTAAAGACGACCCCTTCCTCAAACGCTCTAAGTCTCAAAGACGACTTCCACTGTGACCGCTGGGTATCTCCTCCCTCTCTTGGTGCTCTTCCTGAGAATGCCTCAGTACTCAATTCCTGGACTCTTTTCCCCTCCTTTTTAATTCCGTTACCATCATTTAGTGAATCTTTGGGGAAACAAAGATAAATGTACCAGTATTTAGTCCTATATGCTAGTATTTTTAATTCCCAATTTTAGAATGGATATTATAAGTGAAACTGAACTGTAGTTTTCGTTCCTGTTTCCAATATATTTCAATAGCATTGTTTCTGAATTTGAGAAAAGAATTTGGAAGTTCCTCTTCTTAAGTTCTGGAACAGCTGAACAGAGGCAGAGTATGTACTCACAGTAGATCTCAAAGAATTCAATCATGAATTCCAGGTTTGGCAATATGTTAACTACTTTCTCAACTTCTGTTGTTACTGATGTGTATCGATTCTTTTCTAGAGTTAATTTTGGTAAGTCATGTTTTCCTAGAAAATTATCAATTTCTTTGGATATTCTAACATTTTTCAGAGTTGCAGAAAAGGTTCCTTTATAATAATTTAAATTCTTCAGTATCTGGTATTTCCCCCTCATTTTTCTGTGTTTTCTCTCCCTTCCCCCTGGCAGCACTTAGTAGCTTATCTATTTCATTGCCTCTCTTCTCACTTCCTTGTCGGTGGGAGGGGGGGGGACACCCACCAAAGTTTTGGATTTACCATTTCTACTGTTTTCAAATTCATTATTTTCTGCCTTTAGCTTTACTGACTCCTTACATTATTATTTATTCCTGAGATTTATTTTGTTCCCTTTTCTAAACTATTAGTTTAATGTTTAATGCATTCCTTGTCATTCTTGTTTAATAATGTGTTTAAGGCTACAAATTTCCCGGAGCACCAAAAAGCAGTATTACATAGGTTCTGACACACAGCTTATTATCATTAATTCCTAGATATACTGTAATTTTTGTTTGCAATTTTTCTTTGATCCAAGAATTCTGTGTGTTTTAGGTTCCACATGTTTGTATATTTTGTTTGGTTCTATTTTTATTGCTCTACATTAGAACTATAGCCTAGAAAGATGTTAGTCTGGCTTATTCAAATGTTATGTATTGCCCAACTCTGAGAAAATAATATACCTCATAGTCATCACACATTGGAATAGTTATGACGATAATATCCTAGCACACAGCTGTTATGTATCCTGAAAAGGGGATTAAAACAGCTATACTATGGGCTAATGGAAGTGCTGTTATTTTTTTTTTTTTGAGACGGAGTCTCACTCTGTCACCCAGGCTGAACTGCAGTGGCACGATGTCCGCTCACTGCAAGCTCCGCCCCCCGGGTTCACACCATTCTCCTGCCTCAGCCTCCCCAGTAGCTAGGACTACAGGCACCCGCCACCACGCCCAGCTAATTTTTTTGTATTTTTTAGTAGAGACGGGGCTTCACCATGTTCACCAGGATGGTCTCAATCTCCTGACCTCATGATCCGCCCACCTCAGCCTCCCAAAGTGCTGGGATTACAGGTGTGAGCCACCGCACCTGGCCATGGAGGTGCTGTATATTAAGATATGTACCTTTTCCCCCTACTTACTGTGTAATTAATGAATGGCCTAAGAGAGTTAAGTGATAAAGTCTTCTCTGTCATGCCTGTGTTTCTATTAATTTAGCTCAGATTTTCACCTATGTATTTTGGGGTTCTGGTTATCATTTGGTGTCCTATCATTAAAAATAAAATTTAAAAATATGAAAATAAAATAAAAATAATTGCTTTTCAAATGGCAATTGTTAAGTGAACCAGAATAACCACTTCTGAAGAACAAAGTGTGTGTTTAGACACGGAGACTCTGTCCACGATGCAGATCAGCAAAGAAAGGAGAGGTGAGGCAGCAAGTGATTATACATACGAAAAACCATGAAACTGGATCCCTACCTCGTAACACATGACTGCTGGTGGCTTAAAGATTACTTTAAACATGTGAAGACAACAGAGAAAAATATGTTTATGACCCCAGGTAGAGAAGAATTTCTTAAAGAAGACACAAAAAAGGCCGGACGTGGGGGCTCACACCTGTAATTCCAGCACTTTGGGAAGCCAAGATGGGTGGATCACGAGGTCAGGAGATCGAGACCATCCTGGATAACACGGTGAAACCCCGTCTCTACTAAAAATACAAAAAAAATTAGCCAGGCGTGATGGCAGGCACCTGTAGTCCCAGCTACTCGGGAGGCTGAGGCAGGAGAATGGCGTGAACCCGGGAGGCGAAGCTTGCAGTGAGCCGAGATCGTGCCACTGCACCCCAGCCTGGGTGACAGAGCGAAACTCCGTCTCAAAAACAAAAAAACAAAAAAACAAAAAAGACATAAAAAGTGCAAAGCATATTAAAAAAAGACTGATAAATGTAACTGCTTTAAAATTAGGAGCCTCTGCTATTCACTGAGAGACAGTATCAAGAGAGTGAAGATATACCATCAAGTAGAAGGTGTGTGCCACATATATAATAGTATCCATGATATATAATGATATCCTAAAATAACTAAGAAAAAATCCACTAGAAATTAAACAAAAGATGAATACGTACTTCACAGAAGAAACAAAAAACCTAAATATGAAAAAATGCATGACCTCATCAGTAATTAGGAAAATGTTACATTAAAACCATAATGAGATTTTTCTTTTCTTTTCTTTTTTTTTTTTTAAGAGGGGCTCCTGCTCTGTTACCCTGGCTGGAGTGCAGTGGTGCAATCACAGCTCACCGCAGCTGTAAACTCCTGGGCTTAATCAATCCTCAGCCTCCCAATTATCTGAGACCACAGCTATGTGCCACCATGCCCAGATAATTAAAAAAAAAAAAAATCTTTTTGTAGATACAGAGTCTTGCTCTGTTGCCCAGGCTGGTTCTTGAACTCCTGGCTTGGAGAGATCTTCCCATCTCAGGCTCCCAAAGTGCTGGAATTTAAGGAGGAAGCCACTATGCCTGGCCAAATATCACTTTTATATTTACCAAATTGATAGCACAATTTTTTTGTTTTTTTGAGATGCAGTCTTGCTCTGTCGCCAGGCTGGAGTGCAGTGGCGCAATCTCAGCTCACTGCAACCTCCACCTCCCGGGTTCAAGCAATTCTCCTGTGATGGCACAAATTTTAAAAAATCAGAGAAAATCAAATTTTGATGAGGATGCTACATTACTTGTGCTCTCTTACACACTACTGATGGAAATATAAATTAGCATACCTGCTCTGAAAATAATTTGGCCTTCTCTAATGAAGAAGGAGGATGTGCAGACAGACTCTGTGATACAAGAATTCTAAGTATATATATTTAAGAAACTCTTCACAAGTGTGCCAGGACACACAGAGGACAATTCACAGCAGTCATGTTTGCAATACAAAAAGCAATCCAAATGTCTCTGAATCACAGAATAAATACAGAGTGGCATATTCACATAATGGGATACTACATATTCTTGAAAATGGACATAGCAGTGAAGGTGAATTACAGCAAAATACATCAACATGGAACACAATGTAGGTAAAAGAAAGCAAAAGCGGCTGGGCATGGTGGTTCACACCTGTAATCCCAGCACTCTGGGAAGCTGAGGTGGGTGGATCACTTGAAGTCAGGAGTTCGAGACCAGCCTGGCCAACGTGGTGAAAACCCGTCTCTACTAAAAACACAAAGATTAGCTGGGTGTGGTGGTGCACACCTGTAATCCCAGATACTTTGGAAGCTGAGGCAGGAGAATCACTTGAATCCAGGAGGCAGAGGCTGCAGTGCTGAGATCACGCCACTGTACTCCAGCCTGGGTAACAAGAGCGAAACTCCGTCTCAAAAAAACAAAAAAAAGGAAGCAAAGCAAAAGCCAATAGGAGAATACACATAGCATGAGTCCATTTATACAATTTTTTAAACTTTACACTACATTGGTGGGGTGCGGTGGCTCACGCCTGTAATTCCAGCACTTTGGGAGGCTGAGGTGGGTGGATCACTTGAGGTCAGGAGTTCAAGACCGGCCTGGCCAACATGGTGAAACCTGGTCTCTACTAAAAATACAAAAATTAGCTGGGTGTGGTGGCGCACGCCTGTAATCCCTGCTACTCAGGAGGCTGAGGCACAAGAATCGCTTGAACTTGGGAGGCAGAGGTTACAGTGAGCTGAGATCGCACTACTGCACTCCAGCCTGGGAGACAGTGCGAGACTCAGTCACAAACAAACAAACAAACACAAAAGAAACAAAAAACAGACCAAAAAAAACCTTTACACTACATTGATGAGTGATCCATATGTGGTAAAATTACACGGACAAAGCAAGAAAATAATAACACAAAATCCTTGTTAGTGTTTACCCAGTAGGTGGGCAATGAAGAAGGGGAATCAGGTTGAGGAGGGGCACAATATGGGACTGGTTTAAAGGTATGGTTGAAGATCTATTTCTTGAAGCAGGTAGTATAAGGGTGCTCATCTCATATACATATTTATATGCTAAACATGGAACATTCTTTTGTATGCAGTCAGTATTTAATAAAAATTAAAAACTAAATTTTAAAAAATTGCTTAGCTTTAGCTGAGTAATACAACAAATCAGTTTTCTAAAAATGTAAAATAAGAGTAGCAACAATGTGTGTGCTTTTTTTTTTTTTTAATTAGAGAAGGAGTCTTGCTCTGTCACCCAAGCTGGAATGCAGTGGCATGAACATGGTTCACTGCAGCCTCGACCTCCCGGGCTCAAGCAATCCTCCAGCCTCAGCCCCCTAAGTAGCTAGGACTACAGGTGCGCACCACCACATCTGGCTAATTTCTGTATGTAGAGACAGGGTTTTGCCATGTTGCCCAGGCTGGTCTTGAACTCCTGAGCTCAGCAATCTGCCTGCCTTGGTCACCCAAAGTGCTGGGATTACAGGCTTGAGCCACCATGCCTGGCCAATAATGTGTTTTTTATGATCAAATATTTCAAAGACAAACTAAGAATCTTCCCATCTCCCAAACTCAAGGTTCTGGTGGTCAAGATTCCTAGAATCAGAGCAACATCAGGAAAAATTAATTTAGTGTTAAAATGAATTTGGTACTAACAAAATTAACTTATCAGATTTTACTAGGTATCTACCACATGCAAGCTGAATTTCCATATGTTCCTTTGTTATCCTTCCCATATGGAAAGTACTATGAGTGACTGGCTCCAAGGGAACTTATGCAAAGAAAGCTATTTGATGTTATAAATTTAGGTTCTAAGGCTAGTTCAGTCCCTTATTCACTGGATGAGTGAACAAACCACAAAATCTTGAGAGCTTTAACCTACTTACCTATAAGATAGATTTTGAAAACAGCTACTTCGGCCTGGCGTGGTGGCTCACGCCTGTAATCCCAGCACTTTGGGAAGCTGAGGCAGGTGGATCACCTGAGGTCGGGAGTTCCAGACCAGCCTGACCAACATGGAGAAACCCTGTCTCTACTAAAAATACAAAAAAATTAGCTGGGCGTGGTGGCGGGTGCCTGTAATCCCAGCTACTCGGGAGGCTGAGGGAGGGGAATCACTTGAACCAGGGAGGTGGAGGTTGCGGTTAGCCGAGATCACGCCATTGCACTCCAGCCTGGGCAACAAGAGCAAAACTCTGTCTCAAAGAAAAAAAAAGAAAACAACTGCTTCACAGGACTGTTGTGAAAAGTACATGCAATGCTATAAGATAAAGTGTGTGTAGAATTTGATTCCAGGAGCTATACTACCTAATCCCAACCCAGCTGTACCACTCACTAAGTCTAGGTAACTTGACCTCCCTGACCCTGTCACCTCTACAATGAAAGGATGGCTTGACATACAGAGTGCATGGAACAGCACCTGGCACACAATAAACTCCTGACATGTGTTTGTGATTCTGGCTGATGTTACTGTTATAATTCTCTCACAAAGGCCTAATTTGCACCCAAGTTTATATTTTCTGCAAATGGGTCCAGGCTATGCTCTAAGTTTAACCCACTTAAAATACTTGGTTCCTTGGTGACTTTTCTAAAATAGCATAATAAGTCCTTGGTACAATGAAAAATATACTTTAGCTGGGTATGGTGGTGTGTGCCTGTAATCCCAGCTCCTTGGAAGGCAGATTGGAATCCTCGGAAGGAGGATGCTTGAACCCAGGAGTCTGAGACCAGCTTGGGCAAGATAGTGAGACCTCAATTCTAAAAACAAACAATCAATCTCTAAAATACACTCTACTATTCTCAGTTTATAATGTATTTTTTTTTTTTGAGACGGAGTCTCACTCTGTCGCCCAGGATGGAGTGCAGTGGCGTGATCTCGGCTCACTGCAAGCTCCGCCTCCCAGGTTCACACCATTTTCCTGCCTCAGCTTCCCGAGTTTATAATGTATTCTAAATATCAACCCGTATTATTTATTGCCAAAACAAAAATAAGTCTGGCAAGAAATTTAAAAGTTTATAAGGAATAAAGAAGCAACAATACTGAAAGCCGGTTTTTCTATTTCTTCTCTTTTGAAATCTAAAAATAAACAAACATATATACAGTTTTATTCTCAATTTTTTTTTTTTTTGGCAGAGTTTCTCATTTGTTGCCCAGGCTGGAGTGCAGTGGTGCCATCTTGGCTCACTGCAACCTCCGTCTCCTGGGTTCAAGTGATTCTCCTGCCTTAGCCTCCCAAGTAGCTGGGATTACAGGCATGCGCCACCACACCTGGCTAATTTTTTTGTATTTTTAGTAGAGACGGGGTTTCACCATGTTCGTCAGGCTAGTCTCGAATTCCAGACCTCAGGTGATCCCACCCAGCTGGGCCTCCCAAAGTGCTGGGATTACAGGAGTGAGCCACCGTGCCCAGTCTATTCTCAATATTTTAAATATGTATAATCAGGCTGGGGGTGGTGACTCATGCCTATAATCCCAAGGCTTTGGGAGGCCAAGACGGGAGGATTGCTTAAGCCCAGAAGTTCCAGGCTACAGTGAGCTATGATCATGACACTGCACTTCAGCTTGGGCTACAAAGTAAGACCCAGCCTCAATCAATCAATATAAGAAGTGCCTGTCTTGGATTTCATTTGCCATCTCCTATTTGTATTAATTTATCAGATTTATGACACTGATGTGAATGCAGACACTGGATTTTAAATAACAGACAAGACTGTAACAACTATTTTTACAGTGGTTACTACTTTTGTTAATGGCCTGAAAAGTCAATATAAGAAAATGAAAGAGAAAGATAGTTGGAAAAAAAAAAAAAAGAAAGAAAAGAAAAAGATGAAAAGAGTTGTTCAATGAAAAGGATTTCCAAAATAACTTGTGCTTCACCCAATAGAGAAAGGAGGCCAGGAACTGGGTACTAAGGCATTCCTAGGAAGAGTTCCAGAGAGGGAGAAAATATTCAGCAGTGGCAGTGGCAGTAGCAGCTGTCTATGAAACTTAGAATATTTGGGGAAGGGGTCATCTTTAAAATAGGTTACTTTGCCGGGCACGGTGGCCACACCTGTAATTCAGCACTTTGGGAGGCTGAAGCGGGTGGATCACTTGAGGTCAGGAGTTCGAGACCAGCCTGGCTAACACGGTGAAACCCTGTCTCTACTAAAAATACAAAAATTAGCTGGGTGTGGCAGCGGGTGCCTGTAATCCCAGCTACTTGGGAGGCTGAGGCAGGAGAATCACTTGAACTCGGGAGGCAGGGGTTGCAGTGAGCCGAGATGGCACCACTGCACTCCAGGCTGGCCAACAGAGGGAGACTCCGTCTCATAAATAAATAAAATAGGTTACTTTAGTTGGGTGTGGTGGTGCGCGCCTATAGTCCCAGCTACCTCAGGAGGCTGAGGTGGAAAGATACTTGAGCCCAGGAATTCCAGGCTGCAGTGAGCTCTGGTCTTGCTGCTACCTTCCATCCTGGGCAACAGGACAAGACCCCATCAATCAATCACTCAATCAATAAAAAATAAATAGGCCGGGCGTGGTGGCTCACGCCTGTAATCCCAGCACTTTGGGAGGCCAAGGCGGGCAGATCATGAGGTCAGGAGATTGAGACCATCCTGGCTAACACGGTGAAACCCCATCTCTACTAAAAATACAAAAAATTAGCCGGGCGTGGTGGCGGGTGCTTGTAGTCCCAGCTACTCGGGAGGCTGAGGCAGGAGAATGGCGTGAACCCAGGAGGCAGAGCTTGCAGTGAGCTGAGATCGCACCACTGCACTCCAGCCTGGGTGACAGAGCGAGACTCCGTCTCAAAAAAATAAATAAATAAATAAAAATAAGTAAAATTGGAAGAAGAGAGAAATTAAGAACTTTGGGGGAAGTGAAGACAGACTAGGAGCCATTCTCATCTGGGGTGTGTACTGAGATCACCACATTTCTAGACCCGCCAAGATAGGACCTCTAGGGAGGAAAGTACTGTGAAGGAAATATGCTTTTTTCAAACTCCACAAATGTTTCTAATGCACAAGAAGGGTTGAAAAGTACTGGCTTAAGAAAACTAAATCAACAGTGCCCAAAATAACCCAGTGGTGGCAGCAGTAAAAGTCATTACACGACAGACCACATGAAAAGCATGAACTGGTTCTCCTTGCTTTCAAATTATAAGTTTCCCTGCTACATCCCATGACCAAGATTCCCTAGGACGCCAAAAAAGGCCACTACTGCTACTGCTACAGAGCTCTAAGCACTAACAGTGGCTCCAAAGCAAATACTAGCTTTAAAAAGAAAACAGCCTCCCTCTTCCTGGGTAGGTGTCTGGTGCTTGAGGGGTATCGGAGTGGACCAGGCTTGAGGGGCACAATGAATAACCCTATACCTTCCAATTTGAAATTAGAAGCAAAAAACGCTGCTAAAATATTAATTCACAGAATTGACTTCCAGAAATGACCTGATAAGATTATTCCTGACTGAACTAGATTCTGAATTCTTCTAGTTTTCTTTAATATCTGGCTACAACTTGCCAATGAAGAATGAGCTGCTCAATTTCAGAAGCCCTATAAACCAAAGCTGACAGCTTGATGTAAATTTCGAGTCTCATGCCTGATGTGTAGGCCACACAGAGAATTCACCAGAATGCCAGATGCCACAACCAGAGACATTCAAACTGCGAACCAGGACGAGAAGTTGTGGACTGCATGCTATGGACAGCTTTTCCCAAGACTGTCATAATAACAAGACTTCATAACAATGCTTTTGCCCCTCTTAATTTTTCCTTACTAATGCCTACCTCTTTCAGTTTGGCAGGATCATGCTGTAGCTAAAATTTCACAGTCAGTAGCTTCTGTGGGTAACTTGCACTCCCTGCTTTATACTTAGCCCGGTCACGGAATGCTGGGATGCCTACTAAACATGGAGGAATCTGTGCAGTTCATGACACTTCTCGTTGCGATTTGGGTATGGTAGAGCGGACAACTTGGTTAAAATTGGCAGACTCCTTGTTTGGCTATACAATTTTAGTTGATTTGGTTCATAAAAACCCTGGCTTAGGAGCATACTCTAAATGCTTGGTGTGATCCTCATGATAGTCATAATGGTAGTCTCTCTGGTACGCTGTATCCTCCCAGAGTGTTAAGTGTCTCCATGTAGCCACCTATCAGATGTCAAATGGTTCTCTCTGGCTAGAACAACAAAAACTCAAAAGAAACACACGATAATGAGAACACCCTGTCAACGGCATGCTGAAACGGGAAACTCAAAATGATGGCAACTGAGAACAGCAGGGATATCCTAGGTTTTGGTTACACTCTTACCTAGGTGAAAGCCTGACCAAAAGGGAAGAATTGTTAAATAAAAATTATAGGAAGCCATTGTTTGGGACTAAACTCCTGCATTAGGCCCCAGGAAACCAGGTTAAAATTAAAAATGGAGTAATCCCTGCTAAGATTCCACATTCCCAAACCTAAATTAAGTTGTTATCTGACCTTCCTAGAAATCAGAAGAAAAGGAGATAACAGCTAATTTCCCAAACAGGACAGTTTATTATTTATTTATTTTTTGAGGCAGAGTCTCACCGTCACCCAGGCTGGAGTGCAGTGGTGTGATCTCGGCTCACTGCAACCTCCGCCTCCGAGGTTCAAGCGATTCTTGTGCCTCAGCCTACTGGGTAGCTGGGGTATGTCACCACGCCCAACTAATTTTTGTATTTTTAGTAGAGATGCAGTTTCACCATGCTGGCTAGGCTGGTCTCGAACCCCTGGCCTCAGGTGATCCACCCGCCTCGGCCTCCCAAAGTACTGCCATTATTGGCGTGTGCCACTGCGTCCAGCCCCTGATTGAAGATTTAAACTGTCCTGGCTGAGCACGGTGGCTCAGGCCAGTAATCCCAGCACTTTGGGAGGCTGAGGCAGGCAGATCACCTGAGGCCAGGAGTTGGGAGACCAGTCTGACCAACATGGTGAAACCCTGTCTCTACTAAAAATACAAAAATTAGCCAGGCGTGGTGGCACACACCTGTAGTCCCAGCTACTCAGGGGGCTGAGGCAGAAGTATCTCTTGAACCCGGGAGGCAGAGGTTGCAGTGAGCCAAAATCACACCACTGCACTCCAGCCTGGGTCACAGGGCAAGACTCTGTCTCAAAAAAAAAAGAAAAGAAAAGAAAAGAAAAGAAAAAACTTCAATTGGCACAATAACAAAGTTCCTACTGCTTTAATCCTTACAGAAAAAAATGTAGTGTGAAGTAACCTGACATTAACTAATCGGTTACTTTTCTATGTGGTATAGTCTATTGTGGTCTATTGTTCTGTTTCCCTGTCCCTGCCTTACAAAAAAAAGGAATTCTGAAAGGACCAATACACTCTTTGTTCTTTGCTTCAGCTTTTTTTTGAGACAGGGTCTTGCTCTGTTGCCCAGGCTGGAATGCAGGGGCACCATCACAGCTCACTGCAGCCTCCAACTTCTAGGCTCAAGTGATCCTCCCATCTTAGCCTCCTAAGTAGCTGGAACTACAGGTACACACCACCACACCTGGTTAATTTATTTAATTTTTTTTTTGGTAGAGACGGGTCTCTCTGTGCTGCCTAGGCTGATCTCGAATTCCTGAGCTCGAGTGATCCTCTCGCCTCAGGCTCCCCAAGTGCTGGGATTACAGGAGTGAGCCACTGTGCCGGGCCTGCCTCAGCCTTCTTCAGCCTTTGCCTGTCTCTAAAGCCAACTTCTGCTCAGCTCATAGGGACACTTATTCTATTTTATGGAATGTAGTGTTGCCCTATTTTACAATCACGATAAGGCCAGTGGAAGGAAGGGAGGGAGGAAGATTGAGGTGGGTATAAGCAGGATTTCCCCACAAAGACCCTGATGAAATCCATAGTCAATAATGCTTTAATAAATCCTACTGGGTATTTTGCATATATTTGTGTTTAATGTTCCTTTTTTTCTTCCTCTGTAAATCTCATTAAAATTTAAAAACACAGGGATTTCCCTTTCTGTCCTACTCAGTCTAGATTTAAGAATGGTGGTTAAATCTTACTCAAAAAATGCTTTACTACTGGGTCAGCAGTATCAACTTGGATGAATTCTCCATTGAAAAGTCTTGTTCTTGTCTTGTTTAATATTTTAATTGGATGGAGACATCCATATCTAATTTACATAGCAGCTAATACAAATGACCCATTATTCCAAAATCCCCCAAAAGACTGGAATTAAGGCAGAAAATCAATTAAATGAATTTTAGCAGGAATCAAACAAATTCAGGTGGGAGGGGGGAAACAATTCCAAGTATGGAATAAAGTAGGCTTCTGTTCAGCGAAACTCCTGTGGGAGTACCCAAGGAGGCTGAGGGGATTTACTCTGCATAAGAGAAAATCAACAAGACCCAAAATAGCAACTTCTAAGGGCTGGTTATGTTTGGAGTAACTATAACTCCATATGACAAATGGTAAACAGTGTTGTAGAAGTTTCTAGAAGACAGATGCTAGTCTGAAGTAAGGGGAAAAGGCTCTAATAGCAAAGCCACTGAACACTGGAACAAGATGCTACGGGAAGGAGTGTGTCTCCATCCCTGAATGTGCTCAAGGTTGGCTAACTAACCAGCTATCATAAATACATTACAAAAAATCAATTATTTCATTACATGTTACAAATTTCTTGTTTTTTTTTGAGACAAAGTCTTGTTCTGTCGCCTCCTGGGTTCAAGCAATTCTCCTGCCTCAGCCTCCTGAGAAGCTGGGATTATAAGCATGTGCCACCACGCCCAGCTAATTTTTGTATTTTTAGTAGAGACGCGGTTTCACCATGTTGACCAGGCTGGTCTCGAACTCCTGACCTCAAGTGATCCACACACCTTGGCCTGGGCATGGTGGCTCACACGTGTAATCCCAGCAAGTGGAGGCTGAGGCAGGTGGATCACCTGAGGTCAGGAGTTTGAGACCAGACCAGCCTGGCTAACATGGCAAATCCCCCATCTGTACTAAAAATACAAACATTAGCCAGGTGTGGTGGCGTACACCTGTAGTCCTAGCCACTTGGGAGGCTGAGGGAGAAGAATTGCTTGAACCCAAGAGGCAGAGGGAGACTGCAGTGAACTCAGATCCCACTACTGCACTCCAGCCTGGGCAACAGAGCGAGACTCCATCTCAAAAAAACAAAAACAAAAACAAACGAACAAACAAAAAATTGACCTAAAAGATGCGTAAGAATAGAATAGTATTCCAGATATACTAGTGAGACATTGGAAGGTATATAGCCAGATGCTGTGGTGTGCATTTGTAGTCCCAGCTACTTGGGAGGCTAAAGTGGAAGGACTGCTTAAGCCCAGGAGTTCGAGTCCAGCCTGGACAACAGAGCAAGACCCATCTCTTAAAAAACAATGGAGAAAAATAAATCTCTCACCAGAATCTAACGTTTATTAATTCAATGGCTGCAAAAATACAAAGGAAAAATGAAGAGACTCATCTGTGAAAATAATATCAATTTGCAAACATAGTCAACTCAGGTTTACTTATATGTGCATTTAGTAAATGTTCATGACCCAGTATGCAAGCCTGAATATCATGAAACCGATATTTTAACACGTGTGTTCACTGTTAAAATACTGCCTGAATGAGCCAGTCCACCTTTTTCGGTAGTGGTGGTAAAAAAGAGATTGCACACTGCTGATGGCAGAATGTTCCTTATGATGAATGTTAGCTGCTAGGGCATGCTCCACAGCTTTAAATCACTATCTAAGAGAGCTGTTCCTGAAGCAAGTGTGATACAACTATGAATGGTGCTGAGAAGAAAAAAGGATGCAAGAATGACTGCAAAGGGGGCTGACAAAGTTGCCTGGTACATTCTACATTGTTGCAAAATTGCTGGGGGTGGGGGAAGATGGGGGGGCTGGGGATAAGATACTTGGTGAAAAAGAATTGGAAACAAATGTATGTAAAATGCTTCTAATTTACTTCATAAGCATATGAAGTTATATACACAATTTTAAACAATGGCCTATAAACTGAAAATATTATACTTATCAAGTTATTTAACTTGGGATAGAGCTGGCTTTAGAATAAGTCTTCAGTGAATGGTTCATACTTGAATAATACCAAAAACAAATCTTAAAGTTTTAATTATTATTATAAGTCAAAATTAATTCAGATGCAAATATGCATAATCACACTAATGGGCTAACCAAACTACCATGCACTAAACTGATAATGATGTGACAAATAATAAACGAAGAGCAGCAATGAAAAATCATTACCAAAAAAATAAAATAAAATAAAAAATGACTAAAGGAAGCAAGCAAACAAGAAGGAAAAACTGCAGCCAACTTGATACAACACCATGGTAAAAATTTTTCCGGGAAAACTGTTAGGATTACAATTATATCCAGGTACACATGAATAGTGGAAGGTATGTAACATCATAGAATACTCAATTAGAGTCCTCATTAAACATCCTTGTATGTTAATTTTAGTTCTGAATACCACATTGTATTAAACTCTAATGTATTTATTAGTACCAAATCCTTAGATAGCTGAAGATATGGAAGTTTAAGGAAATAGATAAAATTTACTCTTCAGGACAAAGGACTGGAATTTTTAGATGTTTCATGCCCACCTTGAGAAGCCTTAAGGCCCATTATGGGTTGCAGATCACAAAGAACCACTTGTTGAAATAACATTTTTAGTGCAGAGAAAGTCTATCTCCCTCCCCACCTCCCAAACACAAAACAGGGACAGGGCTTCAAAATTACCAGGATATAAATAACCATGAGGAATACATTAGAAATGTATATAGAGCACTGCTCTTATCAAAATATCGCACAACTGTGCAGTGCTGTGCAGTTTACAAAGCCCTTTTATATGCATTATTTCATTAATACTCACATCCATCATAAGAAGATGAAATTATCTCCATTTTAAAGATGAGAAACCCAAGGTCCAGCAAAGTTAAGTGCCTTGCTCAAGGTCAGATATTCGGCTAAGTGGCAGAGCCAGGACTGAAATTCAGTACTTCCTGTTCCTACTTCATGGTCTCTGTACCCCCCTCAACTACTACAGGTCAAATCTAGAAATCAAATGAAGTATGTAAAAAGACTCTGCGAAGCTAAAAACAACTAGAAGGATTTTATTATGAAGATCATTAATTATTTGCTGATGTCCTACCACTGAAATACCTATGCCTGGGCCCAACCTAATTGCTTAGGCATTATTATGTAAGTGTTAAGACTTTCAAAAATCTGCCCAGGTGATTCTAAAAGGCACTAGGGCAAAGACTTGATCTATGTTAAATGATACTAATGGCAATACTGCTTTATGAACATGCTTTTCCACTTTCAGTTTTACTTTAACATTTCCCTTTTATATTAATCATCAGTCCTTAATCAGATGTGGTGTGTCAAGAGTTTAAGGAAGCCAAAGTGTTCACTTTAAAATTTTCAGTATTAGCTATAAGGTACAAATTTGCACAATATCAATTACATGAAAATATTTTTGTACTGTATTATTTTTAAAAAAACTCTAGTCAATATTAAGAATATTCAATAAAAAGTACAGCCTCGTACAACTATATCAATAAAAAAGTACAAAAAAAAAGCACAGCCTTTAGTTTGTGCTGTTAAGAACATTTAAAAATAATCTCCGACCAAAGATAACCCAACAATTTTTCATGAAATACTACATTAAGTTGCATTCATTTGAGGAATAGGAAGCTTTATGGCATTAAACATAAAATAACAGTTGGGGTATTTAAGGGACAAATTAGATGGCAATTAGCACCGATAATTTTTTAAAAAGTACTAGACATTGAACCAATCTTACCTTTTGTAGACTTGTTGGATTCAACTGAGTTTTGTCAATTATTTTTATTGCAACCTAGAAAGAATAATAAATATTTATGGATTTTAAGAATTTAGTAATTATGGACTGATAAATGCCAAGATATATGGCATTAAGAAGCAAGCAAGCAAGCAAGCAACAAACCACAAAACCTAAAACTCAGCTGGTTACAATAAGCAATTGTAACTTTATAAAATTGTGTAACTGAAAATAAGGGCTTCTATAACAATGCTTTCTAACTAAACTTCTCCCTACCCTAAATACAAGAGACCCTAATAGGCAGGAATATCATCACCCCTATTTGGCTTGAAGAAGTTACAGATGATCTTTGTCCCGCTACAATTCTTAAGGATTAAGGGTCCCCCTGTAAAAGGGAGGGGGGAAATATGTCAGAAGTGTTTGAACCAGAGCAACTCCATCTTGAAAAGGGGCTGGGTAAAATAAGCCTGAGACCTACTGGGCTGCATTCCCAGGAAGTCAGGCATTCTTAGTCACAGGGTGAGATAGGAGGAGCTTGGCAGAAGATACAGGTCACAAAGACCCTGCTGATAGAACAGGATGTGGTAAAGAAGCAGGCCAAAACCCACCAAAACCAAGATGGCGATGAAAGTGACCTCTGGTTGTCCTCACTGCTCATTATAAGCTAATTATAATGCATCAGCATGCTAAAAGACACTCCCACCACCACCATGACAGTTTACAAATGCCACGGCAACCTTGGGAAGTTACCCTAAATAGTCCCCTAAAAGGGGAGGGACCTTCAGTTCCAGGAAATCTCTGCCCTTTTCCCAGAAAGCTCATGAATAATTCACCCCTTGTTTAGCATATAATCAAGAAATAACTATAAGTAGACTCAGTCAAGCAGCTGATACTGCTGCTCTGTCTATGGAGCAGCCATTCTTTTGTTTCTTTTTTTTTTTTTTTTGAAACAGTCTCCCTCTGTTGCCTAGGCTGGAGAGCAGTGACATGATCTCGGCTCATTGCAACCTCCATCTCCCAAGTTTTCATAGTTTCTACTCCCTCAGCCTCTGGAGTAGCTGGGATTACAGGTGCGCACCACCACGACTGGCTAATTTTGTATTTTTAGTAGAGATGGGGTTTCACCATGTTGGCCAGGCTGGTCTCGAACTCCTGACCCCAGGTGATCCACCTGCCTCGGCCTCCCAATGTGCTAGGATTACACGTGTGAGCCACAGCGCCTGGCCTGTTTCTTTACTTCTTTTATAAACTTGTTTTCACTTAAAAGAAAAAAAAAAAAGAAAATTGGGGCTTCAAACTAATAAACGTATTGTTATAACATTTTATATTTAAGTTACTTATAGACAAGGGGAAAGTCTCCTCCAAACCAAGAAAAAAAGAGAGAGAGAGAGAGATTATACACAGAAAGCACTTCTAAAAACATATGCAATGTAGCAAATCTTTTCTTTACAATTTACTGACACTTTAAATTTAGCTGACTCTGGGATGGGTAAGCATACAAATAGGTGGGTATTGAATCTGAAAACTTTAAAAATTTTTTTTTTTTTTTTTTAAATAGAAAAGCCCTTTGGGCAGTTAAAGAAGGAAAGGGAATTAGGTCCAAACCAATCTGTGGGCTAACCAAGTGAATATACAGAGCGGCAACAGCAGGGTCACCTAGCAGCCTTTGTTCAGAAAGGGTGAGTATGCCCCAGCCAGTGTTTTTAAAACCCATTAGGATATAGGAAGTACTATAGCTTCTATAGCTTCTGGTCAGCTCATCACTGTCACGTAAAAATGATTTCTATGGACTATGGAAAAAGAATGGAAGTGACAATAGAAGGGAAGAAAAGTGGAGAGAGGCTTTGCCATGACCAGGGAATATCAAGTAACTCGGCTTTGCACCTGAGCTCCAAAACAGCAAATGAGCCCACCCCCATAAGATCAAAGAGGCTGTGCTTCCTACTGGGCATCCTGCAGGACACAGGCCCAGAAGACCCACCCCTGAAGAAAGCATCTATAGCCAAAGTCCAGGGAATGAGCTTGGAGTTTCTCTACATCAAACATTCTCACACTTTTTGGTCCCTTTTACACTTTTAAAGATTACTCATTCCCCCAAATGTGGGTTGTATCAACGAATATCTACCAAAATACAAATAAAAACTGAGAAACTGTAAAAAAAAAAAAAAAAAAAAGTATTTAACAATTGATTTCAAAATAACAATAAGCACATTATAACACAAATAATATATTTGTATGAAATTTTCATACAAGCTTCTACATTCAATCTGTTGTGATATCACACATCATGTAACCTCTGGAAAATTCCACTCTACACTTGTGAGAGACAGAATGAAAAAAGCAAATGTTTTACTAGTATCACAAAAATAGTTTTGACTCGGCAGACTCCTTAAAAGGGTCTCAGAAAACCTCCAGGGGTCTCCCCATGTCATACTTTTGAGAATGGCTGCATTATGTACATTAACACCATGTTTTAAAAACCCTGCTTAACTTGGTCTAAAGCCTCCACCTGACCACATTATTTATTCCCTATGAGTCTATAACCTCCAGAGGAGCTACAGAAAAAATCACTGCAACAAGGTATCCAGCAATTCTGACCCTGGAGTGGATGGGCTATAACCCCCATTTTCAGGAGGAAGCAAATCAGAACTGGGGAAGGAGTGGAGGGAAAACGAGTGTGTGCGCCTGAAAAACGCAAAGTTGGAATTCTAATTTTGTATTTGGAAAACATAAGTTTCAGTGGAAACTGAATAAGCAAAAGAAAATACTGACTACTGAAACAGGCAAACACGAACTGTCTTATGCATATCTCAACTGGGGAAAAGACATCTTATTCATCTTTATAGCCCTAACTGGCACATAAGGAGTACTCAATAAATACTGAGTTGTCCGGGTGAGGTGGCTCATGCCTGTAATCCCAGCACTTTGGGAGGTGGGTGGATCACCTGAGGTCAGGAGTTCGAGACCAGCCTGGCCAACATGGTGAAACCCCGTCTCTACTAAAAATACAAAAATTAGCTGAGCTTGGTGGCGGATGCCTATAATCCCACCAGCTACTTGAAAGGCTGAGGCGGGAGAACCACTTGAAACCTGGAAACGGAGGTTATAGTGAGCCAAGATGGTGCCACTGAACTCCAGCCTGGGCGAGAAAATGAGACTCCATCAAATAAATAAATAAATAAATAAATAAATAATAAATAAATAGGCCAGGTGTGGTGGCTCACGCCTGTAGTCTCAGCACTTTGGGAGGCCAAGGCAGGCAGATCATGAAGTCAGGAGACAAAGACCATCCTGGCCAACATGGTGAAACCCCATCTCTACTAAAAATACAAAAAATTAGCTGGGCATGGTGGCATGGGCCTGTAATCCCAGCTACTCGGGAGGCTAAGGCAGGAGAATTGCTTGAATTTGGGAGGTAGAGGTTGCAGTGAGCCGAGATCATGCCACTGCACTCCAGCCTGGCAAGACAGCGAGACTCCCTCTCAAAAAAATAAAAATAAATAAATAAATAAATGCTGAGTTGATCTGAGGCCTTGAACACTCATAATCAGTAACCAAAAAACAGGGCTTCTGGTGTTTTAACAGATAATGAGGTTTTAAAAATTATATAAATCAAAGTCGAATGAATTTTCTTCAAACTTTACCTTCATAAGTAATTTTACATGGTATACCTAGATCTCCCAATTCCAATGAAACCGTTAGACATACACACTCTTTTCTGGCCTCCATTCTGCTTTATTCCTCCTCCTCTTCATGGCCAAATCCATCAAAGATGCTGCCTTTCCAGTTCTTCTTCTCTCTGAGCTTCTGAGACGTGGTTTCTATTTTCACACCTGGACTCTTAATCACTAGTTTCTTATGGTTCTGCTCAATATCCTCCTCCTATTCTAAAGATTCTTTTTTTTGTTTTTTTTTTTTGAGACGAGGTCTCATTCTGTTGTCCAGGGTGGAGTGCAGTGACATGATCACAGTTCATTGCAGCCTCGACTTCCGCAGGTTCAGGTGATCATCCCACCTCAGCCTCCCGAGTAGATGGAACTATAGGCACGTGCCACCATGTCCAGCTAATTTTTTGTAGAAATGAGGTCTCCTTATGTTACCCAGGCTGGTCTCAAACTCCTGGGCTCAAGCGATCTGCCCACCTCAGCCTCCCGAAGTGCTAGGATTACAGGCATGAGCCACGGCATCCGGTCACTATTCCAAAGATTCTGATTCTGCGTTTTTTTTTTCTCTTGAGACAGGGTCTCGCTCTGTCACCCAGGCTGGAGTGCAGTGGCGTGATCTTGGCTCACTGCAACCTCCGCCTCCCGGGTTCGAGCAATTCTCGTGCCTTGGCCTCCCCCAAGTAGCTGGGATTACAGGCACGTGCCACCACACCCAGCTAATTTTTGTATTTTTTTAGTAGAGACAGGGTTTTGCCATGTTGGCCAGGCTGGTCTTGAACTCCTGACCTCAGGTGATCCACCCGCCTCGGCCTCCCAAAGTGCTGGAATTACAGGCATGAGCCATCGCGCCCGGACTGATTCTGTTCTTATACACTTTCATCTTCAGGTACTGCTATTCAATAGCCTCTGAAGCAAAAATAGGAGCTCAAATATGTTTCATTCAGCTTAACCAAACTGCAGAAAAGTCATTTTATCAAAAGCAACTATGTCCCCAGAGTGAAACACCATCATTTGATGTGACATGTGTACGTGCAGCAAGGAAGCCTGAGCGGGAGTTCCTAATCCCCTCTTCCTCCTAGCTCCCCGCTGGGATGACTCCACCAAAATCACCTTGGCCCAGAGCTGGAGCCTGGAGAGCTCAGGCAAAGCTGAAACCTTGGGGTCACCAAAAGAGGTGGTAACTGGGGTATCCCCGATTGCAGTGCCTCAGAAAGGTGTAGACTGGAGAGAAGACCACCCCTTTATTCCAGTGATTGTGGGGTTGGGTAAAGGGAGACTCAACAAACACCAAGGGGGCTCACTAAGTGAGAAAGCCACTTGCTGTGGAAATTTCTGGGAAATTCCATTTACATTCACTCTGATGCCAGCAGCAAAGTGGAATATTACAAAATAGGGATGGGACAGCTCATACATGAGATGGGCTTCTCCCAACAAATCCACAGCAAACACCCACTGGAGAAAAATCCTTATCTTCCACTTTCTGTTGGTTCACCAACGGTCAAAAGATCCTAACACCCTGTTTCTGAAAGTGTTAACAACATTCTCAGTCAGTAAAAGAGGAGGCAAAAAAAAAAAAAAGACTGCAAGTCCTCTAGGGGGATAGAGTGGCCTGAAGAATGATGCATTAGTCATCTTGGACTGCCATAACCAAAATACCACACACTGGGGGACTTAACAGTAATTTATTTTCTCACAGTTCTGGAGGGGACCTTCTTCCTGGCTTGCAGATGGCCACCCTCTCCCTGCGTTCTCATGTGGTAGAAAAAGCTAGCGTTCTGGTGTCTCTTCATGTAATAACACTAACCCTATCAATCAGGATTCATACTACGACTTCACTTAACCTTCTATAAAGACCCTATCACCAAATACAGTCACACTGGGGGTTAGGGCTTACACATATGAATTTTGAGGCATACGATTCAATCCATAGCAAATGGAGGCCAAGTCAAACAACTACAACAGTTGGTTACAAATGAAAACCTCAACATGGAAGAATATCACAAGCATGAAGTAGAGTAAAAGAAATAGACACAAAATAATACACTATTATTAAAATACTCTAACATTCTATTAGTACAATGTTAAAACAACAAACAGACAAAACCTATGGTATTAGAAGGTGGCACAGTGGTTCACTTGAGGAGGTGGGGTAGTGAAGGGATTTGAAGGAGGCCAAAGGGAGGCTTCTAGGGTGTGGGTCACAGTATATTTTTTGCCCGGGTCATGGTTATTCAAATGTGTTTACTTTGTGATAATTCATCAAGCTGTACACTTATGATTTGGGCACTTTTTATGTATGTTACGTTTCTTTTTGTTTTGTTTTTGAAATGGAGTCTTGCTCTATCGCCCAGGCTGGAGTGCAGTCGCGCGATCTTGGCTCACTGCAACCTCCACCTCCTGGGTTCAAGCAATTCTCCTGTCTCAGCCTCTCAAGTAGCTGGGACTACAGGCACACACACCATGCCCAGCTAATTTTTGTATTTTTAGTAGAGACAGGGTTTCACCATATTGGTCAGGCTGGTCTTGAACCCCTGACTTCAGGTGATCTGCCTGCCTCGGCTTCCCAAAGTGCTGGGATTCACAGGCATGAGCCATTGCACCCAACCTGTGTTACATTTCAGTAAAGAGTTTTTGTGTTTTTAAAGTCAATGATGACTTTAAATAAAATGTCAATAGATAATGCCTAAACCTGAAAAACAAGTAAGACTACAAGCATGTTATAAAGTATGAAAGAATCATTTAAAAGACTAAAGAATCACTTTAAAAGATTAAAAGTGGCCATCCTGGGAGACAAGGAAACCAGTGAGTCTAGGGGACTCTTTTTTAACAAGTCTTGACTCTTTAAACTGTGTGTAATATGTAACTTGAATAAAAATAATTACATGAAAAGTTATTTTCATAACCATAATGAGGACATTGGTTAAAGATGGCATATTGATCACATGCATTTCTCTGTCCTGCCACCTGATAGGCCCACTGAAGAACAAAGACCAAATGACAAAGAATGGCCAAGAGAAGGGAAGGGCTGCCACCAGAAGACAAGTGACTTCAAAGAATTTCTGGGAGATAAAAATCTGACAGCAGTACAGTGGAACATGTAGCAGGGCACAGAAAGACAACCCTAGAATATGCTTGGAAAAGGAAAAACTCAACTGTCCATAGAAAATAACTCTGTGTTGCGTGTGTGGAATGTCCCAGTGTAAAGACCGACGTTCCTCTGGCCTCTATGAGGCTAAGCCAGGCACTCGTCACCCCTTTACTGGGAGCTCTCAGCTTTCTTCTTAGGGCTCCACTCTTGAAGACATGAACAAAATAAAAAAATCACACAAATGAGGAAAGCCTGTGATTTTTCCTGATGCCTTGCTCCATAATTAAGCCTCTTCTTTCAAAAAAGGAGCTACAGTCAATTCTCATTGTTCATTCTATGCAGTTACTGTGCTCACTGAATTAGTGAATACGAAATCATTGCTTCTGGGGGTTAGGTTTCTGCAAGCCTCTGGTCACAACATTTTGCAACAGCAGATTAATACATAAGTTTGTTTTATGTGTGTGTCTGTTTAAGAACACCTTCTTTACTATATATGATTGGTTAACACTGAATTCACAGCCACAGCACTGTAACGCACACTTGAGTGAAACTTCTAACACGTGCATCTTCTTTGTAAAGCACCATAGCCATGTGCAGTGCAAGGAAAAACTCAACTGTCCAGAGTTTTATCCATGGCAAGGCTATGATGTGCCTTACAAAGAAAATGCAGGTGTTAGGTAAGTTTCACTCAAGGGTGCGTTAGGAAGACTAGACAGCACTTCAGCACTATGCTTGGGGCCCATTTTAAATGGCAAAATCATCAACAAAAAGTACAAAAATGAAAAAAAAGGCATTAAATAGATCACAAAAAAGACACTGGTTTACGGCACAAAGACTGAAAAAAAGAAAGCAAAGTGTCCCCTTGTTGAACCTCAACTAGGGATGTGCATATTTTTTCACCGTTCTGCATATGTCCGAAAAGGATTACCAAAGCGCTGTACTGATTTGGGTGTTACAAATAAATTTTTTCGAACAGGTAAATTTGCAAATATAGAAACCACAAAAAAATGAGTATTAACTATCTGCCTGGAAATGAATAGTGGTGATGGTTGCCCAATAATGTACATATAGTTGATGTCACTGAACTACACACTTAAAAAATGGTTAAAATTATAACTTTTATGTTGTATGTATTTTACCACACACACAAAAAAAGTGTTGGCCAGGTGTGGTGGCTCATCCCTTTAATCCCAGCACTTTGGGAGGCCCAGGCAGAAGGATCACTTTAGCCCAGGAGTTCGAGACCAGCCTGAGCAACATGGGGATGCTTTGTCTCTGTAGAAAATACAAAAAATCAGCCGGATGTGGTAGTACACACCTCTGGTCCCAGCTACTCAGGAGGCTGAGGTGGAAGGACTGCTTGGGCCCAGGAGGTAGAGAGCTGCAGTGAGCCAAGATTGCACCACTGCACTCCAGGCTGGGCGACAGAGCAAGACTCTGTCTCAAAAAGAAAAAAAAATGTTCAAAACTGTGGAATTCCGTGATTTTTTATATATAGGGATTAGGCTTATATGGAGCTTTTTTCCTGCACATTAACCATACCTCCAGGTTGTACTAAAAGCATGCTGACTGTTTTTATGCTTTTTAGTTATATAACATATGTATTCTATATCTTATATGGAATATATAAATTATATCTTACACCAAGGCTTTCTTTCACCCTTGTCTGCTTGTTTCCAAAAGTTTCTGTTTCTTTTTCTTAAGAGACAGGATCTCGCTATGTTCCCCAGGCAGTGGCTATTCACAGAAGCAATCTTGATCCCAATCCCCATCCCACTGATCAGCAGAGGAATTTTGACCTGCTCCGTTTCTGGGCCAGTTCACCCCTCCCCTCAGACAACCTGGTAGACCCCTGCTCTTGGGATATAATTAATTTTTAATTGAAGCAAATCATTCTGGGTTTTAACTTTTTTTGTCAGTCACTACAGTTGTTTTGAATAAAAATTCATCACTGTCTACCCACCCCCAAGAAACCACTTGCTGAGTTTTGGTATAATGTCAAAGAACAATATCCACAATCACCTGAAAAGGTATTAATATGCTCCCTTCCTTTTGTAGCTACATTTCTTTATACACTTCAACCAAAACAACATACTTAAATAGTGTGAATGCAGAGCAGACACAGGAACCCAGCTAACTTCTATTAAGCCAGATATTAAAGGGGTTTGCAAAGAATTTAAACAATTCACTCTTTTCAATAATTTGCTTTGGAAAATAGTTGTTTTTCATAAAAATATGTTATTTACATTACCATGTAACAGGATTATTATTTTTGATGAATTAATATATATTTTAAGTTTCCTAAGTAATAACTTCCAATTCAGCAGCTATCAATACATATAACCCTAATAAATAAAAGCTTTGGGGAGTTCTCAATTTTCTATTTATTTATTTATTTATGAGACGGGGTCTCGCTCTGTCACCCAGGCTGGAGTACAGTGGTACAATCTCGGCTCACTGCAAGCTCCACCTCCCGGGTTCACGCCATTCTCCCACCTCAGCCTCCTGGTAGCTGGGACTACAGGCGCCCGCCACCACGCCCAGCTAATTTTGTTTTCGTATTTTTAGTAGAGACGGGGTTTCACCATGTTAGCCAGGATGGTCTCGATCTCCTGACCTCGTGATCCGCCCGCCTCAGCCTCCCAAAGTGCTGGGATTACAGGCGTGAGCCACCGCGCCCAGCCTCAATTTTCAATTTAAAGGAGTTCTGAGACAGAAACGTTTGAGAACTGCTGTTCTCATCAATGGCATTGTACACAACCACTGAAATGAACAATTATGACGATTAGTGGCAACGTAGAAAACTGCTTTGGATAAAATTCCGAGGGCGGAAAAAACAAGATACAAAATTATAATCAAAAATATGTTGAAAAAACATGTATATGGAAAATATACAAAAACAAAAATGGTATTCAGAATATTAGGATTGTGGGGTTTTTCTTCTCTATTCTCCAAACTTTCTGTAAAGTTGTTAACATAGTCTTCACCAACAAACTCGTGACTAAACATAAGCATTTATGCAAAGTCTCAGGAAGTTTCACACACCCCAGGATGAAGAAACGTGGTTTCAGGAGTGAAGCAACAGATGAAAAGGCAGGCGGGGGAGGACTAAGTGACTGAGGGGTGGGATCATCAGTTCCTCCCAGGCAGAAGAGAAGATTCTTATCTAGAGAAACTGGATACTCTCAGAAATCTAAGGACACAAATATCTGGGGTCTTCAATAAAAGCACCAGACAACTCCCAATAGGAAAGCTCTGTGGTCAAACATGTCCTATTCATACAAACACAGCTTGTGATCAGATGCTTAGGGCTCCACATTAGGTACAGACAACCAGAGGCTACCAGACATCCAGAGAAAGTCTCTATATGAAAGAGCGGTAACAAGAAAGAACCCCAGAAAAAAAGAGAAGCAATGCAGGGAACAAAAATCTACTTTATAAAAGAGCTAAAAAAAAAAAAAAAAAAAAAAAGCCTTTACTATTCTCAGGGAGTCAGCAGAAGAAACAACATTCATAATACCAGGGCTAGATGCTGTAAAGACAGTAACAACAAACAGATGAAAATGATCAAAGAGTGAGCTGGGGAGAGAAGAGGAGACACACACACAGCTTTCTTTCTTTTGAGACAGAGTTTTGCTCTGTCACCCAGGCTGGAGTGCAGTGGCGCGATCTCGGCTCACTGCAACCTCTGCCTCCCGGGTTCAAGAGATTTTCCTGCCTCAGCCTCCTGAGTAGCTGGGATTACAGGTGCGCGCCACCACGCCCAGCTAATTTTTTTGGATTTTTAGTAGAGGCAGGGTTTCACCATGTTGACCAGGCTGGTCTCAAACTCCTGACCTCAAGTGACACTTCTGCCTTAGCCTCCCCAAGTGCTGAGATTACAGGCATGAGTCACCGTGCCCGGCCCACACACACATTTTTAACAGAAAGAATGGAAGATGAAGTTAAAAATATCTCCCAGAAAGTAAAAACATAGAGATAGAAGATAGATTTTGAGGCTCTTTTCAAGCACTCCAGTCTCTGCTTAAGGATTCCAGAATGAAGATTTTTAAGTTAAAAAAGAGACAATTTTCCAGAACTGAAAGACAAAAACCTCTATATTAAAAGGGTCCAATGAGCACCAAGAACAATGAATGAAGACTAACCCTTGGCACCTCAATGGCTAATTTCTAAAAACCAAGGATAAACTTCCAGAAAGAAAAAAAATATTACATACTTAAGCTACTTACATGGTTATACTCCAGTCTTTGACATTCCCAATATCTGAAAACCTTTCATGATCCAAGTTTGAGCTTCCCATTCTTTAACTAACTTCTTCTACCTTCCTGCTCACTCAATCTAGTACTCTAATAACTGTTGGAACTTACCAGGATCTGTAATTCACTGACCCCACACCTTCATAGGGTCAGTCTTCCTCCTCAAGTTCTTAGTTCCTAATTATATCACTAATTTCATTGTGATGTTGTTGTATAACAATGCTCCTGGGGTGTTGTATAACAATGCTCCTTTGTCCTTTCACTATACTAATGTGACAAAACCCCAATCTCTGCAAATGCCATGCCTGCAGCTGGGCAACTGAATGTGGCTGGAGAGTAGCACAACGCCATGCTGACTCTTCCCACTTTAAATCCTTGGTCACCAACCTCAGGGAAGCCTTAAGGCTGCCTGGCAATTCTATTACATTTCTCTAGTCCATTCACTCTCCTGCTTATCTGGCAATTATTTTAACCTCCTCACATCTCTAATACATCTCCTCATCGTAGCAGATCAGTTTGCTTTCCATTTTACTGAAAAAACAGTTTGCACTCAGAAAATTTCTACAAGCTCCTACTACCATAAGGATCCCCTCACCTGCACTGATGCCGGCACCCTCTGCTTTCCTCCTATTTCTTTACTTTATTTTCTTTCTTTATTTTTTGAGACAGAGTTTTGCTCTTGTTGCCCAGGCTGGACTGCAGTGGTGCGATCTCGGCTCACCACAACCTCTGCCTCCTGGGTTCAAGCAATTCGCCTGCCTCAGCTTCCTGAGTAGCTGGGATTACAGGGGCACGCCACCATGCCCAGATAATTTTTTGTATTTTTAGTAGAGATGAGGTTTCACCATGTTGGCCAGGCTGGTCTCGAACTCCTGATATCAGGTGATCCACTCGCTTCGGCCTCCCGAAGTGCAGGGATTACAGGCGTGATCCACCACGCCTGGCTTGCTTTCCTCCTATTTCTATGGAAGAACTGTCCATGTTATCCAAAGACCAATGCCTCCACCATCCCCTCACCTATTCCAAAATCTCTTCGACAGCACCAATTTCCTCCTTTTTATGAGATTATCCCCATTAGTAGAGAAATATGTTGATATTTTGTCCATCTTCTAAAAAATACCTTGGCCTAATGTCTCCCTGTAGCTACCATCCCACTTATCTGTGCCTAGAAAGAGCTACCTTGCTGTCTCTAATTTATACTCACCGATTCTCTCTTGAGCTAATACATTATATTATATGTGTGAGTACTGCAAAATATTTGAAAGATAAGCTAGAACATTTTGGCCAATTAGCAGTAACACATAAAACCTAAGAGTTTATAGAAAAAGAAACAACTATTAATTTTAGACAAAGCTTTACAATTATATAAGAAAATAAATGATCATAGCCAAAGCTCAACAATACTTACACAGTCGTAATTTAAGTAAATAAGCCAAATATATCACTGCAATAGAAAAGCTAGGGAAAGAAATGTAGATATGGAAGTGGGAAGTGGAAGTCAATGATGTTTAAAATGATAAATTTGGAGAAAGCTATTGGAGTAACAGAAGAAAGAGCTTAAAAAAGTTGGGGCCTTTGAGTAATAATGCTGAGGAAAAAGAGGGATAAGAAAAGAAACTTCTGATTGTCATTAGAACTTTTTAGTATATTTGACTTGTTAAGCTATGTGCATGCATTACTTTAGGAAAATAATTTTTAAACAATAAATAACTCCAATAAAGTACAAATGACTGAAACAAGTGAGTTCTGTAGTTCGTGTGAGGGGAAAGGTCTCTGGGAGGCTATGAAAATTAGTGGGGGGAAAATAATGAACTTGAAAGAAAACTGTGGTGTAAAACAGGCAATATTTCACACCAAAATAACCATAAGCTATGAAAAGTTGGTCAAAAGCAAGACAGCAGATGCAACTAACATCCCCAGATTCATAGTAAATATGGGATAGATGCTTCCAGGACAATATGGATAATGGGTAGCATTTTCATTTAAGAGCTAAATCAGATGAATTTCACAACTGGTACATGTATTTTAAAAATATATAAAATGAGCATTTTGATATCCATTTCTGATTGGTTCATGGTCATCCTGTGGGAAGTCTCATCTAAACTGAACTTACACCATAACTAGGCTATTTAAAGGCTTGATTTAAAATGGTCTTCAGAGTGTACATATTAATGTATCTTGTTTATAATTCTTATTCCAACATGTTTGTTAAATTAAAACAACTTTCTTCCAACGAACATATAGTTTTTCATGAGTATCTTTTTTTTTTTTTTTTTTTTTTTTTGAGACAAGGTCTTACTCTGTTGCCAGGCTGGAGTGTACTGGCATGATCTTGGCTCACTGCAACCTCCGCCTCCCGGGTTCAAGTGATTCTCCTGCCTCAGCCTCCCGAGTAGCTGGGACTACAGGCGCACACCACCATCCCCGGCTATTTTTTGTATTTTTAGTAGAGATGGGATTTTGCCATGTTGGCCAGGCTGGTCCCAAACTCCTGACCTCAGGTCTCGATCTCTTGACCTTGTGATCTGCCCACCTTGGCCTCCTAAAGTGCTGGAATTACAGGCATGAGCCACCATGCCCGGCCTTCGTGAGTATCTTTTATGTTCACGACATCCTTGTGACTTAAATGCATGATATAGATTGTCCCTACTCCCTTCTTTCAGAAAATTCTTTTCACGATATAATTCTACATCTCTGTTCTTACCCCAAGGATAGCAGTTAAAACTCTCAACATAATACACAATAAGCCTTTAACTTATACTGACTCAGAACAAATTAAGTCCCCAAATCATCAATGCCACTCTTCCCACAACCCTCTGGGTTTTCTTCAGAGGTTTTAGTTCTTCAATAGGCAAGATACATCACGTTCCCATCACAGGGCAAGAGAACGCTGACAAAAATAAAGATCTTAGCTGAGAAAAGTACTAAGTAGCTGGGTGTGGTGGCTCATGCCTGTAATCCCAGCACCTGGGGAGGCCAAGGCGGGCGGATCATCTGAGGTCGGGAGTTCAAGACCAGCCTGACCAACATGGAGAAACTCTGTCTTTACTAAAAATACAAAATTAGCTGGGCATGGTGGCACATGCCTGTAATCCCAGCTACTAGGGAGGCTGAGGCAGGGGAATCGCTTGAACCTGGGAGGTGGAGGTTGCGGTGAGCTGAGATTGAGCCATTGCACTCCAGCCTGGGCAACAAGAGCAAAAGTCCATCTTTAAAAAAAAAAAAAAAGAAAGAAAAGAAAAGTACTAAGTAATAAAAATACACCAATTCACAGACCAGACCAGAGGCTTTAGGTTTCTTTCTACTAGGAATATTATACTGTTATATAAAATCAGTTTTCTAGTTAACAATTCACTTAATTCTTTACCACACGATCCAGTAATGTCACTCCTAGAGAAATTAAAACTTATGTTCACAGAAAAACCTGTACAGGAGTTCTATTCATAATTGCCAAACACTGGAAACTATTCAAATGTCCTTCAGTGGGGGAGCTAATACCAACTGTAGCACAGCCATACAACAGAATACTTCTCAGCAACAAAAAGGAACAAACTGTCAATATATGCAACAGCCTGAATCAATCTCAAAGACATGATGCTGAGTGAGAAGAAGCCAGTTTCAAAAGGTTACATACCATATGATCCCATTTTATTTGACATTCTCAAAAAAAGACAACTGACCAGGCGTGGTGGCTCACGCCTGTAATCTCAGCACTTTGGGAGGCCGAGGCAGGCGGACTGCTTAAGCTCAGGAGTTCAAGACCAGCCTGGGCAATATGGTGAAACTCCATCTCTACCAAAAATAAAATAAAATAAAATAAATAAATAAAATAAAATAAAATAAAATAAGCCAGGTGCGGTACTGTGTGCTTGTGGTCCCAGCTACTGGGGAGGCTGAAGTGGGAGGTTGCTTGAGTCCAAAAGGTGGAGCTTGCAGTGAGCCGAGATCGCGCTGCACTCCAGCCTGGGCGACAGAGCCAGACTCTGTCTCAAAAAAAAAAAAAAAGCATGCTATTAAAAAACAATATAAACTTAATTTTCGACATTCCAAATGAGAGATCAAAAGTTTCCCAAATGCAAGAAGTTATATGATTATTGCCTTCTTGAGGAAAAAAAAGTTCCATTTACATTAGCAACAAAAATTATAAAATAGCTTGAAATGAATTTAACAAGCATTATATAAAACATAGATGAAAAAAGTTACAAAACCTGAAAACAAATTTGAGACACATGCACATTCCTGAATAGAAACATTTGGCATTAGCCGGATGTGGTGGCTTACACTGGTAATCCCAGCACTTTGGGAGGCCGAGGCGGGTGGATCACCTGAGGTTGGGAGTTTGAGACCAGTCTGACCAACATGGAGAAACCCGTCTCTACTAAAAATACAAAAATTAGCCGGGCATGGTGGTGCATGCCTGTAATCCCAGCTACTCGGGAGGCTGAGGTGGGAGAATTGCTTGAACCCAGGAGGCGGAGGTTGTGGTGAGCTGAGATCACGCCACTGCACTCTAGCCTGGGCAACAAGAGCGAAATTCCGTCTCAAAAAAAAAAAAGAAAGAAAAAAAAGAAAGAAAGACTTGGCATCATTAAAATATCAATTTCCTCCCAAACTATTAATAATTTATAAAACCAACTAAACCCTCTTTTCTGGTTAGCGTGGCATGAGAACCCATAAGCAGCAAAGTCTCTCACGACACCCTGGATGAGGCGGTGCAGGAAGTCCTGCACGGGAACCAGTGAAAGTGCCCCAAGTTCCTGAAGATGGTGGAGTTGCAGATCAGCTTGAAGAACTATGACCCCCAGAAGGACAAGCGCTTCTCGGGCACCGTCAGGCTTAAGTCCACTCCCTGTCCCAAGTGTGGGTCCTGGGGGAACAGCAGCACTGTGACGAGACCAAGGCCACGGATATCCCCCCAAGTGGACACTGAGGTGCCAAAAAAACTCAAGAATAAGAATCTGGTCAAGAAGCTGGCCAAGAAGTATGATGCATTTTTGGCTTCAGAGTCTCTGATAAAGCAAATCCCACGAATCCTCGGCATAGGCCTAACAAAGGCAGTAAAGTTCCCTTCCCTGCTCACACACGATGAAAACACGGTGGCCAAAGTGGATGAGGCGAAGTCCACAATCAAGTTTCATATGAACATGTTATGTTTGGCTGTGGCTGTTGGCCACGTGAAGATGACAGACGATGAGCTTGTGCATAACATTCACCTGGCTGTTAACTTCTTGGTGTCACTGCTCGAGAAAAAACTGGCAGAATGTCCGGGCCTTATATATCAAGAGCACCACGGGCAAGCCCCAGCGCCTATATTAAGGCATATTTGAAAAGATTCTACTGCTACTAGTAAAAAAAACAAAAAACAAAAAACCAACTAATCCCATGAAAACTAATCTAATCAAAATTT
This sequence comes from Homo sapiens, assembly GCF_000001405.40. Lineage (NCBI taxonomy): Eukaryota > Metazoa > Chordata > Mammalia > Primates > Hominidae > Homo > Homo sapiens. The sequence continues at coordinate 103,412,027 of NC_000014.9, read as the reverse complement.
CATGCTCTGTTTTTAGAAAATGGCAACTTAATTCTAAAATTCATGTGGAAGAGTAAATGACCAAAAAAAAAAAAAAGCTATGAAAATTTTGAAAAATAAGAGTCATTGGCCGGGCGTGGTGGCTCACACCTGTAATCCCAGCACTTTAGGAGGCTGAGGTGGGCAGTTCATGGGTTCAAGAGATCGAGACCATCCTGGCCAACATGATGAAATCCCCTCTCTACTAAAAATACAAAAATTAGCTGGGCGTGGTGGCACACACCTGTAATCCCACTTACTCAGGAGGCTGAGGCAGGCGAATTGCTTAAACCCGGGAGGTGGAGGTTGCAGTTAGCCGAGATCCCGCCACTGCACTCCAGCCTAGCGACAGAGCGAGACTCCATCTCACCAAAAAAAGAGAGAGAGAAAAAAAAAAGAATCATCAGGAGGGGAACTTGACCTAAAACATACAATCCACAGCTGCAGTAATAAAAACACCACAGTATGGGTATAGGACTAAATAAACAGACTGGAGAAATAACAGGACACATATGAGAATTTATTATGTGTTAACGCAGGTATCTTCAATTGTTGGGAGAGAACTGATGGTTCTGGGACAATTGTAATCCAAGTGGAAAAAAAAAGTCAGATCCCTACACCTAATACTAATCTTCCCAAATACATACCACATGAATTAAACGTTAAAATGTGAGCCATAGGAGGAGTATTAGAAGAAAATACAAAACTGGTTTTTTGTTTGTTTGTTTGTTTTTTCGAGACGGAGTCTCACTCTGTCACCCAGGCTGCAGTGCAGTGATGCAGTCTCAGCTCACTGCAAGCTCCGTCTCCCGGGTTCATGCCATTCTCCCGCCTTAGCCTCCTGAACAGCTGGGGCTACAGGCGCCCGCCACCATGCCCAGCTAATTTTTTGTATTTTTAGTAGAGACAGGGTTTCACCGTGTTATCCAGGATGGTCTCGATCTCCTGACCTCGTGATCCACCCACCTCGGCCTCCCAAAGTGCTGGGATTACAGGCGTGAGCCACTGCACCCGGCCTATAGAACTGTTTTTTAAGTCACGGGACAAATCTTCAAGAAGACATGAAACCCAAATGTAATAAAGAAAAAGATTAAATGATTTTGCCACATAAATACTTAAAAACTTCCCTAAAACAAGAAAGACATCATAAACAGTTAAAAGGAGTAATCTAGGGAAAGATATTCATAACCTACATTAACAGACACATCAGACAGATGACTGAAACATAAAGGGTTTAAATCACTAAGATTAAAAAAAAAGAAAAATGAATAAAGGATATAAACAGGAAACTTGTTTTATTTTTATTTATTTTAGAGAGTGTCCTCTGTTGCCCCGGCTGGAGTACAGCGGTACAATCATAGCACAATGCAGTCTTGTACTCCTGGGCTCAAGTGATCCTCCTTGCCTTGGCCTCCCAAAGCACTATGAATACAGGCATGAGCTACTGCGGGTGGCCAGGGAACTTGCCTCAAAAAGAAATTATGAATGACAAAAATATATAAAAAGATCATAAATCTAAGTAGTGAAAAGGGAAAAAGCAACTTCTGGTTTTCTCTACACCCTTTTTTTGTCCATACGTGCTATGGTTTGAATGAATGTCCCCTCCCAAACTCATGGTGAAACGTAATTGCTGTTGCAGCAGTACTAAGGCATGGGGCCCTGGAGAGGCAATCAGATTGCAAGGGCTCTGCCCTCTTTTCTTCCTTTCTCCTCCTCTTCCCTTCCTTCCCCACTCTTTGCCCTTCCATCACGCCCTTCATGTATCAAGAAGGCCCTGGCCAGATGCAGCCCCTGGATCTTGGACTTCCCAGCCTCCACAATTGTAAGAAATAAATTTCTTATCTTTATAAATTACCTAGTCCCTGGTATTGTGTTACAGCAGCAAAAACAGATTGAGACCTTCAGATAGACAAAAATTATCTACAGTGTAGAAGCATGTACGAAAATGAACACTCTATTCCATTTTGGTAGAATAATAAAGTAGGTACATCACTTTTTATTCAAAACCAATTTAGTAGTATCTATTACAATGTCAAATAGTCATCCACTTTCACCCAGGACTTCCATTTCTAGGAATTATCCTACAGAAACACTTAACAAGGACACGCAATGCTAAAGAATGTCCACTGCAGATCTGTTTGTAACAACAAAAATTTAGAAACAACCCTAATGCCCACTGATAGGAAATAAACTATGGTACCACCATAGCCAGGAAGACTATGCTGCCTTTAGACTAATATGTCAGATCTATGAGTACTAAGACCCAGACATGGTCAAGGTACATTACTAAGTAAAAAAACTGTCATCATGTTCCATGAGTCCCTTTCTGTTAAAATTTTTTAAAAGTTAATGTCTATATAAAAAACTCTGGGAATATACACCAAACTGCTGAAAGTGATTGTCTTTGAAGAGACAAATTTCAAGGAACTTACTTTCTACATAATGAATTTCTATATTTCTATAATGTTTACATTTTATATGTCATATCTACAATAGGCAAAAAAAACCCCACAAGAGTAAAATGATTTTGTTCAAAGTTTTTCCTTTTTTTTTTTTTTTTTTTTTTTTTTTTTTACTTTAAGTTCTGGGATACATGTGCAGAACGTGCAGGTTAAACAGGTATACATGTGCCATGGTGGTTTGCTGCGCCCATCGACCCATCAGCTACATTAGGTGTTTCTCCTAATGCTATCCCTCCCCTTGCCCCTCACCCCGACAGGCCCTGGTGTGTGATGTTCCCCTCCCTGTGTCCATGTGTTCTCATTGTTCAACTCCACTTACGAGTGAGAACTTGTTCAAAGTTTTAAAAAAACTGAGAAACTGAGAAAGTTTTTAAATTAAACCACTCTGCTAGTCATATTCAAGCATTTCTAGAGAAAGAACCTACTAGAAGTAAACACCACAGGCCAGACTCTAGATAATGTAAATCAGGTAAGGTAAATGGAAGAGGTTCGTCTGTCTCAACGCTCTCTTGGCCCACCATCTCTGCCCACATGAGGAAGCTGGCAAGTAGCCACCTGGAACTGGTGGGAACTAAGAAACTCAGAGGTCTCACCGTTCCTTATCTCAAGAAAGCTTTAATCAAGGACAACAAGGACAGCTCCGCCCACACAAGCTGTTTACAGATTCCAAAAGCAGTCTATAAGGCAGCTCAGCAACAAGGAGTCTTAACTAAAAATCCACAAGAATTTTATCACTAAAATTAATGAATTGTCAAAAGGCAAATTTCTGGCAACAGTCTTTTAAAATTCCAGTTAGCACAGTCCAGTGCTTCCCAACCTTTTCCAAGTCTCCGCACACACAGGAAATGAAAATATTTACAGGGCACATTGCTGCAAACAGAGGATGCATGCTGACAGATGACAGACCCAGGGCTCATGCTCTTGCAGCCCCAGGCCTGGTGGGCTGCAGGCATGAATGCTACGCCATATGTGTCACAGTCTTGGCACATCTATCAGAAGGGTCTCGCACAGGGAGAGCATTTGTTTTAAAAGCTTCCTTCAAAAGTATTACTACATTCAGGCCAGGCATGGTGGCTCACGCCTGTAATCCCAGCACTCTGGGAGGCTGAGGTGGGTGGATCACCTGACATCAGGAGTTCGAGACCAGCCTGGCCAACATGGTGAAACCCCCTCTCTACTAAAAATACAAAAAATTCGCTGGGTGCGGTGGCGTGTGCCTGTAATCCCAGCTACTCGGGAGGCTAAGGCAGGAGAATCGCTTGAACCCAGGAGGCGGGAGGTTGCAGTGAGCTGAGATCACGCCACTGCACTCCAGCCTGGGCAACAGTGAGACTCTGTTGCCAACACCACCTCCCCCCCGCCAAAAAACAGTATTATTGCATTCATTTAGCAAATATTTATTAAGTACCTAACAGGTTCCAAGCACTGTGTTAAGTTCTGTCATCTTCCCCTACAGACTGGAGACAGCCTACAAACTAGAGAAGGAGACAGACAAACGAGCAATTCCAATACAATGTAAATTGTGCCATATAAGGGGAGTATCGGGATTTTTATGGAATCCCATGCCTGGGGAAAGGGGATTTGTCAATGATTACTTCTCAGAAATGTTCCCTAAACAGAAGAGTAAAGAGTATTTCAGGTACAGGGAAAAGCAGGCGCAAAGACCTAAATGCAAGAAACTACATCAAAGGTTGGGCACGCTGGCTTACACCTGCAATCCCAGCATTTTGGGAGGTTGAGGCGGGCAGATCACCAGGTCAAGAGATTGAGACCATCCTGGCCAACATGGTGAAACCCCATCTCTACTAAAAATACAAAAATTAGCCGGGCATGGTGGCGCACGCCTATAGTCCCAGCTACTCAGGAGGCTGAGGCAGGAGAATTGCTTGAACCCAGGAGGCGGAGGTTACAGGGAGCTGAGATCACACCACTGCACTCCAGCCTGGCGACAGAGCTAGACTCCGTCTCAAAAAAAAAAAAAAAAAAAAAAAAAGAGGCAAAACAGGCTCTGTACCATATGAGTATAACAAGAGGAGGGAGTTAGTTTTGTGGTTTTAATGCATGTATTTTTGATTAATAGGAACGGGGCTGAGCAGAAAGCCATTTCACAAAGGTTAGGAAAGTATGTGCCTTCCTACACAATAACCGATTAAACATACGCTATGAGAAAAGTAGAGAGATTAAGAAACTTCTTGAAGATAAATCTGTAAATATTGACAATAATATTGATTAGCAAGTAACATGAGCTCATACACATAAGTGTATACCTGAAGTTAAAGACAATTTTTACTGTGGTAGCAGACATTTGCTACTGAAAAAGAACAAAACATTACCTATTTTTAAAGGTAAAGACTATTTAAACACTCTATGATATTTCCAACGTTTAAAGTAATGGGAAAGCAAAAGAACTCCCAGATGGGCCAGGCGTGGTGGCTCACGCCTGTAATCCCAGCACTGTGGGAGGCTGAGGCAGGCGGATCACGAGATGAGATCGAGACCATCCTGGCTAACACAGTGAAACCCCGTCTCTACTAAAAATACAAAAAATTAGCCGGGTGCAGTGGTGGATGCCTGTAGTCCCAGCTACTCGGGAGGCTGAGGCAGGAGAATGGCGTGAACCCAGAAGGCGGAGCTTGCAGTGAGCCGAGATTGCACCACTGCACTCCAGCCTGGGTGACAGAGTGAGACTCTGCCTCATAAAAAAAACAAAAACAAAAACAAAACAAAAAACTCCCAAACACCTAATATATGTTTCATGTTCTTTTGAGAAAGCTTAATTAGGCTGGGCGTGGTGGCTCATGCCTATAATCCCAGCTACTCAGGAGGCTGAGGCAGGAGAATGGCTTGAACCCAGAAGGCGGAGCTTGCAGTGAGCCGAGATTGCACCACTGCACTCCAGCCTGGGTGACAGAGTGAGACTCTGCCTCAGAAAAAAAACAAAAACAAAAACAAAACAAAAAACTCCCAGACACCTAATATATGTTTCATGTTCTTTTGAGAAAGCTTAATTAGGCTGGGCGTGGTGGCTCATGCCTATAATCCCAGCACTTTGGGAGGCTGAGGCGGGCAGATCACCTGAGGTCAGGAGTTTGAAACCAGCCTGACTAACATGGTGAAACCCCACCTCTACTAAAAATACAAAAAAAAAAAAAATAATTAGCCAGGCGTGGTGGTGTGCGCCTGTAATCTCAGCTACTCAGGAGGCTGAGGCAAGAGAAACGCTTGAACCTGGGAGGCGGAGGTTGCAGAGAGCCGAGACCATGCCACTTCACTCCAGGCCTGGGCTACAGGGCAAGACTCCGTCCCAACCCCCGACACCCCCCTAACCCCCCAAAAAAGAAAAAGCTTAATTAGTGAGGCATGGTGGCTCATGCCTGTAATCCCAACACTCTGGGAGGTTGAGGCAGGAGGACTGCTTGAACACAGGAGTTCAAGACCAGCCTGGGCAACACGGTGAGAACCCTGTCTCTACAAAAAAATTTTTTAAACATTAGCCGGGTGTGGCAGTGCATGCCTGTAGTCTCAGCTACTCGAGAGGCTGAGGTGGGAGAACTGCCTGACCCCAGGAGGTTGAGGCTATAGTGAGCCATGATTGAGCCACTGCACTCCAGCTCGGGTGACAGGGCAAGGCCCTGTCTTGAAAATAAAATAGGTTGGGCACGGTGGCTCATGCCTGTAATCCCAGCACTTTGGGAGGCCAAGGCAGGTGGATCACGAGGTCAGGAGTTCGAGACCAGCCTGACCAACATGGTGAAACCCCGTCTCTACAAAAATACAAAAATACAAAAAAAAAAAAAAATTAGCGTGGTGTGGTGGTGTGCGCCTGTAATCCCAGCTATGTATTACAAATTTATATTATGTGGTTAGAACTTGACATGTAATACATGTAATACATAGTAGCTATATATTACAGGCGCTATGGCTCACGCCTGTAATCCCAGCACTTTGGGAGGCCGAGACGGGCGGATCACAAGGTCAGGAGATCGAGACCATCCTGGCTAACACGGTGAAACCCTGTCTCTACAAAAAATTAGCTGGGTGTGGTGGCGGGCACCTGTACTGCCAGCTACTCGGGAGGCTGAGGCAGGAGAATGGTGTGAACCCGGGAGGCAGAGTTTGCAGTGAGCTGAGATCATGCCACTGCACTCCAGCCTGGGTGACAGAGCGAGACTCCATCTTAAAAAAAAGAAATAAGGCCTATATCTATATTCTTTTCTTTCTCTTACATGGAAATAAACAGAGCAACTGTCATAACAGAAATAAGCATAACTGGTATTTACCTCTCTGCCTGTAAGGATATGTCTTGCCAATTTTACTTTTGCAAAATTCCCCTTGCCGATTGTTTTCAACAGTCTGTAGTTTCCGATGTGAGGTTGTTCATCTGCACAGGAGGCTATAGAGTTTCTACACCGAGCTCCTGAGCGGCTGGTACGAGAGGTAACTTCTTGACGCCCATCTCCATGTGACGTGTGCTGCAATACAGCATACACAAAGATAAGGAAATGAGAGAACACAGAGTACTTGCCAAGTTCTAAGAGCTTCTAATTGAAGAAAAAACATTCCTACTTTAATTTTAATCTTAAAGTATCTAGCACTTCAAAGGAATTTAACCACATAATATAAATTTGAGGAAAATAAAAATTCTGAGACGAAAAATACGAAGTGTTGAAGTTCAATTGAGTGTTCAGGAAGAAATTAGATATTTTGCATACGTGGCTGTCATATAAAATAGGAGTAAAAGGGCTACCTTCTGGTTATACAGTGCTTAACTTTTCCATATGTTAGTAAGTGCACCTGCACACCTGAGCCTCACTACAGCCCGTGCAGCAGGGGAAAAGCTAATGTCACCATTCACTAGATAAGGATACAGCCACATAACTGTTCAGGGGGAAATCCATAGAGAATCTGGATTCCCGATTTCCTTCTATACTACACTGCTAACAGTAATTCAAAACAATGTGCTTTACAGAAACAGCTAGACTGTGTGGCCCTTAATAGACGACCCTTGTTGTATAGATGAATAAAGTACTCAATATGCTTACTTAATAAAGTACTCAATATGTCTCTACCCTATGAAATATTCAGGCCCAAGAATTACACTTCTGTGTACACACTGTGTACATGGCTGTATGCGCAGGCATCCTGCTACTACTGCTCCCTTGGCCCCCACACACACTCAAAGGATTAGATGTCCCAATCCTTTCCCCATTGTGGCTGTTAACTCCTGCCCAAGGGAGGCTTCTCATTCCACATGCACTCACAGCCACTTTCCACCCCCTTTACACGTTTCTCTTTTCCAACTTTCTGTCCAGGAAAATGTCCTGTCTTTCTCTATATACCTATAAATCAAAACAAGCCTGATTTAACTAATAAACTGCTTTGTAATTTACTCAAATCAAAGGAAATGAAACTCAGGTGTTTTAAAGTGAAAGTAAGCTTTAAAACTTGCGCCATCTACCTCTGAATTTCTCAAAAGATGTCCTTTTCAGAATTTCCTCATTAGTCTCCATCTACTTCTTCATTATTTCTCTAATATTTTCACATTCACATACCAGGTTAGGGGATAGGCTCTTGTCTGTTTTACTCAGTTATCACATAATATGGCATCTCAACAACAATTTCTGTTTTTATTGCAAATGTCTATTTTAGATTAAACAGGCTTTTTATGACCTCACTGCAAATCTAGGCAACTTGTAAACATTGTTCCTCTAACAAAAATGATTCTGATTTCCATATTAGAACTTTGGGAAAATAGACCATTTATAAATATGGAGTTGATAAAAGACTAAAATGATAATAAAGCTTTGACACTAAGGCTTTAATACAAAAACAGGTAGATTTTGTTGTGCACAAGATGCATGCTGTTGTAATGCAAATTATTACATCAACTGCAGTCTAGTTTTAAAAGAAGCTGGGTGATCATGTTTATGTTTATTTCTACATGATTTTAATTACACTAGAATTTAAGTTTCATGAAAACAGTAACAGGAATTTATTATTCCTTATATCTTAGAACAGCAGTTGGTACAAAACTGCTACTCAATAAATATTAGAATGGCTGAATAAATGATATAAATGCTAACCACTATAGTGTTCAGAAGGTTAAAAATAAGGGAAATTTCTCTTTTTTATCTTCTGAATTTCTTCATTCATTCATTGAATATTTACTGAGTTACACACACACACACACACACACACACACACACACACACACACACACAACCAGGCACTATTTAAGGTGTGGTAAAAAGCAGCGCATAAAGCAGTCCATATCCCCATGAGGTATGTATCAAGTGGTTTTACTATCTGTGCAATGAAAACATATTCACTGAATTTATACTACTGGCCAAAATTTTTGTTAAAAAAGCTTTTTGCAATGTAAACATGTATTTTCAAATTTACATGTTTCATAAATTCAACCTTCATGTGTGAAAGCTGATCATACTAATTGGGTCATCCTATTCGTACTCAACTAAATCAGAGCTGAGGGGCAGGGATGGGGTGGGGGGCCAGGGGAGGGGGAGGGATGTAACATTGCTCCAAGATTATAATTCTCTGTAAGCCTGGCTGCTGAAACTGCCTATTGTAACCTGAAACCAGTTTATCTAATGGCTACTGAAACAACTTGTTGCTGACTCTAAGACCAGTATTACCCACCACTGTCACTCACCAATCAGGGCTTGCCACCTCCCCAAAACTTTACTAGTGCCAATGACCTGTCTTTCAAAATATGTAACACTTCTCTTTATAAAACCTCCATCCTTTACTTTGTTCTTCATACATACTGAAGACCACCCTGTGGTCTGTGTGCCCCAAATTGCAATTCTTGCGTCCCAAATAACATATTTTAACTTCAGAGATTCATCTCTACGTTTTATTTGACTTCAATATGTGTTTTCTATAATGAGGCAGTCAAATTGATGAAATAATAATTTTCATGCAAACCAACTGCCTTCTATTTAATGTAAAATAGAAATCTTAGAAAAATCCTTTTTTTTTTTGAGATGGAGTCTCACTCTGTCAGCTGGAGTGCAGTGGCGCAATCTCAGCTCACTGCAACCTCCGCCTCCCAGGTTGAAGCAATTCTCCTGCCTCAGCCTCATGAGTAGCTGGGACTCAGGTGCGCGCCACCATACCCGGCTAATTTTTGTATTTTTAGTAGAGACAGGGTTTCACTATGTTGGCCAGGCTAGTCTCGAACTCCTGACCTTAAGTGATCTACCCACCTCAGCCTCCCAAAGTGCTGGGATTACAGGCATGAGCCACCGCGCTCGGCCAGGAAAATCTTAAGATTCACAGGCATCCAATGTTCCTATCTTTGCTTACTCACCAGTGTGCTTATAATAAAATACTAACTCCTTAGCGCTTCTTCCACTAGCATGTAACCTTCACAAGGACAGGCTTTTTGTGTTTTGTTCATTATCAGATATTCCCCAAACCTGAAACAGTGCCTAACACATGGTAGACATGCAATACATTTTTGCTGAATGTTAAACGAATTCAAGGCCCGCTCATCTCTTCTTCCTCTCCCACGACATCAGCCAGTAGACTCTAGCTTTGAGTCTAGCTCTGACTCAGTCAGTGTTGTTCCCTTAGTTTGAATGTCCTTTCTTCTCTTCAAATCTAAGAAAAACCTGCTCATTCTACTGAGTTTGTATCATCTGTCACCATCTTCATGAACCCTTCTAAGGCTCTCCCTGCATCTCATCAGAATTTCTTACTTCTCCTTACTGGGATCCTAGAGTACTTTGCTTGTATCTAACTCTATTATGCTACTTTTTTTTGTAGACAATACTATATCCATCATACTGGCTTTTTTACATCTGAGTTCCTGGAGGACTGCACTCCCTTCCCTTGAGGTTAGGCATAGACAGCCATGTGACTAAGCTGAACACATCCTGTGAGTGAAAATGAATGCCATTCCCATGCTGAAGCATTTAGTTGCCTGTGCTTAACTCTCCAGCCCTGTGTTTTGCTCTCCTGACCCTAAGCACTGCCCTAAAACGGACGGCCACAAGACCAAACTGGCCTGGACATGGAGATCAGTTTCCACGGAGCCAATGAGCCCTCAAGCAGACTTGGTGTGAGCAGAAGTTTTTTATTGTGTTAAATCATGAGGATGTTGGTGGTATGTATTACCACAGCATAACACAGCCTAACCTAAAACACGCTCATGCAAATCAACAATCATAATAGAAAGCAGAAAGAAACTTGTATTTCCTCATACAGCAGACTGAAAGATCTGATGCTTGTTAGGGTTAAACTCAATATATTTAATTCGATGTTTCTTGACGAAGTCCTTAAATTAAAAAATTTAAGAATTAACTTTTTAAAAGTTCCCTTAAAACAGAAGCAAATTAAATTGTCTTTTGCTTCCATTTGCCCTTCATTTTATTTTCCCAAGAATCCATCACCGACCCTAAGAAAAAGTTCCCTATTCCTATGCCACAGCACTCAGTACCAACATTAAACATTTAAACAAATAATTATGAGTTCTTGTACTGTTAATCAATTATTTCATACACGTATTTTTTTCTTCCTAAGGAGCCAATAAACAACCTGCATACACACACACACACACACACACACACACACACACACACAAAATGTTATATAATTCTTTGATAACTTTTTTTTTTTTTTTTTTTTGAGACAGGGTCTCGTTCTGTTGCCCAGGCTGGAGTACAGTAGTGTGATCGATCATACCTCACTGCAGCCTCGAACTCCTGGACTCAAGGGATCATCCCACCTCAGCCTCCTTAGTAGCTGGTACTACAGGTGCGTACACCACACATGGCTGATGTTTTAATTTTTTGTAGAGATAGGATCTCACTATGTTGCCCAGGCTGATCTCAAACTCTGGCCTCAAGCAATCCTCCTGTCTTATTCTCCCAAAGTGCTGATATTACAGGTGTAAGCCACCATACCTGGACTACTTTATAATATTTCATGGCAGACTATGCACATAATGGGTACTCAAAAGCTGCTGAGTTTAATTCTTATGGATTAAATGAGTCCTGATTCTTCTCCCTCCTGTGGAACTAAGCTGGTACCACTTCATCCACCATGAAAACTAGAATATGTAACTGCTACTGAAAAATGCTGAATACAGCCAAAGACATGAGATTTCCTTCTTCAAGAAGTTGAACACGTGTTTAGGGAGACCACATTGGCCAAATACTTGTTTTCCCAAACTTCTCTGCAGCTAGAGATAGCCATCTGGCTTAGTTCTGGCCAGTTCTCATTAGTTAAAGTCTACTAGGTGGCAATGTAGTAGGGGGTAGGGGTTGGTAATGCCTTTGTTTATCATAAAAGGGGAGGCCGGGCACTGTGGCTCACACCTGTAATCCCAGCACTTTGGGAGGCCAAGGCTAGCAGATCACCTGAGGTCAGGAGTTTGAGACCTGCCTGGCCAACATGGTGAAACCCCATCTCTACTAAAAGTACAAAAATTAGCCAGGCATGGTGGCACATGCCTGTAATCCCAGCTACTCAGAAGACTGAGGCATGAGAATCGCTTGAACAAGGGAGGCGACAGTTGCAGTGAGCTGAGATTCCGCCACTGCACTCCAGCCTGAGTGACAGAAACTTCATCTCAAAAAAAAAAAAGGAGGGTGGGGGGGTAAGGACAGAGTTGCCAGTACAGTTCCTTCCTCCTTCCTTGAATGCAACCATGTAGCTGTAACTGTAAAACATTATCCTGTAGCTACAGGGTCTCAAACATGACAGAAAAGACAAAACTACCTTAAAATACCACCAACTCCAATATTACTGAACTGCTGATCCAAAGCTAGACGCTGCATACCTCCAAATTCCTTTCTTTTTTTTTTTTTTCTTTTTTTTTTTTTGAGATGGAGTCTCACTCTGTTGCCCCAGGCTGGAGTGCAGTGGCGCCATCTCGATTCACTGCAAGCTCCGCCTCCCGGGTTCACGCCATTCTCTGGCCTCAGCCTCCCGAGTAGCTGGGACTACAGGTACCCGCCACCGTGCCCGGCTAATTTTTTTCGTATTTTTAGTAGAGACGAGGTTTCACCGTGGTCTCGATCTCCTGACCTCGTGATCCACCCGCCTTGGCCTCCCAAAGTGCTGGGATTACAGGTGTGAGCCACCGCACCCTACCCCAAATTTCTTTTTGGAGAAAAACAAACCCCCTATTTGTTTAGGGCACTGTGTTAGGTCTTTGTGACGTTCAGCCAAAGCACTACTGACATAGGGGCCATATCAACTCAAAGCAATAAGAAAAATGGGAATGTGCTCCATTTTGTTTTACATATTAGTTCTTAATTTTGCCCACATATAAAAGAAGCATGAATTGTAAATCACTGTATAATCAGAAGACAAATTAAAACATTTCTTAGACACATTTAAAAAATCTTTTAAAAAAATCCTTGCCGGCAGGAAGTCCGTAAAAAATTTTTTTAACATCAATATGGTTCCAGAATAGTTTTGCCCTTGTATCTACCAGGCAGAGAACCAACCTGAAATCTGAGAGGCCTACTTACGTACCTCCCACATGAGAAGAATCAGGTTTACAAGTTTAAAACAGCAACAACTTTACACTATGTTTCAAATCTTCCTGAACAGAACTTGATCCCTTCTGTAAAACAAAAGAAGTGTGCCCTTACATGCATTCTATTCCTTAAATCACAAGCCACTTACTTAACACATAGGTATGGTTTCCAAATGTTAAAAAACAAAAACAAAAACAAACTACAAAGCCAAGTTGTGACAATAAATGGCTGTCCTCCAAGTATTTTGTACTTTAGAAATATTCACAAAGTCACGTTTCACTTTTGAAAGCAGCTAGGCAATTATTTCATTCAACATAGAAAAAGGATTTGATAAGATTGAACAATTTATAATTTAAAAACTCTTGGCCAGGCATGGTGACTCATGCTTGTAATCCCAGCACCTTCAGAGGCTGAGGCAAGAGGCTTGCTTAAACCCGGAAGTTTGAGACCCGCCTGGGCAAACATAGCAAGACCCTGTCTCTACCAAAAAGCCCCCACAAAATTCCTATAGCAAACTAGGATTAGAATGGGATGTCTGTCCTTGATTTGATAAAAATCACCAACCCCCGCAAAAAACAAGAATGCACCCAAAGCCAAGGAATGTATAAAGAGATTCTAAAAATCAGAGAGAAATACAAGTTAAAACCACAATGTAGTATCACCTTAGGCCTGTTAGATAGGGAAAAGGCAGAAAGCTCTGAAATGTTGGCAGAGAAACGGGAATACAAAAACTGTGGTGCACTATTGATGGAAGCAGCCATCTAGAAGAACAATCTGACATTTCCTGTGACCCATCAAGTCCATTCCAAGCTATATATCCCAAAGAAACTCTTACATTGCTCCATAAGGGGACATGCATGAAGATGTTGAAGCATTTTTTTTGTGGTGACAGAGTTGGAGAAAATTAACATGTGCACCTCTGGCGAGCAGACTGGTAAAATGTGGTAGATGCATACATCTCACTGCTATTCAGCAGTTAGATGCAATATATTAAGCGCACAGATAAGACATATGTAATATTTACATAAAGTACCAAACATACCAAAATAAACTATGTAAGAACACATACACATACTAAACACATTAAAACAGTAACGTGGGGTGGAGGGTAAGAGTAATGACATATGGAGACTAACAGGAGTAGATAAAACAAGAAGATAGTCTCACATGGATCAAAGATAATGTGACTCTTCACAGCTGAATTTATGAGAAAGCATCTAAGAATATGAATAGGAAGGGGGAACTGTTATTGTCCCATAAATATAGTAAAATCTGTTTCACTTTTGAATAAAATAATTGTTACTGGTATAGTAGGTGAACTAATGTAATACGGTGAAAAATAATTTACTTGTCTAATCCTTAGAATAAAAAACTTGTAAGGCACAAGTTGTGGCTAAAAAAATCTTGATTCAGGCCAGGTGCGGTAGCTCACGCCTGTAATCCCAGCACTTTAGGAGGCTGAGGCAGGAGGATCACAAGGTCAGGAGTTCGAGACCAGCCTGGCCAATATGGTGAAACCCCATCTCTACTAAAAATAAAAAAATTAGCCAGGCATGGTGGCGGGTGCCTGTAGTCCCAGCTACTCAGAAGGCTGAGGCAGGAGAATCGTTTGAACCTGGGAGGCGGAGGTTGCGGTGAGCCGAGATCGCACCACTGCACTCCAGTCTGGGTGACAGAGTGAGACTTCATCTCAAAAAAAAAAAAAAAAAATGTTTATTCAGTAACTTTCGGCTAGTCAACTATATGGTAGGCATTAGCAGGGAATAAAAGAAACAGAAAAGTGTGGTGTCAAACCTTCAAGGCACTCATGATATACACGGGGTGCTAACGGGGGAATAGCAACTGAAACAAGGGGCAATTCCTGCCCCAAGAGAAAATCAGAGTGAATACTCTAATGCTGTCCAATAGGTGTATAATGTGACATACATATGTAATTTTCAATTTTCTAGTAGCTCCATTAAAAAATGTAAAAAGAAACATATTTAATACGTTAAATTAAATACCATTTTATTTAACTCAATATACCCCCCAATATTTCAATGCATAATATAAAAAGGCTTTATATCCTATTTTTGAAATACTGTCTTTGAACTGGTTTATCTTTTATACTTACAGAACACCTAAATTCAAACTAACCACGTTTCAAGTGCTTGGTAGCCCCACATGTGGCTAGTTGCTACTGTGCTGGATAATGCAGCTCTAGGCACCCAAAGGACATGATCACATTTGGGTGAGATGAAGGAAAAAAGGTACCCCAAGATGTGAAGGGATGGAGTCCTCAAAGGGCAAGTAGGAGAGTTCTTATGAGAGATGAAGGACATCTCAGGCCAGGCACCACCCAAGAAGAGGTAACAAAGCTTGGGTGAAAAGGGGAAACGCTACTCTACTACAACAACCCACCATTAGCCAAATTTACCGCCAATTTTTCAAGAAGCCTATCAATCTTAGTTTGTTATTTATAATAACAAGTACTAGCTAAATTTTAAAGACATGTATTGACATATGTAAACACCTAATCCAAGTCTGGTTATAAATCATGGCTGCATTTACTTCCCCTCCCTCTCCAAACTCCATTAATATGAAAGTAAAGGAAAAAAATATAAGGCATAAGGAAAAAAGCCACAAGACAAAGAAAATAAAAGTGGTAACAGATATACTTTCAGAAACTAAAAAAAGAAGGAAAATGACTTAACACATATAAGAAAGATTAATCCTAAGCCAGCTATGGAGATATTGGAAAATCCTGATTTGTATTATAGAACTCTCAAAAGGTTCAGGAACTGGTAGTACAAGTACCTCTAGAAGTGTGAGTGAAGTAAGCCTGAAACAAGAAGATCTATCAGTCTGTTAAATAACAGACCCCCGGGTCTCCTCTCCCACTCAGGCAAAAAACTGGAGGTTCTTTAGAAAGGGCAAAATGGAAAGTCTCTGGGCTTGGGGACACAGGGCACAACTGAGGGCAGGGACACTGAAAACAAGCAGAGAAAGCAGAAAGCCACAGATCTTTCCTTCTGCCCTCTCCCGACTCAGCTCCCTGGAACATGGGCATTCCGTGCTTGCCTAGGCCAAGTGATAAGACTAAATATATTGGTATCAAGAGCACCACAAAGAAATAACAGTGTGTCCCACTGTTGTATTCAAGATCCATCCAAATGCACAAAACTTCCAATCAGCCTTAAACAAACAGAAAAATAAGCAAGACTCAAAATAGCATTCTCTCTCTCCAAATCGGAGTGTCAGATGCTATATAAGACAGAAAACAAAATTCTGAGGAAAAAGGGCATTCAGTCTAGAATTCTATATGCAGCCAAAATATCAATCAAGTATGAGAACAGAATAAAGATGTTTGCAGATATGAAAGGATTTTAAAAATTTACCTCTGAGCAACTTTCTCAGAAAATCACTGGAGGAACTGCTGCAATGAAACCTGGGAGTGAACCAAGGGGAAGAAAATGGATCGAACAGGAAAGGCAAAGGGAATCCCTAGGATATGGGTGAAGGGAGATCTCAGGATGACAACTATGCAGCAGAACAGACAGACAGAACACAAGGCCAGCCTGACAGAGATGAAAGTGACTGAATGCCTGATGAATCTGGCCACAGAGGAAATTGAGAAAGTGAAGTCATAAAAATCTAAGTAAACAAACAAAAAAACCAAGACACAACTTGAATGATGTTATTCTCTTTTGATTTAAAAAAAAAAAAACCATGAGGCACAGCCGAGTGAATTTGTCCACAGTTAAATCTCAAGACTAGTTTCAAATTCCAGTCTATAACTCTAAATTCTAATTTCTCCTTTTATATGTTGTTCCTTCTTTTTTGCTCCATCTTATGAGGTCCATTCTACCTCTTCAGAATCTTTATCTCGATCAGTCTTAGACTCTCATTTTTGTCTTCCACTTTCAAGCCCAGACTCTTTCCATCACACATCCCTTCAGGAAAGTAGTGTAAGATTGTGGCCAGGCGCTGTGGCTCATGCCTATAATCCTAGCACTTTGGGAGGCCGAGGCAGGTGGATCACTTGAGGTCAGGAGTTCAAGACCAGCCTGGCCATGGTGAAACCCCGTTTCTACTAAAAATACAAAAATTAGCCAGGCGTGGTGGCGGGTGCCTGTAATCCCAGCTACTCGGGAGGCTGAGGCAGGACAATCACTTGAACCCAGGAGGCAGAGGTTGCAGTGAGCCAAGATCATGCCACTGCACTCCAGCCTGGGCAACAGAGCAAGACTCCATCACAAAAAAAGAAAAAAGACTAGAGTTATGTAAAATTCTATGAACAAAACCTGTGAATTCAACTTCTCTGATTTTATATTAAATTCTACCAATACAGATTTTTGTGTCAAATGTCCATACACAAACCCCACAATATTTAGGTCCAACAAAAAGCAAATGCCTGTCAACAAGAAATACAGAAAAAACACCTGCTTTGTTTGAGCTTCAACACTGAACTTCAAGGTCCCACATAACCCACAGAAACAATGTCTTATCTAGTGCACACAGAAGTACACAAGACCAACCATAGTTGAGCAGCTTGAGTGGCTAGAGTGTAGTGCTAGCGAACTCTCGGCTGAAGACAAAATTGGATGCCCCTCCCACCTCCAAAAAAAGGCCTTTTCTTTCAAAGCCAACTTCTGCCCTTCCAATTGTTCTGTACAAGCAGGTGCAGACGGGTGAGTACAAATTCCTTATTACTTTTGCAGACCAACTCCAAGCACAACCTTTAACTTCTTGTGTGAGACAGGACATTAAAGCTTCCCAGGTAAGAGATTTATTTTCTCCTTCATGTTTAATTTGAAATTTGAAAATGGATATGAGACAAATGAATTTTCTGCTTTAGTCCTCCCAGTGGTGATCAGAGGGTACTGCATTCCCTGACTCCTTTTTCTTTTTTAACCAAAGCCACAAGTCACGGAATATTCCCTGACTCTTACTAGGAATTTGTTCCAGCCCAGGAAAAAATTCCAGGCATAAAATTTGGCTATATCTTAGAATAATAAAATGCAGGCCGAGCGCAGTGGCTCAAGCCTGTAATCCCAGCACTTTGGGAGGCCAAGGCAGGCGGATAACCCAAGGTGAGGAGTTTGAGACCAGCCTGGCTAACATGGTGAAACCCCATCCCTACTAAAAATACAAAAAATTAGCTGGGCATGGTGGTGTGTGCCTGTAACCCCAGCTACTTAGGCTGGCAGGCGGAGGTTGCAGTGAGCCAAGGTCACGAGATTGCACTCCAGCCTGGCAACAAGAGTGAAACTCTGTCTCAAAAAAAAAAAAAAAGTAATAAAATGCAGAACAATCCTCTTTGCAATCAAATAGTTAATATTAATTTTTATTAGACTGTATAAGCCTCTATGTAATTACAATGTAAATCATGCACCATGTAAGTCTAAATAGTTATACAATGTATATATCATGAGCTACATAACTTAAATGACCAAAATTCTATTTACTGCAAATTTCAACCTTTACCTCATTTACATACATAAGATAAGGATGCTCAAATTGAAGTCTATAAGATCTTTCCCTGAAAACTGACTAAATATTTTCATGAATTCTTCAGAGATCAACTTTTTTTTTTCTTTCTTAAGATACATAGTTTCACCATGTTGTCCAGGTCGACTGGAACTCCTGGCCTCAAGTGATCCTCTGGCCTTAGCCTCCTGAGTAGCTGAAACTATAGGCCAACTTTTTTCTGATAAGGCCCAAACAGCTTGATTCAACAGGTTGTGCTTAGAAGTTGACAAGCTGATTAAGCCGGGGCACAGTGGCTCACGCCTGTAATTCCAGCACTTTGGGAGGCCGAGGAGGGAAGTGGGAGGATCATGAGGTCAGGAGTTCCAGATCAGCCTGCCAACATGGTGAAACCCAGTCTCTACCGAAAATACAAAAAAATCAGCTGGGCATGGTAACAGGCACCTGTAATCCCAGCTACTCGGGAGGCTGAGGCAGAATTGCTTGAAGCCAGGAGGCGGAGGTTGCAGTGAGCCAAGATCATGCCACTGCACTCCAGCCCGGGCAACAAGAGTGAAACTCTGTCTCAAAAAATAAAATAAAATTTAAAAATTAGCTGGGTGTGGTGGCGGCTGCCTGTAATCCTAGCTACCTGGGAGGCTGAGGCAGGAGAATCGCTTGAACCCGGGAGGCGGAGGTTGCAGCGAGCGAGATCGTGCCACTGCACTCCAGCCCAGGTAACAGTGTGAGACTCCGCCTCAGGAAATTTAAAAAAAAAAAAAGCTAATTAAATAAAACCATATTACATATTTTAAATGAGATACTCTACAAAGTATTGCTGGCTGGTATACAGTTAAGTGATCACCAAATGGCAACTATTGTTATTTTCCAGAACCACAATTTTTAATAAACAGTTTTTTTTAAACTCATGGAACCTGAAAACTCAATTAAATGGTCTGGAAATCTTCCTTTGATAGTCACAGTACAATCTAAAAGGAGTATAGTTTAGTTAGCAAGCCTTCACTGCACACTAAGGCAGTGATTTTTTTTTCTTAATAAATAAACATCAGAAATTCCTGCTATAGTGATTCTTAAGAGTGGTCCCCGGACCTGGAGCATCAACATCACCTGGCAACTTGTTAGAAATTCCAATTCTACGGGTAAAATCAAGGTCTAGGGGTAGGGCCCAGTGATCACGGTTCTAAAGCCCTTCAGGTGATTCTAATGTTTGCTTAAGTTTGAGAGTTACAGACTAGTTTCATAAAGCTCAGGCTGCTTTGTCCTGCAAGGAGCAGGAAATCCTAAAGAGCAGGAAAGCTATGTGTCCCAGGTATATGGCCTCTACAGCACCTAGCACAGTATCATACACACGGTAGGCATTCACACTTGCTGAATAGGTTAATTCAGTCTCACATAACCGATGACTGACTAGACAACAGCATCATCAGTTTCACAGAGGTCAGAAATTTGGGGGACTATTTGCATTAACTAATAATAAGTACATGATGCACACATATCAGTAACTGTTAAATAACTGGGAAAGCCCTGGGCCTCTGGTACTTTGGCCAATAACATTACCAGGCTTACGAAGTGTCATATCCTTTGAAATTCAGGTGAAAAATATGTTTCTCATTTTGCCAGTATAGAAAAAGGATGTATCCGTGGCTCCATATAACTATAGAACATAAACTGAAATGCAAACTGTTTGGTTGCCTTTAAAAAGCATATTTTGACCAGGTACAGTGGCTCACGCCTGTAATCCCAGCACTTTGGGAGGCCAAGGCGGGCGGATCACCTGAGGTCAGGAGTTTGAGAACAGCCTGGCCAACATGGCGAAACCCCATCTCTACTAAAAAAAAAAAAAAAAAAAAAAAAAAAATAGCCAGGCATGGTGGCGGGAGCCTGTAATCCCAGCTACTCGGGAGGCTGCGCACGACAATCGCTTGAACCCGGGCGGCAGAGGTTGGCAGTGAGCCGAGATTGCACCACTGCACTCCAACCTGGGCGACAGAGCAAGACTCCATCTCAATTAAAAAAAAAAAAAAAGCATATTTGACATATCAGCCAACTATAATGTATGAATTCAAGCTGGATTCTAATTTGAACAGTTTAAAAATTAGAAATGTGAGAAAATTTAAATACTGCATATTTGATATTAAGAAAATATGATAAAAGTATTGCTTTTTTCTTAAAACAGGCTTTATCTCTTCTAAAAGCTTTAGAGAGGAAATGATACTGCATTTGCTTCTTCATTTATAAATGAAATAAGATTGGCCACTGAGCTGCGCTGTTGAGTACATGGGGGGCTAAGTACATACCAGGGTTTCTCAACGCTGGCACTACTGACATTTTAGGCCGGGTAATTCTTTGCTGTGGAAGGCTGTCCTACGTACTGTAAAATGTTTAGTAGCATTCCTGGTCAGCCAAACCTTTCTCCAGCTGTGATAACCAAAGATGTCTTTAGACATTGTCAAATGTCCACTAGAGGGCAAAATCACCCTGTGGCTGAGAAGCATTGATAAATAACATTCTATTTTTTTAAATTTTCCTATAATAAAATATTTTAAAAAATAGTTTTGACTGAGTGTGGTGGCTCACACCTGTAATTCCAGTGCTTTGGGAGGCTGGGACAGGAGGCCTGCTTGAGCCCAGGAGTTAGAGACCACCTTGGGCAATACAGGGAGATCTCATCTCTACGAAAAAATTAAAAATTAGCCATGCATGTGGTGGGGCACGCCTGTAGTCCCAGCTACTCAGGAGGCTGAGTCGGAAGGATTGCTTGAGCCCAAGAGGTCAAGGTTACAGCAAGCTGTGATTGCTCCACTGCACTCCAGCCTGGGTGACAGAGCGAGATACTGTCTCAAAATCAAAATAAAATCTACAGCAAGCTTGTCCAACCCACAGCCCTAGGGCTGCATGCAGCCCACCACAGCTTTGAAAGTGACCCAACACAAATTCATAAACTTTGTTAAAACACTGTGAGATTTTTTTTGCAGTTTTTTTAAAGCTTATCAGCTATTGTTAGTGTTAGTGTATTTTATCTGTGGCCCAAGACAATTCTTCCAATGTGGCCCGGGGAAGCCAAAAGATTGGACACCCCTGATCTACAAGCTTAAAAAAAAGTTTTAGAAATACTCTATGTACAGGTACAACTACATCTCCTTGTGGAGCCTAAGCTAGAGATCTGGGGCCCAGTAGAGGCTTTGCTACTAAATAGTTAGTGGTCTTCTGTCATTACTAGCAGCCTTTGTCACCTCTCTGAGTCTCAGCAACCTCACTGGATCAGATTGAGTAGTTCTTTTGAGCTATAACACGATGCAGCAACAGTGAACTTTTTTTTTGAGATGGAGTCTCACTCTGTCGCCCAGGCTGGAGTGCAGTGGCGCCATCTTGGCTCACTGCAAGCTCCGCCTCCCGGGATCACGCCATTCTCCTGCCTCAGCCTCCCGAGTAGCTGGGACTACAGGCACCTGCCACCACGCCCGGCTAATTTTTTATATTTTTGGTAGACACAGGGTTTCACCGTGTTAGCCAGGATGGTCTCGATCTCCTGACCTCGTGATCTGCCCGCCTCGGCCTCCCAGAGTGCTGGGATTACAGGTGTGAGCCACCGCGCCCGGCCTTTTTTTTTTTTTTTTTTTTTTTGAGACGGAGTATCCCTCTGTCGCCCAGGCTGGAGGGCAATGGCTTGATCTCAGCTCACTGCACTCTCCGTCTCCAGGGTTCAAGCGATTCTCCAGCCTCAGCCTCCCAAGTAGCTGGGATTACAGGTGCCCGCCACCGCACCCGGCTAATTTTTGTATTTTTAGTAGAGACAGGGTTTTGCCATCTTGGTCAGGCTGGTCTCGAACTCCTGACCTCAGGTGATCCACCTGCCCCGGCCTCCCAAAGTGCTGGGATTACAGGCGTGAGCCACTGCACCTGGCCAACAGTAAACTTTTATATACCCATTCACTAAGGGTGGACATTAATATTTGGAAATCAAACAAACAAAAACAAATTAGTGTACAAGGATGAAGATAATGTTGCAAGTTGTCTGCTTTTTTTTTTTTTTTTTTTTGGAGACAGAGTCTTACTCTGTCACTCAGGCTGCAGTGCAGTGGCATGATATCGGCTCACTGCAACCTTCACCTCTTGTGTTCAAGTGATTCTCCCACGTCAGCCTCCTGAGTAGCTGGAATTACAGGCATGCACCACCGCACCTGGCTAATTTTTTTTTTTTTTTGAGATGGAGTCTGGCTCTGTCGCCCAGGCTGGAATGTGGTGGCCCAATCTCGGCTCACTGCAAGCTCTGCCTCCCAGGTTCATGCCATTCTCCTGCCTCAGCCTCCCGAGTAGCTAGGACTACAGGTGCCTGCCACCACGCCCGGCTAATTTTTCGTATTTTTAGTAGAGACAGGGTTTCACCATGTTAGCCAGGATGGTCTCGATCTCCTGACCTCGTGATCCGCCAGCCTCAGCCTCTCAAAGTGCTGGGATTACAGGTATGAGCCACCACACCCGGCCTGCCTTTTCTTAGTCTTGATCTAATAAGCGACATTCTTATCACAGTTATATACAATTACTTAAAATTTAAATAAGATTCCTGGGGTAAGCACAATAAAAAGTATTTTTACAGAATACTAAAAGAAAACTGTTCTAGTCACAATAGCCAAAAATGTCCATCACTGGTGAGTGGATTAAAAAAAATTGTGGCACATCCAAACAAGGAAATACTTACTCAGCAATAAAAAGGAATGAACTACTGATACTGATACACATTCAAATAAATCTCAAAAGCACTACTCTAAGTGAAAGAAGACACAAAAGATTATTTACACTGTGACTCCATTTACATAGCATCCTAGAAAAGGCAAAACTACAGGGACAGAAAGCAGATCAGTGGTTACCCAGGGGCTAAGAAAGGGAGAGGGCACTGACTATACAGGGCCATAAGGGACCTTTCTGGCAATGGAAGTGTTCTACATCTTGATTGTGATAGCGGTTACATAACTATACGCTTGTCAAAATTCACCAAACTGTATACTTAAAACAGATGAACATTACATCTCAACAAACCTAACTTTAAGAAAAAAGGTTCTCAACAGAATGAGAGCTCCCATTCATTCTTGTACATTCACCACTCAATTGGCAGGAAGTCTAATACTTAGCAGTGCAGTAATGTAGGTAATTAATATGGACTATACCTGAGTTATAACACTGACACAAGGGCTCCACACTGTGAAAGCTACACAGCTCCTTCCAGAACATGCCAATGCAAGAGTTAAAAATGTAACAGGGCATGGTAAATTAATGCAACGATGTGTGATAAACTTGATTTTTAAAAAAAGTCAAAAATTCATTTTAAATACACTACATGGCTGGGCGTGGTGGCTCACGCCTGTAATCCCAGCACTTTGGGAGGCTGACGCGGGAGGATCACCTGAAGTCGGGAGTTTGAGACCAGCACGACCAACATGGAGAAACCCCGTCTCTACTAAAAATACAAAATTAGCCGGGAGTGGTGGCACATGCCTGTAATCCTGGCTACTCAGGAGGCTGAGGCAGGAGAATCACTTGAACCCGGGAGGCGGAGGTTGCAGTGAGCCGAGATCATGCCACGGCACTCCAGCCTGGGAGACAGAGCCAGACTCCATCTCAAAAAAGAAAGAAAGAAAAAAGACCCATTTGAAATCCTTCATTATCACAAATCTGCTATGACTGTTTTTGGCTTCAGTTTAGAAAGCATGGAGCTCCTACTCTGGTTCAATGTAAGGTTTTGCTTCTCTGAGTGAAGATCAATGATCAAAACTAATCAGTTGGGCACACTGGCTCATGCCTGTAATCTCAGCACTTTGGGGAGCCGAGGCGGGTGGATCACATGAGGCCAGGAGTTCTAGACCAGCCTGGCCAACATGGTGAAACCCTGTCTCTACTAAAAATACAAAAATTAGCCGGGCGTGGTGGTGCACGCCAGTAATCCCAGCTACTCGGGAGGCTGAGGCATGATAATCACTTCAGCCTGGGAGGTGGAGGCTGCAGTGAGCCAAGATCGCACCACTGCACTCCAGCCTGGGAGACAGTCTCGGTCTGTCTCAAAAAATAAATAAGTAAATAAATAAATAAATAAACAAATAAATAAGGTTTCTTTAAAAGGACTATAAGGAAATTAGTTCCCTGACTCACCTAGTCTAAGAGTTTCTATTACTCACTCTTTATATAATTTTCTAATCTATCTCAGGTGGAGAAAGGTACATCACTGTTCTACTTACTCAGGGCCACAGAGCATTAAATATTGTATACTAATATGCTACAGGGATGCTTTAGGCTATGGTTTACGTTTACGGATTAAATTATCAAACAGCTATCCAGCAAACAAGCGGCATTTTTGAAGATCAAAATGAAAGCATTAACTCCACTAGGCCACAACATCTCAGGACATTACTGAAAGCATGAAAACACTCAAAGCAAGGAAGCATTCCCTAAGAGAAGACATTTCGTGCCAGCAATTACCTCATAACACTTTTAATGAAAGGCCAGTGAAGTTTCTTTACAAATTATTTACTAGATGTTTTACAGAATATAGTCAACAACTAGATTGAAACACTTTTGAACCCAGTGTTAGAGGAGAACAGAGTTAGAAAACGAACAGAGTCAAACGTTTCTTCAATGGAATTTCTACTACAAGTTCTCATTCTCTAGCAATGCTGTTCCTGGCATTTTGTAGTTTCACATGAACAAAATCAAAGGTTCCTTTTATAAAACCATAGCCTGTGAGCGCTGAAAGGGACCTAAGAGCTCATCTAAGCCAATCTCTTTTTAGGAAGGAGGACAGCGAAGCCCCCAGCGGGTGTCCCTCAGCTAGGCAGTGAGTGGCAGAGCAGAGCTTCACTATACATCTGCTTTTCAAAATGTTTAACCAACTCCTTCAAAAAAGATTTGTATGGAAAGGAAACTGCCTTAATAAAGGCTGCGCGCTAGTGTTTTGGAATTCCTAAGGGGACCGCAAAGATCCCTCAGTGGACACTTAGTGACTGTGATTAAATTTAGTTCCAGACCATCTTAAAGAACGAGACCGCCCACTTGACCCAATCGATTACTCTTAATCAGCACCGGTAACATATGTTATTAATGTGACAGTCTCTCAAGAACTGCCTGACCAAGTTAAAAGCAGAGTTCGGCTAAAATAAGCACTGACCACTGCAGTGATCTGACACACACGTTTGCACAATCCATTGCGCGGCAACCTGGCCTCTCAAAGCACCGATCCGTAACGCTGCAACTCCTGGGCTTTATTAACCGACTAGACTGCCGGCATAATCGATGTACTTCGCAGACCCGCCCGCGAACAGCGGGACACGGCAGACTTCTGGAGGAAACGGTCCGACCTGGCTGCCTCCTGGGTGACTACGGCCTGCCCTCTATTTCCAGAGCGTTCGGCTGGGGGGAACACCCGACTGCAAGGCACTGCCCGAGGAGCACGAATGCCACCCCGAAGGTCCGCCAACTACAACGCCCAGGTTACTTACGTTTTCAGTGTCTCGTTCATTCACCGTTGGCAATGGGGTCCTAGTGGACATTTTACTGCACTTTAATTCTGCACAATGCGAGGGTCAAAACAAAACAGCACAGCCCTAGGAGGCCGGCGACCAGCGTCCTCGAGTCCACGGCAGTTCCGAAAAGGCGCCGTGGGGAGGGCGGCTCCCTTCCCCCTACGGCCGTCTAGATCCCGGGCCTGGCCCGGGCCGTCCCCCGGCGGGTCCCGGGGCTCATTCTCTCCCTGCCTCGGCGGCCGAGGCGAGGAGACCGGGAGGGCGGCAGTGGCGGAGCCGAGCCTGCGGGCGGCGGGCTGCGCTTCGGCCCGCCGGCGTCCCCTTGCCTCAGGGCGCCCCGCGATCCTGGGCCCCCTCACCTCCTTCTCCACTCCCTCCCGTCGCACCGCGAATTTCAGCTCGCGGGCCTCCACACAGCGCCGCCGGCGGCGCCTGAAAACGAGGAGGCGGAGGAGGATGTGAAGGAAGTGGAGCGCAAGACAGGCCGCCGCGGGCTGTGGGCGCCGACCATGGAGCGGGCTGCGGAGGAGGCGCCTGCGCCCGACTGCTTCTCCCTCTCTAGCGAGCTTGCTGCCTCAGCCTCCGCCCTGCTGGCCGCCGCTGCCGCCGCCGCACCCCGGCACCTCAGAGCCTCACGGAGCCAAGATGGCCGCCCCTCGGCTTCCTCTGCTGCCTCCGGCTGCCGGAAGTGACGACAGGCCGCCACCCGGAGTCCCGCCAATCAGCATGGCCTGAGAAAGCCGGCCCGGCTGTTGTTGCTAGGGGCGACTTGGTCCAGACCTCGCCGCGGGGGCGGTGCAGAGGGCTGGATAGTGCTGGTCGGGTCTCCGCTGACTCCCGCGGGCTGCGGGTTCCTCCTGTCCCGAGCGCGCCGGCAACCGCGAAAGAGCCGAGAAACGGCTCTGGGCGACAGCCAGAGCCCTCCCGCTGAGTTGGCATTTACACACTACAGGCCTGGGTTGGCTGGATTACAGATCGAGAGCCTATTGTGCGCAAAAGTTGCGGTTGCATCCCTGGGACTGCGCTGCACCGAATGGAGCCCCAGCATTAATTAATGACAGGGCCGGGGCTACGGGAAGGCGCCGGGCTCTTGCATCCTTAACTGTGACCCGGGAGTCAGGTTCTCGCCAACAAACCTTCCCGTCTCCGGATCTGAGCAGCTGCGGGCTGGGCGCGGACCCTGAGGGCAGCAGGCGCCTCTTGCCCTCAAGGAGCTGGTGGTCAGACGGGTGACAGACCCGGACCCAGCTAAATGCCATCCGGATGGAAGAGTGCAATAACGAGGGTGGCACAAAGGGGATGGGTTTGGGGGCGAAATGAATCTGTAGAGGACCCCAGGGACCAGCTTCCAAATGCCTGTAGGGGGTTTATAAGCAGGCTTTTCTTACAGTCAGTGCGTTGCTGCTGGAAGACTGGAAGCATCTCTGGGTGCCAGCCTCGGGCCAGGCTCGGTAGATGCCTGCAGGCTGGAACACTGGAAATGCTACCTGACCTGGAAGCCTTCCTTGCCCATTCACCTCTTCACGTGCTCGGTGCCTCTACTCAGCTCCTGGCCAGCGGTGGATGGAATCCATGGGTGCAGGGTCCGAAGAGGGAGAGTAGTGTGAGATGGGGGTGACACGAACTGTTACCGAGAGTCGAGTCTACCTTGTGGGTTCATGACATTTGTTACCTCATTTAGCCTCAGGGTAACCCTATGAGATGGGCAGACACACATGCGATCCGAAGTCTAGACAGGTACAGTGACTTGGCTAAAGTACACAGGTTGGTTAGCGACAGAGCTGGGATTCTAACCTAGCTCCCAAAGCTTGGATAATAGGTAAGCCCTTGTAGTGGGGGGCTATGTCATGCTTGCTTTCCCTTTGGTCCGTTGGCATCCCAACTCTCTTGCTATGTTTGAGACATTTCTTGCTCCACGAAATATATGTTTGTTGTTGTTGTTGTTGTTGTTGTTGTTTTGGGACGGAGTTTCGCTCTGTCGCCCAGGCTGGAGTGCAGTGGCGCGATCTCCACTCACTGCAAGCTCCACCTCCCGGGTTCACGCCATTCTCCTGCCTCAGCCTCCCGAGTAGCTGGGACTGCAGGTGCCCACCACCATGCCTGGCTAATTTTTTTTGTATTTTTAGTAGAGATGCGGTTTCACCGTCTTAGCCAGGATGGTCTCGATCTCCTGACCTTGTGATCTGCCCGTCTCGGCCTCCCAAAGTGCTGGGATTACAGGCGTGAGCCACTGCGCTCGGCCAAATATATGTATCTTTAAACGCCAGATTCACTCCCAGAGAGGCCAGAGGCTCCCAATGTTAAAACACCTGAGGACTAAGGTAACACTCAGGGCTCCCATCTAACCCTCAGAGAGGAGTGGTCAGGGGGCCAAGAGTGGTTCTATTTAAAATGTGAATAGGGGCCGGGCGCGGTGGTTCACGCCTGTAATCCTAACACTTTGGGAGGCCGAGGTGGGCGGATTGCCTGAGCTCAGGAGTTTCAGACCAGCCTGGCCAACATGGTGAAACCCCATCTCTGCTAAAATACAAAAAATTAACCAAGCACGGTGGTGTGTGCCTGTAGTCCCAGCTACTAAGGAGGCTGAGGTGAGAGAATCTCTTGAACCTGGGAGGCAGAGTTGAAGTGAGCGAAGATCAGCCCACTGCACTCCAGCCTGAGCAACAGAGCAAGACTGCGTCTCAAAAAACAAAATAAAGTAAAATAAAATGTGAATAGGGAGACGGCATGCACATCTGTAATCCCAGCTACTTGGGGGCCTGAGGTGGGAGGGTCACTTGAGCCCAGGAGTTGGAGACCAGCCTGGGCAACAGAGTGAGACCTTGTCTCTACAAAAACTTAAAAAAAAAAAAAAGGCAGAAGGATGATGCCCACTGCACTCCTGCCTGGGAGACAGAGCAAGAACATGCCTCAGAAATAAATAAATAAGTAAATAAATAAATAAAGTTATTCTCTTTCTCCTTCTGGCCAAGAGGAGTTAGTGGAATTCCATTAGTTAAATGTGTGCTTCACACACTTCAACTGCAATGTTGGTTATGATAAGACGGGGTGAGCATAAGTGTTGTGGGAGACCCAAGCAGGGACATTTAGCTCAACTCGGGGGTTTGGATCAGGGAAGGCTTCCTGGGGGAGAGGATGTTTATGCTGAGTCTAAAAGCATGAGCAGAGTTAGCTGTGGGAGGATGGGTAGAAAGGACAGTTCAAGCAGAAGGATGGCCTGATGAGCACCGCAATGAGAAGCCACACGGTGGGTCTGGGTAAATATCAGGAGAGTGAGCGGTGAGAAGTGAGACTGCAGAAGGCCGGAGCCAGGCAGGGTTTGGACAGAGCATGGCACCTGGTTCTGCATCCCATCCTGATGACAGTTGGGAAAACACCCCAGAAAGGGTTTCAGCCTCAGGCAGAAGCTGCGAGAAAGTGTATGGGAAGTTCAGAACAGTCCCCATTGGCCAGAGAAGTAGCTGGGGGAGGAGGTTGCCACCCAGATGCTTTTCTCACCCAAGCCACATATGAAATAATGAGTCAGCGAATGCCAAAAGTTAGGAAATGAAGATAATAGTACTTAACTCAAGATGCTTCTGGGTTTTGTAAAAGCTAGAATTAAACGCCTTGAACTTTTCCTTGCACTTATGTTAAATGACATCATGACACTATAAAGAGTGGGAGATGGGTGTGTGTGTTTCTTTTTTCTTCTTTCTTTCTCTCTTTCTTTCTTTCTCTTTGTCTCTTTCTTGCCCTGCCTGCCTGCCTTTTTCTCTCTTTCCTCCCTCCCTCCCTCCCTTCCTCTCTCTTTTTCCCCTTCCTTCCTCCCTCCCTCCCTCCCTCCCTTCCATCCATCCTTCCTTCCTTCCTTCCTTCCTTCCTTCCTTCCTTCTTCCTTCCTTCCTTTGTTGTTGCTTGAGCCAGACAGGGTCTTGCTCTCTTGTCCAGGCTGGGGCACTGTGGTGTGATCATAGCTCACTGCAGCCTTGAACTCCGGGGCTCAAGTGATTCTTTGCCTCAGCCTCCTGAATAGCTAGGACTACAGGTATGCACCACCATACCTAGGTAATTTATTTTTAGAGACCAAGTCTTGCCCAGACTGAACTTCCGGCCTCAAGCAACCCTCCCATCTCTGCCTCCCAAGGTGCTGGGATTACAGGTGTGATCCACTGCGCCTAGCCACCTGGGTGTGTGAATTACAAGCAAAAAAGAAAAGGAGAGGAAGAGAAGAAACAGTAAAGTATTGTTCTGTCCAAAGGACTCTCTGTGGCCCAGAATTATGTGCATCTATGGTCTGGAAGGAATAGAGAGGAGGGTTTGGAAGTTGTCCTTGGAATGCCTTCTTCAATCCCTTTTCATATTTCTTGTTTCCTGTCTTCATATTAAAATAGTTTCTACCTTGGGGCCCCAAGCTGAAAAGATATAACTAAATTTACTAAGATGTATATGTGCATAAGCAATACTTACTTTCATGGCAAGAAGGAAGGCACCATGAGACATCAGAAGCTAGAGATAATCTAGCCCTACTATGTCCCTGTGGGACAGACGAGAAACTGAGTCTCAAAGCCATTAGGATAGCTGCTACCAAAAAAGCAGAAAATAACAAATTTTGGCAAGAACGTGGAGAAATTGGAAACTGTGCACTGTTGGTGGGGATGTAAAATGGTGCAGCTTCTATGGAAAGCAGTATTATGCTTCTTGAAAAAAATTAGAAATAGAATTACCATAGGATCTAATAATCCCACATCCAGATAGATACCCAAAAGAATTGAAAACACAGTCTCAAGGAAATATCTGCACAGTCATGTTCATGGCAGCATTATTCACAATAGCTAAAATGTGAAAGCAAACCAAGTGTCCATCCATAGATGAATGGCTAAACAAAATGTGGTATGTCCATACAATGGAATATTATTCAACCTTAAAAAGAGGGGAAATTCTGACATTAGCTACAACACAGATGAAACTTGAGGACATTATGATGAGTGAAATAAGTCAAACACAAAAGGACAAATTCTGTATGATCCCTCTTCTATGAGTTACCTGGAGCAGTCAAATGTATTGAGACAGAAAGCAGAATGGTGGTGCCAGTGGGGAGGAGGAAATAGAGAGTTCTTGCTTAATAGGGAGAGTTTCCGTTTGGAAAGAAAAGAGACATGAGGACAGATTGCACAACAGTATGAATGTACTCAATGCCACTAAACTGTACACTTAAAAATGGTTAAGATGGTTAAGATGGTTTTATGTTATATGTTGTTACCACAATTTTATTTATTCATTTTTGAGATAGGGCCTCACTTTGTCACCCAGGCTGGAGTGCCGTGGCACAATCACAGCTCACTGCAGCCTCAAACTTCGGGGCTCAAGTGATCCTCCTGCCTTAGTTTCCAAAGTAGCTGGGTCCACAGGCATGTACCACCATGCCTAGCTAATTTTTTGTATTTTTTTTTTTTTTTTGTACAGATGAGGGTTTGCCATTTTGCCCAGGCTGGTCTCGAACTCCTGGCCTCATGCAATGCTCCCACCTTAGCCTCCCAAAGTGCTGGGATTACAGGCAGGAGCCACTATACTCAGCCTGCAATTTTAAAAACAAATAAAGAAATGAAGTCAAAGCTTCAGAAGCTTTGTCTGAAGCTGCACAACTAGTTAGCAACAGAGCCAGAATGGGGGTCCAAATCTCCCAAGCTCCAGCAGACGCCCCCCATATACACTATCACCAGAAAGTATCTGGGTCCCCGATGGCAGCTTCAAGCACCTGCACTAGCAGTGAGATTGCCATCCTCCTGATTTCTTCTGCAAAAAAATAAGCACCTGCTTGTTGCACCCACTACAGTTGGGTTGTGTGTTACTGCCTAGCTTGATCCTAACCAGTACCATCATGCTAAGTGTCACATCTGCTGATCCACAGGCCTGTGCTCTCTGCACCACATCTAGTTTGGACGAACATGGAAAGGCTGCTGCAGGCTTGTCACCCCATCACAGCCCTCACAAACACAACTCCTCTACCAGAGAGTGGGAACTACTGGGACCCGGGAGCCATTCCTCAGTGTGTGTGTGTGTGTGTGTGTGTGTGTGTGTGTGTGTGTGTGTGCGTGTTTGTACGCAGATATGTTGCAGACCAAGAGCTGAACACTGAGAATATGTAAAGCCACAGAGATGGAGAAAAGCAGAGTGTGATAATTATGAGACATTGCAGTCATCATGCTTGGTGAGGGGAAAGAGGAGGGGCCGGGCAGTAGGTGTTCCTGGGACATTCCAGGTAGGCCCCAGATGCTTTGAGTCTTTGGGAAATATGAGGTCCATTTGGACTCCATGCCAGGCTGCTCCCCCCACACCGGGGATGAGGGCAGACAAGCTGCTATTCTTTTAATTTACCCTCCAGTCCCCTTCTTCACTCCAGCGGGGTCCTGTTGCCCTCTGTGAGCCCTGCTTCAAGGCCCAGAAGGCACCCCAGGAATTCTCACTTCCAAGATTGTGTTCCTGCCATTCACTCACCTGGAAAGGCTCCCCTGCCTGCCCAAAGCCTCCCTGCTGTTATGCAGCCATCCTCTCATCCTGTCCTCATCCAGGGTCCTTGTCCTTGTCCTGGCTTCTTCCCTGAAGACTCTGCAGACCAGCCCCCAGGGTGGCCCGCCCCTCCTTGGCTTTTCCTGCCTGAGGTCACAGTACATTTATTGAGCTCCAGCTGTGTACCTGGCACAAGACACCTATGCTAGGACCCCCTAACTCTCCAACAGCCTGTGAGACGTCAATGGGCACGTGAGAGGCGACTGACTGAGACTCAGGAGGGGCTGTAACTCTTCCAACGTCAGGAGCAAGCAAAGGGAGAGCCAGGACTGGGCTCCAAGGCCGAAACTCTGCAATTGATCCTTTCATTCCTGGTCAGTGGAGAGCCCTCGAACCTCCTGTGCTTAGGTCAGTGTGGGTGGGGCCCAGCTGAAAACTCAGTAGAGCTGCATCAGTGATTCTCCACCTTCTGGCTTCCAGTACCCCAGCCTTTCCAGATAGCTCTGGATGGAACGCCTCTCGGGAAGAACATGGGCGCCCCCGCCTTCCTAAACACACTATTCTGAAAAATCGTGTCAGCTTTTCCCACAGCTCAAAGGTGTCCTTTTACCACGTCCCATGCTTCACCGCAGTGTAGAGATGGCCCTGGGGGATGCAGGAGAGAAAGAGCCATTTGCCCCTGCAGTAATTCTCCAGCTCTCGGATCTGCTGAAGATGATTGATCCCCATCTAGTTCTAGATCGGTCAGTCCCCATCTAGATCGGTCAGCCGCCTCTCACGCACACATACACAGTTGTCATTACCAGATTCTGGTAGCGTAGCCCTCTGGAGCCTGCCCTGTCCCATGACCCACTCTGCTCTGAGCTGGGAAAACCCACTGTCTGGAACTATATCTAAAGGTCTAGGGAGACCACAGTGGTGAGGCAGAGGCAAGGGCTTTGGAGTTTGAACTCTGACTATGACGCTGAATGCTGGGGGACCTTGGGCAAGTGACTTCATGTCCCTCAGGCAAGGTTTCTGAACCAGTCAAATGGGAATGGTAACAGCTACCACTCACAGTTGCTCTGGAGGTCCGTGGAGAAAATTCCCAGAGAGCACCAGCGCAGCAGGTGCAGAGTCCACCCTTCCAAAGCTCAGAGGACTCACCACCTCCTGGAGGGCTGCCCTTTCCACCTGTTCCCCAGAGAGGAGCACAGAGCTCAGAGTCTGTAGAACACAGATCAAGGCTTATTAGGCCACACAGCGTGGGGAGTTAGAGACTCACTCCTCCTCCCCGGTTTCCTCCTCCAGTTTTGCCTACCTCACTGAGTACTGAGCTCACGATAGGAGACGTAGAAGCCCTTGGTAAGGGATCCTGCAACACCAGATAAGGCGTTAGTGTTTTTATCATTGCCTGTGCTTTGCAGGCAAGGACTTGGAGATTCAGAAGGGCAAGAAGCCTTCTCAAGCTCACGGACAGAAAGCAGTGCCCTTAGACTCCAGTCTGCTGCTGGCTCTGACACCCACTGGCTGCAAGGCAGGTGGGTAAAAAAGGATAGAGAGAAAGAATAAGGGGGTGAATAGACTACCCCAGCACTCCTGGAGCCTCAGACCTGCCCATTATTGCAGGGTTGACCTATTAAAGTAAGCACATCTCCCAAATACAAACAGGTTTTTCCAAGACAATAAAGTCTAAGCTCTGCTTGAGGAAAGACCATTTCCTCCATTCCTTAGGCTGCTGCCCTACCCTTGGAGCCAGTTGGGCCTCACTGGGTGGAGTCATGAAAAGCCACATCAGCCTTCGGTGGCTGCCCCGCTACTCCTCTCTCCTTCCTTTGTTCCTTCCATCCACAGTGTTTATTGAGCACCTACTTTGGGCAAAGCTATGTTTGAAGCATTGAGGACATAGCTGTGAACAGAGAAAGTTCTTGCCCACTCTCAGGTCACAGGACACACATAGCAGAACTCATGCATAATATAATTTCAGGACAGGAGAACTGTAATTTAAAAATTTAATCAGGGGAGGGTGATACAGACTAAGCTCTTTGGTTTTAATTCAAATTTCTTTCTTTTTATTATTTATTTATTTTGAGATGGAGTCTCACTCTGTCACCCAGGCTGGAGTGCAGTGGCGCGATCTCGGCTCACTGCAAGCTCCGCCTCCTGGGTTCACACCATTCTCCTGCCTCAGACTCCCGAGTAGCTGGGACTACAGGCACCCGCCACCATGCCCGGCTAATTTTTTGTATTTTTAGTAGAGACAGGGTTTCACCGTGTTAGCTAGGATGGTCTCGATCTCCTGACCTTGTGATCTGCCTGCCTCGGTCTCCCAAAGTGCTGGGATTACAGGCATGAGCCACCACGTCTGGTCTCAAATTTCATTTTTTTCTTTTGTTCCTCAGTACACATAGTGCAAAATAAAAAGCTGCAAAGGAATACACAGTTAAAGCTTTTTTAACAGTTTATGTTTTTCAAAAACACCATAAAGAGGGTAAAAACGCAGGCCTCAAACTGGGAGAAGTTATAACTGATAAGGATTTAAATCCATACCATATAAGAAATGTCTATAATTGGCTGGCCACGGTGGCTCACACCTGTAATCCCAGCACTTTGGGAGGCCAGATCACCTGAGGTCAGGAGTTCGAGACCAGCCTGCCCCACATGGTGAAACCCCACCTCTACTAAAAATACAAAATTAGCCAGGTGTGGTGGTGTGCACCTGTAATCCCAGCTACTCAGGAGGCTGAGACAGGAGAATCACTTGAACCTGGCAGGCAGAGTTTGCAGTGCGCCGAGATCATGCCATTGCACTCCAGCCTGGGCAAAAAGAGCAAAACTCCATTACAAGGAAAGAAAAAGAAAGAAAGAAAGAAAGAAAGATCTATAATTTAATAAGATCAACAACCCAATAGAAATATAGGCAAAAGTCAACAACAGGCACTTGGGGGTTGATAAATAATAAGAACAAATACTTAAAGTCGTCTGTTATTGCAAATGCAAGCTATCTCAGTCCATTTTGGATGCTATAACAAACTACCGTAGACTGGGTGGCTTAAAAACAGCAAAAATTTATTCTCCACAGTTCTGGAGGCTGGGAAATCCAAGATCAAGGCCCTGGCAGACATAGTGTCTGGTGAGGGCTGGCTTTGTGTTCACAGATGGATAGCCATCATCTCACTGTGTCCTCACATGGCAGAAGGGGCGAATGAGCTCTCTGGGGCTCTTTTCTAGGAGGGATCCACCCTCCTGACCTCATTACCTTCCAAAGGCCTCACTTCTCGATACCATCAAACACTGGGGTTCAGTTTTCTTTTTTTGAGACAGAGTCTCACCCTGTCGCTGGAGTACAGTGGGGCTATCATGGATCACTGCAGCCTCAATCTCCCAGGCTCAGGTGATCCTCCCACCCCAGCCTCCCAGGCAGCTAGAACTACAGGCACTCACCACCATGCCCAGCAAATTTTTTTATATTTTTTGTAGAGACGGGTTTCCACCATGTTGCCCAGGCTGGTCTTGAACTCCTGGGCTCAAGTGATCCTCCAATCTGAGCATCCCAGTGCTGGGTTTATAGGCCTGAGCCACTGTGCCCAGCTGGGGTTTAGTTTTCAACATATGAATTTGGATGGACACAAACAATCTATAGCGCAAAGACCATAATAAGTTACCATGTACTGGCCACCAGATTGGCAAAAATGAAAAAGTCTGACAATATCAAGTGCTGCTGAGAATATGGAACAATGGGAACTTTTTATTGTCTTTTAGAGACAGGGTCTCACTCTGTTACCCAGGCTGGAGTGCAATGGCATGATCATAGCTCACTGCAGCTTCGAACTCCTAGGCTCCAGCAATCTTCCTGTCTCAACCTTCAAGTAACTAGCACTATGGGCATGAGCCATCATACCTGGCTAATTTTTTTTAAATTGTTTTTTGTAGAGATGAGATATCACTATGTTTCCCAGGCTGGTCTCAAACTCCTGGGCTCGAGCAATTCTCAGCCTCAGCCTCCCAAAGTGTTGGCATTACAGGCATGAGCTGCTGCCCCTGGCTTCAGTGGGCACTCTTAGACCCTGCTTGGGAGTGTAAGTTCAAGGTAAGAGCAGAAAATAGTGAAGCACAGTGCAAAGATCACATACTCAACAAAGCCAAAACTTAGTTCTTTGGCAAAAGCCAGTAAAATTGACATTTTGGACAACAATCTGACATTAGCAATTAAAGTTGAAGTTGTGTGGCCCCTACAACTGAGCAATTCCACCCAAAATATTTGCCCTAAAGAAACTCTCGGCTGGGCACAGTGGCTCATGCCTATAACCTCACACTTTGGGAGGCCGAGGCGTGGATGACCTGAGGTCAGGAGTTCAAGACCAGCCTGGCCAACATGGTGAAACACTTTCCCTACTAAAAATACAAAAAAATTAGCTGGGCATGGTGGCCCACGCCTGTAATCCCAGCTTCTCGAGAGGCTGAGGCAGAATCACTTGGACCTCAGAGGCGGTGGCTGTGGTGAGCCGAGATGGCGCCACTGCACTCCAGCCTGGGTGACGGAGTAAGATTCCATCTCAAAAAAAAAAAAAAAGAGAAAAAAACAGAAACTCCCGCTTTCCGCGCTACCCACAGAGGGGTCCATACGGCGTTGTTCTGGATTCTCACTGTAACTTAAAGGGAAACTTTCACAAGGTCCGGAGCTTTTGATGTCCTGCAAATGAAGGAGGAGCATGTCCTTAAGTTCCTTGTGGCAGGAACCCACTTAGGTGGCACCAAGCTTAACTTCCAGATGGAACAGTACATCTGTAAAAGGAAAAGTGATGGCATCTACATCATAAATCTGAGGAGGACCTGGGAGAAGCTTCTGCTGGCAGCTCGTGCCATTGTTGCCATTGAAAACCCTGCTGATGTTAGTGCCATATCATTCAGGAATACTGGCTAGACGGCTGTGCTGAAGTTTGCTGCTGCCACTGGAGCCACTCCAGTTGCTGGCCGCTTCACTCCTGGAACCTTCACTAACCAGATCCAGGCAGCCTTCCGGGAGCCACGGCTTCTTGTGGTTACTGACCCCAGGGCTGACCACCGGCCGCTCATGGAGGCATCTTATGTTAACCTACCTACCATTGCTCTGTGTAACACAGATTCTCCTCTGCACTATGGGGACATTGCCATCCCATGTGACAACAAGGGAGCTCACTCATTGGGTTTGATGTGGTGGACGCTGGCTCGGGAAGTTCTGCGCATGCGTGGCACCGTTTCCCGTGAACACCCGTGGGAGGTCATGCCTGATCTCTACTTCTACAGAGATCCTCAAGAGATTAAAAAAGAAGAGCAGGCTGCTGCTGAAAAGGCTGAGACGAAAGAGGAATTTCAGGGTGAATGGACTGCTCCAGCTCCTCAGCTGCTACTCAGCCTGAGGTTGCAGACTGGTCTGACGGCGTTTAGGTGCCCTCTGTGCCTATTCAGAAGTTCCCTACTGAAGACTGGAGGGCTCAGCCTGCCACGGAAGACTGGTCTGCAGCTCCCACTGCTCAGGCCACTGAAGGGGTAGGAGCAACCACTGAATAGTCTTAAGCTGTTCTTGCACGGGCTCTTCAGCAACATGGAAATAAGGTTGATGGAAAATAGACATCAGTTTCTAAAAAAAAAAAAACAACTCTCAAACATATGCACGGGAACATGTATAAGAATAGTCGTAACACTACAGTTTGTTATAGAAACACACTGGAAACAATTCAAATGTCCATTATCCGTACGAATACAGAAAATGGCATATTAGCACAAAGAAATAGTATATAACAGAGAGAATAATTTTTACAGCTACACACAATGTGAATGCATCTCAGTATCATAATCTTGAGATATTATTTAAAAAACCAGAGCAATTCTTAGAATACACATAGCGTGATTCAGAAATGAAAGCGTGCAAAACCAAACAACATACTGTTTAAAGATGCAAACGTATAGAATGAAACTATTGAAAAAAACACAAGGGGATGAAAAACACAAAAATCAGGGTAGTGGTGGCTGGGCACAGTGGCTTACACCTGTAATCCCAACACTTTGGGAGGCTGAGGAGGGCAGATCGCTTGAGCCCAGGAGTTTGAGACCAGCCTGGGCAACATGGTGAAACCCTGTCTCTACTAAAAATACAAAAATTAGCAGGGCGTGGTGGCACATGCCGGTAATCCTAGCTACTCGGGAGGCTGAGGCACAAGAATGGCTTGAGCCGGGGAGGCAGAGGTTGCAGTGAGCCGAGATGATGCTACTGCACTCCAGCCTGGGTGACGGAGTGAGACTCCATCTCAAATAAATAAATAAATAATCCTCACTCCCTTCTCCTCTGTGGATCTGGTTTTACCTGGGAGTCAGTGCACCAGGGCATAGCTAACAGCAGACCCTTCACTGTTCTGGCCCTCGTTATGGGTTCCATGCAGGAGGCTGATGGGGGATGGTCACCGGGAGACGGAGATTCTACCGTGACTTTGCATTTGGCTGCCAAGCGGCCTTGCCTATAGCCTTCCTTCCCACCTTGAACTTGAGCTTCCTCATCTGAAGATCACAATGGTTCTGACTGTCCATCATTTTCCCCAGCACACATCAGCTGTCATCATTTTTTTTTTTTTTTTTTTTTTTTTTTTGCCGCTAGTATAATTTCAGGTCAAGGACAAGAGCAGAGTTGAAAGAGCAAAACCCTCAAAGGTCTAGCCCTTCATCTTGACAAATCCCTGACCTCACATGGACAGCTCAGCATGGCAAGGCAGTGTGGAGCCTGGGAAGTTGTTAGAACAAGATTCTGTTCACTCAGCT
This sequence comes from Homo sapiens, assembly GCF_000001405.40. Classification (NCBI taxonomy): domain Eukaryota; kingdom Metazoa; phylum Chordata; class Mammalia; order Primates; family Hominidae; genus Homo; species Homo sapiens. The sequence continues at coordinate 103,372,796 of NC_000014.9, read as the reverse complement.
CTGCTGCCTCCTCTCCCTCGGATGTGACCTCAGACATGAGCTGGCCAGGGCTGGCCCTCTGAGTCAGCCCTGAGTCCCAACTATACGCCTTCCCCGTGGGGCTGCTGGCCTCAAAGCCTCCTTTAACAAAGAGGGCAGGAGGATGGATGATTCGGCGTGTGTAATATACCCAAGTGCAGATGAATAATTGATGTGTTTGAGTATTAATAAGCAGGAACTGGCTATTTTAGCCAGTAAAGCCAAAAAGATATTCTGTTAAAGCAAATCCTCCAATCTACACCGAAGGCAAAAAAAAACAAAAAGCAAAAAACAAAAAACAAAAAAAAACACGTAAACAACAACACCTCTAAACTTCCTGAACCCCCTGTTTTTAACAGAAACCTACTTGGAAGAGATTCTTTTTTTATAAGCATGTTATTTTAAAAATTACAATTTTAGGGTTGAAATGTTAAAAGGACTTAGTGTGTGTGTGTGTGTGTGTGCATGTGTGTGTGTGCGTGCATGTGTGTGCATGTGTGTGTGTCTGTGTGCGCGCGTGTGTGTGCGTGTGTGTGCGTGTGCGCGCGTGTGTGCGCATGTGTGTGCATGTGTGCATGTGTGTGCGTGTGTGCATGTGTGTGTGCGCGCGCGTGTGTGTGCATGTGTGTGTGTGCGCACGCGCGCGCGCGTGTGTGTGTGTGTGTGTGTGTGTGATGGTGCCACTGTCTTCCATTCCTCAGGCCTGGCCCTGAGCAGCACACTGTCATTCCTGACTCTGTTTTTCGTTTGTTTGTTTTGTTTTGTTTTGAGACGGAGTTTCGCTCTTGTTACCCAGGCTGGGGTGTAGTGGCGCTATCTCGGTTCACTGCAACCTCCATCTCCGGGGTTCAAGTGATTCTCCCGCCTCAGCTGCCTGAGTAACTGGGATTACAGGTACCCACCACCACACCTGGCTAACTTTTTGTATTTTTAGTAGAGACGGGGTTTCACCATATTGGCCACGCTGGTCTCAAACTCCTGACGTCAGGTGATCTGCCCACCTCAGCCTCCCAAAGTGCTGGGATTACAAGTGTGAGCCACCGCGCCTGGCCAGAAACAATATAATCATATGAATAGGCCCAGAAAAAGCATTTGACAAAATGCAACACCTTTTTTTGAGACGGAGTTTTTCGCTCTTGTTGCCCAGGCTGGAGTGCAGTGGCGGGATTGGCGGGATCCGGCTCACTGCAACCTCCGCCTCCCAGGTTGAAGCAATTATCATGCCTCAGCCTCTCAAGCAGCTGCGATTACAGGCACGTGGCATCACGACTGGCTAATTTTTGTATTTTTAGTAGAGACAGGGTTTCACCATGTTGCCCAGGTTGGTTTCGAACTCCTGGCATCAGGTGATCTGCCTGCCTCGGCCTCTCAAAGTGCTGGGATTACAGGCGTGAACCACCATGCCTGGCCATGCAACACCTTTTTTTAGAGACAGGGTCTAGCTCTGTTGCCCAGGCTATAGTGCAGTGGCACAGGCATACCTCACTGTAGCCTCAAACTCCTGGGTTCAAGCAACCCTCTTGCCTCAGCTTCCTGAGTAGCTAGGAATACCACCATGCACCACTACACCTGGCTCATTCTTTAAAAACATTTTTTTTTAATTAGAAATGGGGTCTTGCTATGTTGCCCAGGCTGGTCTCGAACTCTGGGCCTCAAGTGATTCTCCAACCTTGGCTTCCCAAAGTGCTGAGATTACAGGTGTGAGCCACCATACCTGGCCCCGAGACAATTTCATGATAAAAACAAAAAACAAAAAAACACCCTTAAACTAAGAATAGAAAGGAACTTTGTATAAAGGGCATCTATGGGCCAGGCGAGGTGGCTCACGCCTGTAATCCCAGCACTTTGGGAGGCCGAGGTAGGTGGATCACCTGAGGTCAGGAGTTCGAAACCAACCTGGCCAACATGGCGAAACCCTGTATCTACTGAAAATACAAAAATTAGCTGGGCGTGGTGGTGCCCACCTGTAATCACAGCTACTTGGGAGGCTGAGGCATGAGAATTACTTGAACTGGGGAGGCAAAGGTTGCAGTGAGCCAAGATCATGCCACTGCATTCCAGCCTGGATGACAGAGCGAGACTCTGCCTCAAAAAAAAAAAAAAAAAGAAAAAGAAAAGAAAAAGAACACATCCTGAGATGTGACAGAGTTAAAAATAATAATAATAAAGAAAAAGAATGCAGGCCGGGAGTGGTGTCTCACACCTGTAATCCCAGCACTCTGGGAGGCCGAGGCTGGTGGATCACCTGAGGTCATGAGTTCAAGACCAGCCTGATCAACAGGGTGAAACCCTGTCTCTACTAAAAATACAAAAATTAGCTGGGCGTGGTGGCACGCTTCTTATCCCAGCTACTCGGGAGGCTGAGGCAGGAGAATCACTTGAACCTGGGAGGCAGAGGTTGCAGTAAGCTGAGGTTGAGCCATTGCACTCCAGCCTGGGTGAGAGAGGGAGACCCTGTCTCCAAAAATAAATAAATAAATAAATAAGTAAATAAATAAATAAATAAATAAATATAAATTAAAAAAAGAGGAACACAGTGTACCCAAAGAGTGTTAAAAGGACATAGTAAGCAGAAATTAATGAAATCCCAAAGATATAATTAGATCAATAAAGCCAAGAAACAGTTCTTTGTAAAAACTCATTAAAAAAAAAAGGCAAAACTCTAGCCTGGCTAACCAAGAATAAAACAGAGAAAGCATGGGTAAGCATTAGAAAACACAAAGGGAGATATAACTACAGATGTTCAGAGATTTAAAAAATAAGGAAATTCAGTGAACAAATTTGCATCAATAAATTTGAAAGCTTATGCAAAACCAATCAGTTCCTTGAAAACGGTATCATCATAACAACCCAAGAAGAAATAGAACGTTAATAGCTCTGTTACTTTTAAGGAAATCAAAGCAAACCCAAATAATTTTCAGGTGAATTCTACCAAATTATCAAAGAAGACATTATTTCAGTTCTATACAAATTCTTTCAGACAAGAAGAAAAGCTGAAAATCCATGAACTATGCAAACATCTCAGGAAACTTGAAAAGGAACAGCAAACCAAATCCAAAGAAAGTGTAGGATAGGAAATAATAAAGAGGAAAAATAATGAAATAAAAAACAAACATATAATAGAATCAACAAAGCTAAAAGTCTCATCCCTGGTGAAACTGACCAAAGAAAAAGAGAAAATTGCAAAAAAAAAAAAAAAAAAAGTCAAGAGTGAGAAAAAGGCCAGGTGCAGGGACTCACACCTGTAATGCCAGCACTTTGGGAGGCTGAGGCGGGTGGATCGCTTGAACCCAGGAATTCGAGACCAACCTGGGAAACATGGCAAGACCTCCATCTCTACAAAAATACAAAAATTAGGCTGGGTGCGGTGGCTCACACCTGTAATCCCAGCACTTTGGGAGGCCAAGGGTCGGGGTGGGGGTCGGGGGCGGGGTGGGGGGGCGGGGGCGAATCACGAGGTCGGGAGTTCGAGACCAGCCTGACCACATGGTGAAATCCCTTCTCTACTAAAAATACAAAAATTAGCCCGGCGTGGTGGCCCGCTTTTGCAGTCCCGGCTACTCAGGAGGCTGAGGCAGAAGAATCGCTTGAACCCGGGAGGCGGTGGTTGCAGTGAGCCAAGATCGCGCCACTGCACTCCAGCCTGGGCAAGAGTGAGACCTTGTCTCAATAAATAAATAAATAAATAAATAAATAAATAGTATATGGAAATACAAAAGAATGAGAATATCCAAAAACTCTCCTAAAGAAGGGGAACAGGCTGGGCGCAGTGGCTCATGCCTGTAATCCCAGCACTGTGGGAGGCTGAGGTGGGCGGATCATGAGGTCAGGAGATCGAGACCATCCTGGCTAACACAATGAAACCCCGTCTCTACTAAAAACACAAAAAATTAGCCGGGCGTGGTGGCGGGCGCCTGTAATCCCAGCTACTCGGGAGGCTGAGGCAGAAGAATGGCATGAACCTGGGAGGCGGAGCTTGAAGTGAGCCAAGATCACGCCACTGCACTCCAGCCTGGGCGACGGAGTGACACCTTGTCTCAAAAAAAATAAAAAATAAAAATAAAAAAAGAAGAAGAGGAACAAGTCAGGACAATTACCTCACTGCCTGTCAAGGCTTATTATAAAGTATGGTAATTAAGGCAGTGTGATTAGTGCACAAATACAAAAATCGTCCAGTGAACCAGCAAGAAAAACTCCGAAGCAGACCAATACACATGGATACCTGATTGACAACAGAGGGCATTGCAGAGCCTGGAGAACAGTCTTCTTCTTTTTTTTTTCTTTAGACGGGGTTTCTCCATGTTGGCTAGACTTGTCTCAAACTCTTGAGCTCAAGCAATCCACCTGCCTCAGTCTCCCAACGTGCTGGGATTATTGGCGTGAGCCACCACACCCAGCCCGCCACTTGTATATTTTCTTTGGAAAAATGTGTATATAGACGCTTAGCCCAATTTTTAATTGAGCTGTCTTTTTATTATTGAGTTGTAAGAATTATTTACATAGCAGTGATATCATGGAAGATGACACAGTAGAAAGTGCCAGGAATCTGTCGCCCCCATCTAGACAACAATCTGGCAGAATCTGTCTGATGCAACTATTTTGGAACTCTGGAGTCCATCTGAAGGCCTGCAGTTTCCAGGGGAAGGCTTGTATCTTACTCCTTTTTGTGCTGCTATAACAGAATGCCACAGACTGGGTAATTTACAAGAAAATAAATCCATCGGCTCACAGTTTTGGAGGCTGGGAAGTCCAAGATCAATGAGCTGACATCTGATGAGGGTCTTCTTATGGTGTCAGCCCATGGCAGAAGGGCAAAGAGAAGAGAGAGAGAGAAAGAGAGAGTAAAAGGGGGGCTTAACTCTTCCCCCTTCTTTTTTTCTGAGACAGAGTCTCACTCTGTCACCCAGACTGGAGTGCAGTGGTGTGATCATAGCTCACTGAGGCCTCAGTCTCCTGGGCTGAAGCAATCCTCCCACTTCAGCCTCCCCAGTAGCTGGGACTGCAGGCATGTGCCACCATGCCTGGCTAGTTTTATTATTTTTAGTAGAGACAGGATCTCACTATGTTGCCCAGGCTGGTCTTAAACTCCTGAGCTCAAGCAATCCTCCCACCTTGGCCTCCCAAAGTACTGGGATTACAGGTATGAGTCACTGTGCCCAGCCTTCTCCGTACTATAATTAACCCACTCCCATAATAATAAATGCATTCCCAAGATAATGGCATTAATTAATTCACTCCACTCTCGGGGCATAATCATCTGTTATTTTTATTTTATTTTATTTATTCTTGGAGACACGGTTTTGCTTTGTTACCCAGGCTAGCGTGCAGTGACATGATCATAGCTCCCTGCAGTCTTGAAATCCTGGGCTCAAGTGATCATCTCACTTCAGCCTCCTGAGTAGCTAGGACTGCAGGTGTGTGCCACCACATCTGGCTAATTTTTAAATTTTTTATTCTTTATTTTAAATTTTATTTTTAGAGTCAGGGTCTTGCTCTGTCTCCCAGGCTGGAGTGCAGTGGCATGATTACAGCTCACTGTAGCCTCAACCTCCCAGGCCCCAGTATCCTCCCACCTCAGCCTCCTGAGTAGCTGGCATGTGCCATCATGTCCTGCTAATTTTTTTATTTTATTTTTTGTAGCGAGGGGGTCTCCCTATGTTGCCTAGACGGGTCTTGAACTCCCAGGCCCAAGCAATTCTCCTGCCTCAGCCTCCCAAAGTGCTAAGATTACAGGTGTGACTCACCACACGTGGCCCTAATCATCTCTTAAACCTCCCAACTCGTAATACCGTTAAAATGGCAATCAAATTTCAACATGAGTTTGGAAAGGGGCAAATATCCAAACCAGAACAGCTTGAATGTGAATCCTGGTTAATTTCGGTCAGTGTCCTCTCATGGTAGTGGCTATGCATTCCCCAGCCCCTCAGCCCTACATGCAGTCATTCTTGGAATAGCTTGCAGCACCCAGGGTTAGCACATAACCTTGTCCTCCAAATACTGGAGATGTGTATTCTTTTTTTTTTCTCCCAAGATGAAGTCTTGCTCTGTCGCCCAGGCTGGAGTGCAGAGGTGCCATCTCGGCTCACTGCAACCTCCGCCTCCCGGGTTCAAGCAATTCTCCCACCTCAGTCTCCAGAGTAGCTGGGATTACAGGTGTGTACCACCATGCCTGGCTAATTTTTGTATTTTTAGTAGAGACAGGGTTTTACCATGTTGGCCAGGCTGGTCTCGGACTCCTGACCTCAGGTGATCCGCCTGCCTCAGCCCCCTAAAGTGCTGGGATTACAGGCGTGAGCCACCGTGCCCAGAAGAGATGTGTATTCTCATCACTGGCTGCTGCTTCTGATTGCAGAGGTTCAGACACAGGGGGGACTGCCATTGTTACAACCCCACTGGCTAAAGCAGCTTCCAGAGCATTGAAAGAGATAGAGGCTGGGTTTTGAGGTTTTTTTGTTTTTTACTTAATTATTTATTTACTGAGACGGAGTCTCACTCTGTCGCCAGGCTGGAGTGCAGTGGCGTGATCTCGACTCACTGCAATCTCTGCCTCCTGGGTTCAAGTGATTCTCCTGACTCGGCCTCCTGAGTAGCTGGGACTACAGGCGTGTGCCACCATGCCCAGCTAATTTTTGTATTTTTAGTAGACACGGGGTTTCACCATGTTGGCCAGGATGGTCTTGATCTCTTGACCTCATGATCCGCCGGCCTCAGCCTCCCAAAGTGCTGGGATTACAGGCTTACGCCCAAGCCACCGCGCCCGGCCTGTTTTTTATTTTTTTACCCTTAATTTTTCCCTTTTCTCCTTTTAGTGGCCAAACAATTAAGGACTAGGACATTCAAAAGCAACCACGTATACAGGAGAATTTAGAAAGTCACCATTCATGCCTGGAAAGACAAAGCCTCAGAAAAGACCCGAGACAATCTCAAGTTTACACCTCAAGTTCATCCCCTGCACAGAGACACCTTACAACAATTTAAAAAGAAAAACAGGCTGGGCATGGTGGCCCACACCTGTAATCCCAGAACTTTGGGAGGCCGAGGCAGGTAGATTGCTTGAGCCCAGGAGTTTGAGACCAGCCTGGGCAACATGGTGACAACCTGTCTCTACAAAAAAAAAAAAATATTGGCTGGGTGGGAGGCTGAGATGAGAGGATTGCTTGAGCCCAGGAGGTAGAGGCTACAGTGAACCATGATAGTCCCACTGCACTCTAGCCTGGGCAATAGAGTGAGATTCTGTCTTGAAAGAAAGAAAGAAGGAAAGAAAGAAAGAAGGAAGGAAGGAAAGAAAGAAAGAAAGAAAGAAAAAGACAGACAGACAGACGTGGGTAAAGGAGAGAACCTGATTTCCACAGTTACCATATTGTAACATTCAAAATCCTGTTTTCAACAAAAAAATCACAGGCATACAAAGAAACAGGAAAGTGGGTTCATTCATAGGGAAAAAATATATAGAAACCATCTCTAAGGAAGAACCACACGGCAAACTTACTAGACAAAGACATTATAACAATGGCCTGAAACTTATTCAGCCTTTTCTGAGGCTTTGTTTTTGTTGCTATTATTGTTGTTGTTGAGACAAAGTCTTGCTCTGTTGCCCAGGCTGGAGTGCAGTCACATGATCTTGGCTCACTGCAACCTCTGCCTCCCGGGTTCAAGCGATTCTCCCGCCTCAGCCTCCTGAGTAGCTGAGATTACAGGCAACTGCAACAAGGTCCGGCTAATTTTTGTATTTTTAGTAGAGACGGGGTTTCACCATGTTGGCCAGGCTGGTCTCGAACTCCTGACCTGAAGTGATCTGCCCGCCTTGGCCTCCCAAAGTGCTGGGATTACAGATGTGAGCCACCGCACCTGGCTGGCTTTGTCTTTAATGCTTACTAGACAAAGCATTTTGTCTGACTAATAATGCTCAGAGAGCTAAAGAAAGATGCAGATAGAGACTAGTGAACAATACAGTCAGGATGGCTAAACGTGATCCCAGGAAACCAAAGGACAAAATGTCTGCTTATGCCTTCTTTGTGCAGATGTGCAGAGAAGGACATAGAAGAAAATCCCAGAGGTCCCTGTCAATTTTGCAGAATTTTCCAAGAAGTCCTCTGAGAGGTGCAAGACAGTGGGAAAGAGAAGTCTAAATCTGATGAAATTGCAAAGGCAGATAAAGTATGCTATGATCGGGAAATGGAGGATAACAGACCAGCTAAGGGAGGCAAGAAGAAGTTTCCTAATGCCCCCAAAAGGCCATCCTCTATATTATTTCTGTTCTGTTCAGAATTCCTCCCCAAGACCAAATCCACAAACCCTGGCATCTCTACTGGAGATGTGGCAAAAAGCTGGGTGAGATGTGGAATAACTTAAACGACAGTGAAAAGCAGCCTTACATCACAAAGGCGGCAAAGCTGAAGGAGAAGTATGAGAAGGATGTTGTTGACTTTAAGTCTAAAGGAAACTTTGATGGCACAAAGGGTCCTGCTAAAGTTGCCTGGAAAAATGTGGAAGAAGAATATGAAGAAGATGAGGAAGAAGAAGAAAGAGGAGGATCATGAATAAAAAAAAATCGTTTAACTGTCAAAAAGAGAAAAGAAGGACGCAGACAAAGCCAAGCAAATTATTTAGGGACAAAATGGAAAGATCAATAAAAATATAGTGAACACAAGAAGGAACCAAGAGGAAATTCTGTAGCTGAAAAGTACAATAACTGAAATGAAAAATTCATGGAGGGATTCAGAAGCAGATTTGAACAGGCCGAAGAAGGAATCAACAAACTTGAAGATAAGAAAACTGAAATGATTAAGTCTGAGGAACAGAAAGAAAGAGGACTGAAGAAGAGTAAACAGGGTCCAAGAAACCTGTGGGACACCATCAAGTAGAAGAATGCACACTGTCAGGGTGCCAGAAATAGAACAGAGAGAGGGAAAGAGAAAATTAAATTATTGGCTGGGTGCAGTGGCTCACAACTGTCATCCCAGCATTTTGGTAGGCTGAGGTGGGCAGATCACTTGAGGTCAGGACTTCAAGACCAGCCTGGCCAACATGGTAAGACCCTGTCTCTACTAAAACTACAAAAATTAGCTAGGAGTGGTGGCAGGTGTCTGTAATCCCAGCTGCTTGGGAGGCTGAGGCAGGAGAATCACTTGAACCCAGGAGGCAGAGATTGCAGTGAGCTGAGATTGTGCCACTGTACTCCAGCCTGGGCAACAGAGCAAGACTCCATCTCAAAAGAAAAAAGAAAATGAGATTATTATTGTTTTTAATCGATAAATAATAAGAGATTATTTGAAGAAATAATGGCTGAAAACATCTCAAATTTGGTGAAATACATGAATCTAAACATCCAAGAAGCTCAGTGAACTCCAAGTAGGATGAATTTAAAGAGGCCCTCACAGAGACACACTGTAATCAAACTGCCCAAACCACAGATAACAGAGAGAATCTTTAATTTTTAAGTAATTAATTAATTAACTAATTAATCTTATAGATTAACTAACTAATCTTATAGATTAACTAACTAATTAATCTTATAGATTAATTAACTAACTAATTAATCTTATAGAGATAGGATCTTGTTATGTTGCCCAGGCTGGTCCCAAACTCCTGGACTCAAGCAATCCTCCTGCCTTGGCCTCCCAAAGTATGGGGATTGCAGGTGTGAGCCACTGCACCCAGCCACAGGTGTGAGCCAAGAGAGAATCTTGAAAGCAGGGAGAGAGAAACAAATTGTTACATATAAGGGATCTCCAGTAAGATTAACAGCAGATTTCTCAGCAGAAACGTTGGCAGCAAGAAGGCAATGTGTTGGTACATTTGAAGAGATAAAAGAAAAAACTGTCAATCAAGAATCCTGCTGGACAAGTTAGCTCCTTCCTGTAATTCTAGCTACTTAGGAGGCTTGAGGTGGGAGAATCACTTGAGGTCAGGAGTTCAAGACCAGCCTGGGCAACATAACAAGACCTCATCCCCCCCCAAAATTTTTTTTTAATTAGCCAGGCATGTTGGTGCACAACTGTAGTTGCAGCTTCTTAGGAGGCTGAGGCAGGGATGATCACTTGAGCTAAGGAGTTTGAGGATGCAGTGAGCTATGGTCACACCACTACACTCCATCCTGGCTGACAGAGTGAGACTCTGTCTCTTAAAAAAGAAGACAAAACAAAACAAAAGTAATCCTATACCTGGCAAAACTGCCCTCAGAAAAGAAGAAATGAAGGTATTCCCAGATAAACAAAAGCAGAAAGAGTTTATTACCACTAGATCTGTCTTACAGAAAATGCTAAAGGGACTTCTGCAGATTGAAATTAAAGGATATTTGCCATTATATAGGCAGAAGGAAGAAAGCAAAAATTAAAAAAAAATAAACTAAAGAACACTAGACAATAACTCAAAGTCCTATGAAGAAATAAAGATCTTCTATAAAGGTAAATACATGGACAATTACAAAAGCTAGTATTATTGTCATTTTGGGTTGTAACACCACTTTTCCTTTTATACATGATTTAAAAGACTAATAGTAAAAAGCCAGTAATAAGTCTATGTTTTTTGGCACCCAATGTATAAAGGTATAACTTCTGACATCATTAGCTGAGAGGGTGGTGGCAGAGCCGTATAGGGGCAGAGTATGATACGGCAGCCCCTCCTTACCCAAGGCTTTATTTTCTGTGGTTGCAGTTACTCATGGTCAACTGTGGCCCAAAAATATGAAATGGAAAATTCCAGAAGTAAACAATTCATAAGTTTTAAACTGTGCACCATTCTGAGGAGCATGATGCAATCTCTTGCTAGCTTGCTCCATCCTGCTTAGGATGTGAATCATCCCTTTGTCCAGCGTATCCACATTTTCTATGCTACCTGCCCCATTAGTCACTCAGCAGCCATCTCTGATCGGCTCTCACGGTGTCACAGTGCTTGTGTTCAAGTACTCCTGTTTTCATTGATAATGGCCCCAAAGGGCACGAGTAGTGATGCTGGCATTTTATCATCTCACATGATCATACGAAGGGTGAATAAAGTATAATAAGATATTTTGAGAGAGAGATAGACCACATTCACTTAACTTTTATTACAGTAGGTTATTATAATTGTTCTATTTCATTGTTAGTTATTGTTGTTAATCTCTTACTGTGCCTAATTTATAAATTAAACTTTATCATGGGTATGTAGGTATACAAAAAAATACTATATACATAGTAATCAAGTCTTTTTTTCTTTTTTTCCTGACCTCAGGTGATCTGCCTGCCTCAGCCTCCCAAAGTGCTGGGATTACAGGCATGAGCCACCTTGCCCAGCCCGACTGTATATATTCTTTAACATACATAAAACAGTACTTTGAGAAAGAAAGCAAAGAAAAATGTAAAAAGCAGGACAATTCTAAAAGCTCTCAGAGAGAGAGAAATTAACCTACTAAGGAATGAAAATCCAATCACATCAAATTTATCAGCCTCATTGGATGCTTGAGGACCCTGGAGCAATGCCTTCAATGTTCTCAATAAAAATAATCTGAAACTTGAAATTCTATACCTAGCTAATTTACCAACAAAATGTTAGGGCAGAATAAAAACTTGTTTTTTTTTTTGAGATGGAGTCTCGCTCTGTTGCCCAGGCTGGCGTGCAATGGTGTGATCTCAGCTCACTGCAACCTCTGCCTCCTGGGTTCAAGTGATTCTCCTGCCTCAGCCTCCCGAGTAGCTGGGATTACAGGTGCCTGCCACCATGCCCGGCTAATTTTTGTATTTTTAGTAGAGACGGGGTTTCACCATGTTGGCCAGGCTGGTCTTGAACTCTTGACCTCAGATGATCTGCCCACCTCGGCCTCCCAGAGTGCTGGGATTACAGGTGTGAGCCACCGTGCCAGGCCTAGAATAAAGACATTTTTAGAACTACATGCTGTGGAAGATTCTATTATTACCTAGCAAATATTCACTCCTTTCCCCTGAGCTCTGTGGGAGGTGCCGACTTCCTTGCTCCGTTGCTGTTGGACTGAGCCGTGTGACTTGCTTTGGCTAATCAGATGGAAGCAGATGTGTGTGACCCAGCAGAAACTTGAAATATGCTTGCCATGGGCCTGGGCTTGTGTCTTTCACCAAGAGAGATATCAGTCTGGTAGCTGCTGGTTCACGTGGGACAAAAGATGGTTGGAGCAGACTGGGAGCTGATCCGCAGTCCAGAGTCAAGCCCAGCCAGGCCTGGCCTGGACCCGCTGAACCACAGTTGAGCTGCAGATATGTAAGGAAGAAATAAATGGTTGTTTCGCCACTGTGCTTTGTGGTAGTTTGTTATACAGCAAAACCTAAGACACATGGACTCAGAATAATTTCTCTCCCACATACCCTTTCTGGAGAGGTTCCTTGGTGATTTGCGATGGCAGAGAGGGGAACACATGGGATCCAGGAAACAGAAGATTCAACTCAGACAGCAATGAAGGAAGACCTGGGAGACAGTGGGTGCAGGCTCGGACTGGAGCAGGGCACGACAGCAGCGGGAGAGAGGCGTCCTGAAAACAAGGTGATTCCACAGATGCCAGAGCACCCTTGAGATTCTGGAAGAGGCTTGAGATGCAGTAAAGGAAGACAACGCAACACAGAAAGAAAAGCAACTTGCCATCGGGCTTGGTGGCTCACGCCTGTAATCTCTACACTTTGGGAAGCCAAGGCGGGCAGATCGCTCAAGGTCAGGAGTTCCAGACCAGCCTGGCCAACATGGTTAAACTCCATCTCTACTACAAATACAAAAAATTAGCAAGGCGTGGTGGCGAGTGCCTGTAATCCCAGCTACTCGGGAGGTTGAGGCAGGCAGGAGAATTGCTTGAGCCCAAAGGTGAAAGTTGCAGTGAGTAGAGATCGCGCCACTGCACTCCAGCCTGAGTGACAGAGCGAGACTCCGTCTCAAAACAAAACAAAACAAAACAAAAAAGGCAACTTCCAACTCTAGGGAAAAAAGCAAAAGTTGAATAAAGAAAAATGTGGCACTGCACAACTTGGTTCTACAGTGATGACATTTTGTATTATCTTATAAAGAAAAGTGTTGGCCGGGCGCGGTGGCTCACGCCCGTAATCCCAGCACTTTGGGAGGCCGAGGCAGGTGGATCACGAGGTCAGGAGATCGCCTGGCTAACACGGTGAAACCCCGTCTCTACTAAAAATACAAAAAATTAGCCAGGCGTGGTGGCGGGCGCCTGTAGTCCCAGCTACTCAGGAGGCTGAGGCAAGAGAATGGCGTGAACCTGGGAGGCGGAGCTTGCAGTGAGCTGAGATCGTGCCACCTGCACTCCAGCCTGGGCGACAGAGCGAGACTCCATCTTAAAAAAAAAAAAAAAAAGAAAAAAGAAAAGTGTTGCCCCAATCTTCGCCTTTAGAATCGACCTATAAGTAAAGGACAGAAAGCTTTATTCTGGGCCAGGTGCAGTGGCTCACGCCTGTAATCCCAACTCTTTAGGAGACTGAGGCAGGGGGATTGCTTGAGTTGAGGAGTTCAAGACCAGCCTGGGCAACATAGTGAGATCCAATCTCTACAAAAAAATTAAAAAATTAGCCAGGTGTGGTGGCATTGACCTGTGGTCCCAGCCACTTGGGAGGCTGAGGTGGGAGGATCCCTTGAGCCCAGGAGGTCGAGGCTGCAGTGGGCTGTGATGGCACCACTGCACTCCAGCCTGGGTGACAGAGTGAGACCCTGTCTCAAGAAAAACCCAACAACAACAACAACAACAAAAAACCAGTTTATTTCTACTGCAAGCAGATTATAAATACTATCAATTCTGACAGTATAAAAGTAATAGTACAGACGACTTAAGTTGGGAGTTGGAAGGTGGAGGTTATAAAGCCAAGGTTAGAGAAACAAATATCTTCATCTTCCCTTGTTGGGAATCAAGAGAAGCCTCTATGGATAGAAGAACCAGTAATAAAATCGCAAATATTATGTTTAAGCTTATGGAAGGAACCAATAGAGGGATTGAAAATAATAATAATGGCCAGGCGTGGTGTGAGCCACACCTGAAATCCCAACACATTGGGAGGCTAAGGTAGGCGGATCACTTGAGGTCAGGAGTTGGAGACTAGCCTGGCCAACATGGTGAAACCCCATCTCTACTAAAAATACAACAACAACAACGAAAATTAGCTGGGAGCGGTTGTACATGCCTGTAATTCCAGCTACTAGGGAGGCTGATGCAGGAGAATCGCTTGAACCTGGGAGGCGGAGGTTGCAGTGAGCTGGGATCACACCACTGCACTCCAGCCTAGGCAACAGAGTGAGACTCGGTTTAAAAAAAAATGAAAATAATAATAGAAAATAGTAATAACCACATTGAGAGGAAGATGTGGGGGGATGGGGTGGTGAGTCACCTCTACAGGTGTCACCTGAGACCCCAAGGGATAATGTCTCAAAGTGACAGCAACTTATAGCTATGTACCCGTGTTATATAGTAGTTAGAGGTTAATCACCAGAAAAACCTCAAACAGAAAGTTCAGTTACTACAGGCCAATTCCAAAGCTTGTATTTTTTTTTTTTTTTTTTTTTTTTGGAGACAGACTCTGTCTCTGTCGCCCAGGCTGGAGTGCAGTGGCATGACCCCGGCTCACTGCAACCTCTGCCTCCCAGGTTCAAGCAATTCTCCTGCCCCCATCTTGGTTCACCACAGCCTCCCCATCCTTGCTCAGGTGATTCTCCCACATCAGCCTCCAGAGTCGCTGAGACTACAGGCATGCACAGACATGTCCTGCTAATTTTTGTATATTTTTTAGAGACGGTGTCTCACTATATTGCCCAGGCTGGCCTCGAACTCCTGAGCTCAAAAGATGGCACGCCTTGGCCTCCCAAAGTGCTGGAAGGTGGGAGCTGCCAGGTGTGAGCCACCGTGCCTGGCCTCTTGCTGTTTCATTATCCATTAGATGTGCAGTGTTATTATCTTGGTTCTGTCTGCTCCTGCCCTGTCTCTGAGTTGTTGCCTCACCACGTCACAGTCTTATGAGCTCTTTTTTTTTTTTTTCTTTTAGATGGAGTCTTGCTCCGTTGCCCAGGCTAGAGCACAGTGGCGCGATCTTGGCTCACCGCAACCTCCACCTCCCAGGTTCAAGCAATTCTCCTGTCTCAGCCTCCCGAGTAGCTGGGATTACAGGTGCCTGCCACCATGCCCGGCTAATTTTTGTATTTTTGTAGAGATGGGGTTTCACTGTGCTGGCCAGGCTGGTCTCGAACTCCTGACCTCAACTGATCCACCTGCCTCGGCCTCCCAAAATGCTGGGATTACAGGCGTGAGCCACTGTTATGAGCTCTTTTATGGGGAGATGGATCTGGGGACACCTGCTTTTCTGCCTTGGATTGAATTTCACCATATCTGTTTTTATACTTGTCCTTGTTTGTTTTTTCCTTTGCAGGTTGAATTAAAAAATCAGACTCCAACTGAGGATCACACATTGCATTTAGCAGAAATGTATCTTTAGTCTGCTTTAGTTGCCATAACAAAATACCATAGACTGATTGGCTTACACAATAGAGATTTATTTTCTTGTCCTTCTGGAGGCTGGAAAGTCCAAGATCGTGGTGTCAGCATGATCAGCTCCCAGTGAGGGCTCTCTTCCTGGCTTGCTGTCTTCTTCCTGTGACCCCCACAGGGGACAGAGAGAGAGAGAGAGAGAGAGAGAGAGAGAGAGAGAGAGGGAGAGAAGAGAAAGAAGAGAAGAGAGAGAAGAGAGAGAGACAGGAGAGAGAGAGAGAGAGAGAAGAGAAGAGAAGAGAGAGAAGAGAGAACACACTCAAGAATGCTTTCTGTGCTAAGTGTGGTGGCTCATACCTGTAATCCCTGCACTTTGGGAAGCTGAGGCAGGAGGATTGCTTGAATCCAGGAGTCAAGACCAGCCTGGGGAGCATAATGAGACCTTGTCTCTACAAAAAATAAATAAATTAACAAAATTAGCTGGGCATGGTGACACATGCCTGTAGTCCCAGCTACTTGGGAGGCTGAGGTGAGAGAATCACTTGAGCCCGGGAGGTCAAGGCTGCAGTGAGCTGAGATTGGGCCACTGTACTCTAGCCTGGGCAATGGAGGAAGATCGTGTCTCAAAAAAAAAAAAAAAAAGAAAAGAAAAGGAAAAGAAAAGAAAAACAGAAGTGCTTTCCGGTGTCTCTTATTATAAGAGTACTAATCCCCTCATGAAGGCCCCACCCTTTGACCTCATCTAACCCTATGACCTCCCAAAGGCTCTATCTCCAAATACCATCACACTGGGAGTTTGGTCTGCAATATAGAAATTTTGGGAGGATACTGTTTAGTCCATAGCAACCTTCTTTCTAGATTAAAGAAGACTTTTAAATTTTATTTTATTTATTTATTTATTTTTTGGTGCTTCATGACACTGACGTTTTTGCTTCCTTGTAGTGGCCCTGTGTATGCTTGCATATCTACCAAGCTGTTTACTTTCATTTTGCTCATGGTGTGTTTGGGCTGCTCTGGCTAGGCTATCTCTTCTGATGTTGGGCGGGAGATTTCTCTGACACTCACGTTGTTCTTGGGGGTATTTATCTTCCCCTATATACCAGCTTTGACGAGTTTTGGCTGCATGCATAAGAAAAAATATGCAAAACAAGGCAAATGTTTATTTCCCTCCTCTAAAAGAACCCTGAAGGGAATCAGCACAGTGTTGATATGACACTTTCAACAGCATCCGGGGCCAGCCTCTGACCTTTCTGCCCCATTCAGACCCACTTACTTCTCACTGCCAGGTGGTCCCGACCAGGCACGACTTCTCCGTGACTCTGGTTGGTCACACTTTTCTGGGGACATTTACAAGACGAGAGTTAGTGGGAAGAACCACAGTCTGGCTGCTGCCAATGCCCTGAGGCTGTACTTGATACTCATTATCTTCCTCCACCCTGAACCATCTAGACATTCTGCAAAACAGCATGTTGGCCACCATATAGAGGGCGTCACGTTAATCAGAGCAGATGCCGTGGTAAGACACATGCCATCCAGGGGACTGGAGATAAAGCCTACGGAGACTCAGGAGCCTCCACATGGACAGTTTAACCCATTCATCAGGTCACATGGAAGACTGCTGGTTTTGCGTTGGGCCAGGAGCAGAAAGAGCTCTCCAGCAGCCCAGGCTGCCACAAGAGCAGCTTCCTGCATGCACCCATGACTCAGCAGGTGCAATGGAACTAGAGGGGGCTGTGGTTGGGAAAGATGCTACTTCCCAGTACAGACCCCCTGGGTTCTGGAGAAAGTCTGTGCCTTACACAACAGAGAACTACAAACCATTCAAAAAGCAGCCCTGATGCGCTCCTGGACCCTGCTAGAAACTGTCTGATGGCTAGAACTTCCCAAGATGAGTTCATTCTGGCCGGACGCAGTGGCTCATGCCTGTAATCCCAGCACTTTGGGAGGCCGAGGCAGGTGAATCACTGAAGGTCAGTGGTCAGTGACCACTGAAGGTGGATCACTGAAGGATCACCAGCCTGGCCAAGATGGTGAAACTCCATCTCTACTAAACATGCAAGAATTAGCCAGGCGTGGTGGCAAGGTGCCTGTAATCCCAGCTACTTGGGAGGCTGAGACAGGAGAATCGCTTGAACCCAGGAGGAGGAGGTTGCAGTGAGCTGAGATCATGCCACTGCACTCTGGCCTGGGTGGCAGAGCAAGACTCCATCTCCAAAAAATAAATAAATAAATAAATAAATAAATAAATAAATAAATAAAAGAGCTGATTCTGCTGGACCCACCAAGTCTTCAGGTCAGGTGGACCCAACAGTAACCCACAGTGAGATGGAAGTGGTACATCTGCAGTACAGCATGGCAGGACCAGGGGGCGCAATGGGCTGCACAGCAGGTGGCTCAGACACCCGAGTCATCTGCTAGTATTGTACCAACACCTCTCCCTCAGCTACACCTATGGCCTCATAGTGGGAGGAGGGAGATGATGAGTATCACATCCAGCCTCAGGACATCTGCAGCAGCCAGGGTTCAGGTCTTGAATTCTATTGTGACAGAGAGCTGCACAATTCACATCGCTGTTGGGAAGACCATAAACGGATGCTGCTGTGCCCCCGGGGCAGCACAGGTGAAAGTTTTAGCCACTGCAGGGCTCGGACACTTCAGGGACTGTCAATATTCCACCTGCTGGGTCCTCACTACCATTCAGCCAGTGAGTCACCCTTAAGGAATTCCATCCTTGCGGTCTCCTTCATGGGATGGCTCTGGTTCCAGCTATCCTAGGTCAAGTTCCTATAAGCGGCACCTGCAATGGGGATTCTTGTAAAAGTAATTTATTACAGTGTGCATGCATTCAGCCGTTTCTTACATTGCTATAAAGAAATACCCGAGGCTGGGTAATTTGTAAGAAAAGAGGCTGATTTGTCTCCTAGTTCTGCAGGCTGTATAGGAAACATAGTGCCAGCATCTTCTGGTGAGGCCTCAGGAAGCAAAAGCGGAAGGCAAAGCGGGATCAGGTGTTTCACCAGGCAGGAGCGGGAGCAGGAGAGTGGGTGGGAGGTGCCGCACACTTTTAAACATCCAGATCTTGTGAGAACTCATGCACTATCATGAGAACAGCACCAAGAGGATGATGCTAAACTATTTCATGGGAAATCCACCTCCATGATCCAGTCACCTCCCACCAGGCCCCACCTCCAACACTGGAGATACATTTAAACGTATTTGGGTGGGACAAATATCCAAACTATATCAGCTTTCTTTTTTTTTTTTTTTTTTTTTTTTTTTGAGACGGAGTTTCGCTCTGTCGCCCAGGCTGGAGTGCAGTGGCGCGATCTCGACTCACTGCAAGCTCCGCCTCCCGGGTTCACGCCATTCTCCTGCCTCAGCCTCCCGTGTAGCTGAGACTACAGGCGCGCGCCACCATGCCCGGCTAATTTTTGTATTTTTAGTAGAGACGGGGTTTCACCGTGTTAGCCAGGATGGTCTCGATCTCCTGACCTCGTGATCCGCCCGTCTCGGCCTCCCAAAGTGCTGGGATTACAGGCGTGAGCCACCGCGCCCGGCCCAAACTATATCAGCTTTCTAAGGAGAAGAGAGTGAGGAAAATCGGAGAGGGCAAAGGAAAAAGGGTAAGCACGGCTGTGGTCTCGGGTGGGGTCCGTGTGGCTTCAGTCTGGTCCCATGGAAAGCTTGGAGCAAAAATTGCATCTGGGTTCATCCCACATCAAAGCAAGGGATGGGCATTTCACATTGTGAGTCTGTCATTCGCTGCTGACTTATCAGACAAGGCAGTACCTATTCTTCCAAGGCAATTGGCTGGAGAGAAGGTGGGCGTGAACTCTGGCAGTCAACACTCACGGGGCTCATGCTTCTTAGACAATCAGGAGATGTGTGCAGAGACAGAGAACAGCACTGTGTCAAGATGCCAATTGTGATGGTAAAATGGATCATAGAAAAGAAATCTCTGGCCGGGCACAGTGGCTCATGCCTGTAATCCCAGCACTTTGGGAGGCTGAGGCAGGCAGATCACCTGACGTTAGGAGTTTGAGACCAGCTTAGCCAACATGGTGAAACCCCATCTCTCCTAAAAATACAAAAATTAGCCAGACATGGTGGCACGTGCCTGTAATCCCAGCTACTCGGGAGGCTGAAGCAGGAGAATCACTTGAACTTGGGAGGTGGAGGCTGCAGTGAGCCGAGATCGTGCCATTGGACTCCAGCCTGGGCGACAGAGCAAAACTCCACCTAAAAAACAAAACAAAACAAAACAAAAAACCCTCCATGACTCTTCAGATGACCATACCCTAGATGAGTTCTCTTAAATGCAAGCATCAAAGAGTGAACAATATGCATCTGAGGACAAAAAGGAAATCTGGATCTTGCTCCTGTTGCCCAGGCTGGAGTGCAGTGGAGTGATCTTGGCTCACTGCAGCCTTGACTTCCCAGGCTCAAGCAGTCCCACCCCAGCCTTCCTAATAGCTGGGACTACAGGCTCGAGCCACCATGCCCAGCTACTTTTTGTAATTTTTGTAGAGACGGAGTTTTGTCATGTTGCCCAGTCTGGTCTCGAACTCCTGGGCTCAAGTGATCCACCCACCTCGGTCTCCCAAAGTGTCGGGATTACAGGCATGAGCCACCGCACCCGGCTGAATTATGGATTCTCATATCCATATTCAGTCCTTCAACAGGAAGAACTAGCAACACAACGTTTTGTGACAAGAAATGGGATACATTTTGTTAAAAGGATGCATGATAATATTTCTTCATCTTTTACGATGTTTGTGTACATACTTTACTTGATACATTCAGTAAGTGGATGATAAAGTTGGATACACGGGGGTGATTGGAAGGAAATAGATGATGAAGAAATGAAAACAATTCATTGGATTGACCATTTAATTGGGGTTTATAAATCTAACCATGACAATATTTCACAATTATGGAACAAAGAAGATGGCCATCCTCTCAACAAAATTATGAGTGTCAAAGTTTTCAAAAGTATTGGGTTTCACAGATTCAAAGAGAAGAGTGAGAAGTCATGATAAGCTAAAACCTACTAAAGATGTAGTTGAAATCTGGAAGCAGTTTTTACAAGATGGATATGTTCTAGATTCAACATACAAGACAGGGCATGAGCAGTAAGTGGAAAGCAAAGGACATTGCCTAGTCTTTTTTTTTTTTTTTTTTTTTTTTAACAGAGACAGGGTCTTGCTATGTTGCCTGGGCTGGTCTTGAACTCCTGGGATCAAGCAATCCTTCCACCTTGTCCTCCCAAAGTGCTGGGATTACAGATGTGAGTCATTGTATTCAGTCCATTCTTGGTATATATACTTTCTTTTTTGAGACAGAGTTTTGCTCTTGTTGCCTAGGCTACAGTGCAGTGGCGCGATCTTGACTCACTGCAACCTCCGCCTCCCGGGTTCAAGCAATTCTCCTGCCTCAGCCTCCCAAGTAGCTGGGATTACAGGTGCCCACCACCACACCCGGCTAATTTTTATTTTTAGTAGAGATGGGGTTTCACTGTGTTGGCCAGGCTGGTCTCAAACTCCTGACCTCAGATGATCCACCTGCCTTGGCCTCCCAAAGTGCTGGGATTATAGGTGTGAGCCACCACTCCTGGCCTCTTTCTTTTTTTTCTTTTTCTTTCTTTCTTTTTTTCTTTCTTTTTCTTTCTCTTTCTTTTCTCTTTTCTTTTTTTTCTTTCCTCTTCTCTTTTCTTCCCTCCCTCCCTCCCTTCCTTCCTTACTTCCTTCCCTCCTTCCTTCCTTCTTTCCTTCTTTCTTTCCTTTCTTTCTTTTTGACAGAATTTCACTCTTGTCACCCAGGGTGGAATGCAATGGCACAATCTCGGCTCACCACAAACTGCCTCCCGGGTTCAAGCGATTCTCCTGCCTCAGCCTCCCAAGTAGCTGGGATTATAGGCGCCCGCCACCACACCCGGCTAATTTTTGTATTTTTAGTAGAGGCAGGGTTTCACCACGTTGGCCAGGCTGGTCTCTAACTCCTGACCTCAGATGATCCGCCCGCCTCAGCCTCCCAAAGTCCTGGGATTACAGGCGTGAGCCACTGCACCCAGCCACCTCTTTCTTTTTTTTAAGACAGCGTTTCATTCTGTCACCCAGGCTGGAGTGCAGTGGCTCGATCTCAGCTGAGAACCTGTGCCTCTTCAGCTCAAGTGATCCTCTCATCTCAGCCCCCCAAGTATCTGGGACTACAGGAATGCACCATCATGCCCAGCTATTTTTTTTGTTTTGTTTTGTTTTGTTTTATTTGTAGAGATGGGGTTTTGCCATGTTGCCCAGGCTGGCCTCGAACTCCTGACCTCAAGGGATCCACCCACCTCGGCCTCCAAAGTGCTGGGATACAGGTGTGAGCCACCGTGCCCAGCCCTTTCTTGGTATATATACTTTCAAAACAGGAAAATTTGGGATTGAAATTTGGGTTTCCTACACTTACATTCTTATTATAATTTCTAATAAGGTTGTTTGTTATGATCCCTTTATTCTTCTGTAAATTATTATGAGGCTACTTAAAATATAAATAAAATTAAAAGGGTCCTTTGGACCCGAGGTAAATTATTATATAATTCTTTTTTCCAGTATACTAAAGGTTAACCCAGTATTGTTTGTAATAGCAAAAGACTGGAAACTTCTCAAAGGTCCATCAATAGGGCACTGGTTAAATAAATAAATATTGCTACCTTCTAGCAATGGAATATTATTTTGCTATAAAAACTGATTAGGAAAATATACATGTACTACTATGGAATAATTTCCAAAATATAAAGCGAAAGAAACAGGGTTCAGAACAGGATGTAAAACATGCAATCGTTTGTGTTATAAAAAAGGAGAAAAAGTATGATTTTGCTTGAATATGCATAAACTATTTCTGATAACATTGACTCTTTTCTGTAGAGGGTATCTGGGCGGCTAGCCACAGGCATGACAAAGAAATGTTTCAGCAAAAATCCCTTTTACTTACTGACATAGACTGACATAGACTAACATAGACTGGCATAGACTGACATGGACTGACATAGACTAACATAGACTGACATAGACTGACAGACTGGCGTAGACTGACGTAGACTGACATGGACTGACGTAGACTGACATGGACTGATGTAGACTGACGTAGACTGACGTGGACTGACGTAGACTGTTGTAGACTGACATGGACTGATGTAGACTGAAATGCACTGACATAGACTGACATAGACTGATGTAGATTGACGTGGACTGACATAGACTGACGTGGACTGACGTAGACTGACATAGACTGACATGGACTGACATAGACTGATGCAGACTGACGTAGACTGAAAGGAGAACTTAGAAAAGGACACGCTCAGCGTCGGGCACACCTCAGTCAAGGAGGCTCTGCTGACCACACTGTCCCTGTCTCAGTGACTTCCTACAACAAAGGTGATTTCTCACTGATGTTCCAGCTCCCTTGAGGGTCCACTGGGCGCTCTGCTCCACCCATTCTGGGACCCATGCTGACACCACAGCTGCCATCTTGAGAGACACTGGTTGCCATGGCCACTCTGAGAATCTTAGACATGTAATGAAATACATAATTTCATATTTTATATATTTTAATTGAAATATCTGTATATACAATATATATCTTGTATATCTATTTTATCTATTTTTTTTTTGAGACAGGGTCTTACTCTGTCCCCCAGGCTCAAGTGCAGTGGCATGATCATGGTTCACTGTAGCCTCAACTTCCCAGGCTTAAGCGAGTTCCCCATCTCAGCCTCCTGAGTAGCTATGACTACAGACATGTGCCACCACATACTGCTAGTTTTTTGTACTTTGTTTTATTTTTTGAGACAGAGTTTTGCTCTTGTCGCCCAGACTGGAGTGCAATGGCCGATCTCGGCTCACTGTAACCTCTGTCTCCTGGGTTCAAGCGATTCTCCTGCCTCAGCCTCCCGAGTAGCTGGGATTACAGATGCCTGCCACCACACCTAGCTAATGTTTGTATTTTTAGTACAGACAGGATTTCACCATGTTGGCCAGGCTGGTCTCGAACTCCTGACCTCAGGTGATCCAGCCACCTGGGCCTCCCAAAGTGCGGGATTACAGACATAAGCCACCGTGCCCGGCCTAAGGTAAAATTTACATGCAATGAAATGAACAAATTTGGGACAAATGCATATACCCATACACCTATGTAACCCAAACTTCTATCAAGATATAAAACATTGCTGTCACCGTGGAAGGTTCCCCTGTGCCCTTTCCCATCAATCCCCACCCCACACCATCCACAGAAGCAATCACTGTCTTGATTTCTTCACCACAGATCAGTGTAGCCTGTTTTAGAACTTCATATAAATGGAACTGTACATACGTATTCTTCTTTGTTAAGGCTTCTTTCATTTAGTACATTTTTGAGATTCATAACTTTTGTTGTGCACATTAGTAATTCATTCCTTTTTATTGTTAATATCCAATTTTGAGCATATGGTACAGTTTGTTTATCCATTCTCCTGTTAATAGGTCCTTGTGATGTTTACAGTTTGGGATTATTATGAAAAAAAGCTGCAATAGCCATTCTCATAAGTGTTTTCAGGAACGCTTGCTTTCATATTTATTTATTTATGTATTTCTTGCATCAAAGTCTCGATCTTTCACCAGGCTGGAGTGCAGTGGCACGACCTCAGCTCACTGCAAGCTCCGCCTCCTGGGTTCAAGTGATTCACCTGCCGCAGCCTCTCGAGTAGCTGGGACTACAGGCGTGTGCCACATGCCCAGCTAATTTTTGTATTTTTAGTAGCGACAGGGTTTCACCATGTTGGCCAGGATGGTCTGGATCTATTGACCTCGTGATCCACCTCCCTCAGCCTCCCAAAGTGCTGAGATTAGAGGCGTGAGCCACAGCGCCTGGCCTCATTTCTATTAAGTGTGGAGTTCTCTAGGAGTGGAATTGTGGGTTTAGAAGGCAGGTGTATGTTCAGTTTTTGTAAGAAATTGTTAGAACTTTTCCTAAAGTGTTGGTATCATATTACATACCAACCCACAGTATGTAAGAGTTCCAGTGGCCCCACTTCCTCACCATCTATTTGGTGTTGTCAAGTTTCAAATTTCAGCTGTTCTGGTGGGTGTGTAGTGGTATTTCACTACGGCTCTTTTGTAAACTTTTGCTTTATATATTTTGAGAGTATTTCATCGGTGCATTCAGTGATAGAACTGTTATTTCTTTTTTTTTTTTTTTGAGACAGAGTCTTGCTCTGTCGCCCTGGCCGGAGTGCAGTGGTGCGATCTCAGCTTACTGCAACCTCTGCTTCCTGGGGTTCAAGCAATTCTCCTGCCTCAGCCTACTGAGTAGCTGGGATTACAGGCACTCACCTCCACGCCTGGCTAATTTTTGTATTTTTTAGTAGTGGCCAGGCTGGTCTCGAACTCCTGACCTCAGGTGACCCACCCGCCTTGGCCTCCCAAAGTGCTTAGATTACAGGCGTGAGCCACCGTGCCCAGTCAGAACTTTTATTTCTGATGTGTTGAATTGTTCATCACATTGTGCTGATCCTCTTTATTCCTAATGACTTTTCTTGGTTTGTCAACAAAATAAACAGAGAGAGGCTCTCTCAAAGAAAAAGGTATCTGCGAACAGGGCATTGCAATGGGAATATGCATGTCATAGTGAGCTATGTGTGTACTTTAGGAAGGTAAAGGGAGAGAATAGCTTTTAAAGGAAAAGTGAGGAGGATTACATAATTGTTTTGAGATAATCAGCCTTGGCCATGAAGGTCAATAACAAGGCCGACGCCGGTCCAAGGTTGGACAGGCAGTTGCTGGGTAGATGTCCTTGTAGAAGTATTATTTGTGGAAGGTTGTGACGGCCTTTGTGCAGGTTGTGGTTTTTGCAGTCTTTTGTGATCGTTGACAGTCGTGATAGGACAAACAAGCATGAGAATGCTCTCTTCACAGCCTCACCTGGCTCTATTTCTCAGGGTTTTTTTTTGTTTGGTGTTTGCCTTTTAAAATACAAATGACTCCATTCTCATTCTGACAGCCTTCACGTTTCCGCCTCTGGTCAGCATCTCTCTCTGAAAGCATCGCTGGTCAGTCATCCTGTGGCTGGGTCTTGATTGTCCCTTGATACCAGGGTGGATCTGTCCTGGCTGCCAGTCTTGTCCCACACTGCAGGGAGTGATTGGGGACTAGGAGCCAGTGTCAAAACCTTCTAGCCACCTGTGAACAACGAGGGAGGTTCGAAGGGAGTGGCTGTCAGCTAAGTCTACTTAGAGTCCATTATTGAGTTCAATTTTGTCTGTTCCATAGTTTTTTTGCAATCATTTCAAAGCGCCAGGCCAGCATTATTCTGTTAGGAGTTGTACTTCTGTAAAATTTCTTTTTTTGAGACAGGGTCTTGCTCTGACACCCAGGCTGGACTGCGGTGGTACGATCATAGCTCTCTGCAACCTTGAACTCTTGGGCTCAAGGGATCCTCCTACCTTAGCCTCTTGAGTAGCTGGGACTACAGGTGCAGGCCACTGTGCCTGGCTAAATTTTTCAGTTTTTTTTGTAGAGACAGGGTATCACTTTGTTGCCCAGGCTGGTCTCAAAC
This sequence comes from Homo sapiens, assembly GCF_000001405.40. Classification (NCBI taxonomy): domain Eukaryota; kingdom Metazoa; phylum Chordata; class Mammalia; order Primates; family Hominidae; genus Homo; species Homo sapiens. The sequence continues at coordinate 103,346,791 of NC_000014.9, read as the reverse complement.
TCCTGGTCTCAAGTGATCCTCCTACCTCAGCCTCCCAAAGTGTTGGGATTACAGGCGTGAGCCACTGTGCCCGACCAGAATATCTTTTTTATCCTGTGAGAGAATGTCAGGAGTTTGGATTGGTGTTTTAGATGGTGGCAACTGCCCTAGTGGCTTTTAATTAGACATCCTGAGCCCACTATTTAAAACGTGGAAGGTGTTTAGAAAAAAACCCAGGGAAACGAGTGAAACCAAATCACAGGACACCAAGAGATGAGTGTTCACAAAATTTTAACCCAGGCATGCAGATCAAATTACACGCTCAGACCAAAAGTGAATTCACCAGAAATGACATGCCTCACAGATAGAATGTGAATTCAATAGAAACCAGAATACTCAAGCTAGAGACCTCTGTCTTTATACCAGAAAGGACTTACCAGAAAAGTCAGTCTTTTATCATCTCAGGAGGGATGTAAGGTTCTTTATTAAGGTGGCCTTATAACCAAACCTGATCTTGAATATCAAAAAGCCTCTACCAAAAAAAAAAAAAAAAGAAAAGAAAAAAAAATAGGCCAGGCACAGTGGCTCACGCCTGTAATCCCACCACTTTGGGAGGCCAAGGCGGGCAGATCACGAGGTCAGGAGATCGAGACCATCCTGGCTAACATGGTGAAACCCCGTGTCTACTAAAAATACAAAAAATTAGCCGGATGTGGCAGCGTGCGCCTGTCGTCCCAGCTACTCTGGAGGCTGAGGCAGGAGAACGGGGTGAATCCAGGAGACGGAGCTTGCAGTGAGCCGGGATTGCGCCACTGCACTCCAGCCTGGGCTACAGAGCAAGACTCCGTCTCAAAAAAAAAAAAAAGGAAAAAAAGAAAAAAGAAAAGAAAAACAAAGCCTCCACCAAAAACAGGGAGGGCTGGCCTGAGAGAAGACTCACCAGGGACAAAAATTTGAGCCATGGAAGCCTACAGCGCAAAGGGCTCATGCATACTGGCCAAAAAAGAGTATTTTTTTCTGATAGTCATCTTTCTTTAGGTCCCATTTCTGACCCCATTTATGTCAATTAAATGAGAGAGACGAGCTCTCTAAAAGAAAGATATGTATTCAGGAATAGGGCATTGCAATGGGAATACACGTCATTGTGAGCTGTGTGTGTACTTTAGGGAGGTAAAGGGAGAGAATTTTTTTTTTTTTTTTGAGATGGAGTCTCACTCTGTCGCCCAGGCTGGAGCACAGTAGCACGATCTCGGCTCACTGCAACATCCACCTCCCAGGTTCAAGCGATTCTCCTGCCTCAGCCGAGTAGCTGGGATTACAGGCATGCACCACCCCACCTGGCTAAGTTTTTGTATTTTTAGTAGAGATGAGGTTTCGCCACATTGGTCAGGCTGGTCTCAAACTCCCAACCTCAGGTGATCCACCCTCCTCGGCCTCCCAAAGTGCTGTTATTACAGGCGTGAGCCACCACGCGTGGCCGAGAATGGTTTTTAAAGGATAAATGAAGATTACATAACTGTTTTGAGATTACCACCTGTGGCTACAAAGATCCATAACAAGGGCGATGCAAGTCCACAGCTGGACAGGCTGTTGCTGGGTAGATGTCCTTGAAGTATTTTTTGCATAAGGCTGTGATGCTTTTTGTGCAAGGCTGTGGTTTTTGCAATCTTTTGTGATAATTTCGTTATTGGGCATACCAGCATGAGACCCTTCACCATCGCAAGACTGCAAACCCTACTCTATTTGTTCGGGTTGTTTTTTTGTTTCTTGAACACAAGTGACTCCGCTTTGATTGACAACTTTCACACTTTATTAAAATCTACTTTTTTCTGAGATTCAAAGAGCTACATTTTTGGTTAGTGTATGTCTACTATACCTTTTTTCATCCTTTCAACATCTTTTGTCACATTTTAGGTGATGCTCTTGTAAACAGTGTATTGCTAGACCTAAAAATCCAAGCTTACAACTTGTCCTTTACCTGATACATTTATTCCATTTACTTTCATTTGGATTTTTAAAAATGTTAACTTAATACGTCTCTTTCAGATGTCCCTGCTTTTTAGTTAATTGTGTTTTCTACTCTCCTAAAGACTTGATTTTTATTTTTTAGTTAACTGACCGTTTTTAAAGAGGTTTTAGGCTCATAGCAAAATTGGGTGGAATTTCCCCTACTGCCCCAGCCAGGCATTGCTTCTGACTGCAGCATTAGGCTTCCAGTGGGATTGAGTGCTGCACATAAGGGTCTCCACCCCCAGCAGATATGGAAAGGCAATCCCCTAGTTTTACAGTAAGGCCTGGGACAGAATCCAAATTTGATCCCAACACCCAAGTGAATCCTCCTCCTCTTAAAAAGAAATAATTGACTGCATAACCGAACTGCAGGGTCAACTCAGATCCTACCATTCACCTGGAGGTCCTGACATTGCACCTCCCAGTCTAGGTCCCAAGAAAAGAACTCTGTAGCTTCTATTCTCATATCCCAGCACACACAAGTCCTTAAAATTTCTGGCCATAAAAACCACAGAAATTTGATTCCCAGAAAAAAACTGTTTGGCTAGACCAGACAGGTGGACATAAACACCCTGAGCTCCCAACCTATTAACAAAGGCTCACAGGGTCACTCTGGTGCACAAACCTACAATGAGACTACCTGCAAGTCATTTGCTGTCACCCCACTTATGGAATGTCACTATGAATCAAGATCTGTACTGGGGACAGAGATGACCAAAGTGACTCCCTGTCCCCTTGGGGTCACACAGCACATGCAACGAAAGTGCAACACTGTTTCTGGTACTAAGACTGCTCTGGCTTTGTAGTAGTCAGGGAGGCTGAAATTTGAACCATCAAAAAGATGATGCAGGAACAAGGTCAACTTTGCATTTGCTGGTTACTCCGGAATACTGGTAGGTCAAGCTGTAGCAATTAAGAAAATAGCTGGTTAGATAAGGATTGTCTGCAGACTTGTCAAATAAATTTAAAATACATGAAGGGTTATTTTGTTAGATAAGTGACCTTGGTACAACAGTACCTATGCCTCAGGACCACGATGAGGACTGACTGAGCTAACAAAATGCAAAAGGTTCAAACTCACTTATCTGCTTTTTGCAGATGGCCAGCTTTCACTTCTGCCATCTCCAGGCCAAAGGCATAAAGTCAGTGCTTGGTACACTGGAACAAACAGCTTGGGGCTCAATTTTGATACCCCTCCCTTCTCAAGCGGGAAGCGGTGGATTAGAGACCTCCTTGCCCATCTCTAAACTTTAGGACCCACACTAAAAATTTTTAAGTCAATTTCAGAATGCACTTGTTTAGAAAGCAAACCTCCCCATTCCCTCATTCTTAACTAGAGATATATACAATTATTCACAGTTACATAGCTGTATGTATGTTCCCTATTAAGCACCTGCCAAGATTTCAAGTAATAAAACTGAGGCAGATGCTCAGTTCACAGACAAGACTAGCAAATAAAGCCAGTGACCCAATGAAATGAACAACTTTTGTGAGTGGGGCTGGCAAGTGTAACTGCAGGATACATCCAACACAAATCCAAAGCAACGGCTACAAAACAGGGCAGATTCCAATGCTTTGATCTCATTATAAAATGAAAACTTGTTAACTTTAATATTAAAGCAAAGACAAAATACAATTTTATCATTATTTTAATCAAGTAACTTAGCTGTTTAAACAAATCCTTAAGACAGTTCAATAGAGCAAAGTGAAGAATTACTCTATTAGGATAACCTGTGAACAAAGTTCAGATTATGTGAATTTGTATTCCATTCGAAGTTTGGCACCAGACTGAACACTGGTTTAAGCCAAATTTTTTAGTGTTCTAGAAGCCCTGAACATGTTTTCCCTCAGATTAAAAGTAGAACCTTTATAATAGAACCTCATTAGCTTGACACTGAGTATGCTGAGTGCAACTTAGCTTAGGTCACCAGTATCTCCTACAGAATTCCAGTTAATGAAAGCAGATCAGCCTTGCGGCAAAGAATTTGAAACCTAGGCAACATACAAGTTTGAAGAAAAAAAAATCCTCTTTGGTGTGACAAAGCACATTCCCTCCAGGTATATGGCTCCTGCTCCACTTGCACCCGAATCTTGATCAAAGGCAGCTGGAGACCAATTCTTGTCTCTCCAATAAGATTGCTAGGTTTCAATTCCTTAAAATATCAAGCCAACCAAGTTTTATTACATCAAATGTTTCTATCATTTCAATGTGAAAATTTTTTTACGCCTATTTGTTATTAAGGTCTCATTATCTGTGAAATAATCACAAAAAAACAGAGGTGAATGGTATAAGCCACTGCTCCAAAATTAACCCTATCGATTCTCGATTCCCACTGTGCACTTTGTGAAAAGGGTAACTGCCAAGAGGTTTAACCTTGAAGATGATTACTCAAACAGTCAGAACCCATAATATGAGTTTAGATCAGGCAAGGAGTTCATGAGGAAGTTATCAACTCTTGTGTGTCCAAATCTAAAGCCCTGCATGGGCTCTGTCAGGTCCTTGTCACCTGCACTCAGGTGGCCATCAGACTTCTTGGGTGCCTGGCTATATTCAATGTGAAGTAAAAAATATCCCAAGTCTTACACCAAAATAGAGGCTCTGACTTAGAAGTATGCTTTTAGCTTTCTTTTTAAATAAGACATTCTGGAAGAAAAAAAAAAGAAAAAGGAAAGAAAATCAAGTTTGAAACACAGTTAACACTTATTTTGGCAAGAAAGCAACCAAAATCTAAAAAGCATAAACTATGTGTCCAAATGTAAAAGGCATTACAGAACAAACTGCAAGAGGGGAAAATTAAAGCCACACTGAACGAAAAAATACAGTATGTCTAACATTTTGGAATTGTAATTTAAACCCTAAGGGCAAAAGCTGAAAAATCATGCTTAGGTTGCTAGTTAAGTGCACCCTTCCTTGTTTCTCCCAAATAAAATCAGTTTATTAATTGCACCCCAAAGCAAGTTCTCTCAGTACAAAGTAACTACTACGTACACACAAAATGCTTGTTAATGTAATAATTTCCCTGGCTCATCCAACGTGCAATGCACACGACTTCAAAGACAATTTGGGGCAAGTGTACATGAAATGAGAAAACAGCTCTCCAAGTTTCAAATCCTGCTCTTACATTATTTATAGGACACTGAGGTCATATTTACTTCTTGGTTAAGATGTTACACTGTCATTTCATTATCAGTCTACCTCACAATGTACATTACCAGATGCCAATTTGAGGAACTACAGAGATAAAACTTTAGTACTTTCTTAATGGGCTGAATAAATTAATTACAATTAAGTTTGCTTTACATCCTGTTGAGGACCTCTTTGCAGCCCCAGGACCTAACAATATCTGGCAGGCTCCAAGAATGCTCATCAGGTGAAATGATGGCAGAACATTTAAAGTAAGGAGCCAGTTACTTCAGCTTAAGTCATTCAGAGCCAAACATCTGAAGAACGACCAAAATCAAACCTTTATTTTTATAACTGTATAAATGTGATCCAAATGTGTCCACCACTAGTTTTTCAAAAAGAAACATGCTATAAATAAGCAAACTACATCTGCTCACTGATGTGTATGGACTCCCTAGATGTCTCATTGGGCTTAATAACAGACCACTCACAGTAATAGATTTTTAGTGTAAAGTGTAGCATGATGTTAAGCCATTTTAGCTTTTGCACATACATGTTGCACTTCTGGCTGATAATGGAGGAAAATTTGCAGCATTATACTGTTAAGCTAGGTTGCATCCATCCCTTTAAATGGCATCAATATCGATGTCGTCATCCTTGTTGTCTGACTTTACAGTCTCAACTTTCGGTACACTGGCAGCCTTCGAATACACCACCTGTTAAGAGGAATGATTTTATTCAACATAAGCTGATAAATCTGTTTATAAAACAAATCAATGTAAATTGTGGTCACAGAGGAGGAAACTGCCTAGATGCAGCTATTTCTTCTTCACGGAACAGCTCTGTTATGCAAACACTGCAAGTTCTCTTACACAGGCTCCAGTCTAAGAGCATTTTTAAAGTTTTTTTATAGACTATAATGTGTAGGAGTAGGAACACAGTTTCCATCACCCTTTCTATTATTTTCCAAATTATTGAGAGGCTGTATTTTACTGCATCTTAAATTCTAAACCTGAAATTACCCCAAACTGCCATTATATCACTCCTCACAAACCTTTTTAAATCTCAAACACCCATGCCAGCACTGTATCCAATACCCTCCTCCCCCAATGTTTACCTCAATGTTCTCATCTTCATCTTCTTCTTCGCCACCAGAAGATTCTTCCTCTGCCTCCTTCAACCATTTTATAAATGGTTCTGCTTTGACACGAATCTCTTTGGCAAGTTCTTTGGAGACATATTTCTTAGAGGCCTAAAAAATGTGAGTACAAGTCTCTTAGTTGAGGAATTTTAACAACTTTTGATTATTTATACAATCCCCCTTACTGAGCTGAGGGGACTGGGTCCTAACAAGTCTGAATCCTCAAACAGAATCAATGTACTCAGTGAACACGTTAGTCTCAGCAGTCTGTTATGACTACAAATCTGACATGATGCGAATCACAATCTACAGCACAGGCACTGAACTTTAGCTATAGATATTAAGACATTTTTTCTTCATCTCAAAGCCGTCTCAATACTTGTGAACGGCTGGGCGCAGGAGCTCACACCTGTAACCTCAGCACTTTGGGAGGCCAGTGGATCACCTGAGGTCAGGTGTTCGAGACCAACCTGGCCAACATGGTAAAACCCCATCTACTAAAAATACAAAAATTAGCTGGGCATGATCGCAGGTGCCTGTAATCCCAGCTACTTGGGAGGCTGAGGCAGGAGAATCACTTGAAGCCGGGACGTGGAGGTTTCAGGGAGCTGAGATCATACCACTGTACTCCTGCCTGGACAACAGAATGAGACTCCGTCTCCAAAAACAATCAACCAAACAAAAAAACCCCCCAAAACCTGTGAACTTTAAGAGCCCACCTATGTATTCCCCACCTTTTCCGACCAGCTGATGATGACCTCTTCTTCTAAAAGGTCTGCATCGTACATCTCCTTCAAGATATGTGGAATCTTGGAGATAAGCTGAGCTTGATGCATTGCTACCACACACTCCAAACCATGAAGAAGGTACCGTTGGGCTTTTTTGTTGTTGTGACAAAACTGCAAATAGACACCTTGGTGTTAACAATCTTTTTTATGTGTTCTAAGTTGACAACTCTATTACCCAAATAAGAGTGTCTGCAAGTGCATGGCCCATACCATAGTTGTTCAAAAAGGTCAATGCATAAACATCCCTGTTACTTTGTAAGGGCCTAGGTATGGCACTTTCAGATACTCAGAGGCTTGTAAGGTGGGTCAATTTCCCCACTTTCAAGCATGACAGGACAAGCAAAAGTGGTTAATATGACCATCTCGAAAGCCACACAACTGTAATCTCATTTATGAATCCAGAGCACTTTGCTTACTCGTAGGAAATGGCGCCTGTATTTCTTAATCTGTTCTCTAATCTTCTCATTAAAAAGAACTTCAGTTAGAACAAGAGGGCCCATGGCTTTTACATCCAGTCTTTCTGCTTCAGCAACGATTTCTTTGTCAGATGAATCAATAACACCCTCTTCTTTCTTTTTCTGCAAAGAAAAGGAAAACAATTCAGTGCAATGGAGGCACACTTTGCCAGGCTCAAGACACCAGCCAGTCCCTGCTCTGATGAACATATTTTTCCTGCCTAATTTGGCAGTTGTGACACATAGTGCCTGGAATCACGCGCAAAAAATATTTAAATGAACAAGAGTTCTAAAAAGTCGTGCATTAGAGTAATCCTAATTACACTGCTAAAGTATCATATATCTAAAGGCACAAACAAGGCTGGGTTGAAGCTGATTTACAGACCAAGCAAATGTTTTACCTTAACAAAATCAAAGAGGATATTGACCCTCTCCTCAATTGTTCTTTCCAAATCATCACTGAGTGTCAGAACTTTTGCATGGTCACTGATTTCATCCATTCGACGCCTTTGAGCTTCCTCAGTTGTATCTTCTCCCCAGTCATCATCCTCCTCTTCTTCCTGTTTATGAAAACAGAGCTACTTGATCAAAGGCCTTAAAAACAACAACAAAAAGGTTCAGATTTTGCCAAGTTAATGGCATCAAGTCCATCTCCATCCAAAATTGGGTTCACCTTAATTCAAACAACAAACAGTACTTGGAATCCACAATATTAGTGTATTACACACTGAAGGCTAGTTTCAACATTTCCACCCACCTCAACCAAATGCCATATACTTTACACAACTTTAGTGCCCACTAGGCCATCAACCCTGCACTCACCATTGTATGTGGAGGAGGATTAATTTCATTTGGTGGTGGTGGTGGTGGTGGTGTCTCACTGCTGGATACGGAGCCATTTTCCTTGTCTTTGCCCTTTCTGTTTTTCTTTTCTTTTTCTTTCTTTCCTGTACCACTGTCACTATTCTCTACAGAAAAAAAGGGAAATAAAAATTTAACCCCATAACTTACATTACCTCATTGCCCATCATTAACGTTTAAAACCCTGCCCTTATTTTCCTATGGATCCCCTCAGAAAAACCACACAGCACACACAATGCTACCTAAGAGGCTTCACAGATCAAATTCATCATGTATTTCATACGTAAGAATGTTAGTCTAAGAATGGAGTGACACAAAATATTAGGGGTATTGTAACTGCTAAGAAAGAGTAAGATGAAGTGATGATGCCTCCACTAGGGAGAGGTGGCCCTAAGGATCCCTGTCATCCCTCATGAACAAAGTCATTAACTCAACCCAGCTTTAGCCAACAGGTGGAACACTGTTTAAGTCTATATAACGGCTTGTCTCATGGGAGAGAGAACACCGGAATAGGTTAGACTTTCTTGCTATAGCAAGCTCAAATTGTGTCAGACAGTTTTGATCATCTGCCACAGAGTGTTGCTTGCAATATTCAAGTTTAATGAAGGGGGCCCTCTTTACCAAACAATGCCAGTAAAAGAAACTTTGCTGGGTTTCCAGCAGAATTTTAGTCATTACTTCATCTACCCTCAGATAATGTCTTAATTGATATGGCACAGTTTAATTGGCAGCCTATTTTTCACCTTTAATGGTAATTAACAATACACTTTTGAAAGATGTCTTAGATTTGATAAAATATAGTACAAGGACTAAAAGGTTCCTTATATTGTTTTTTTGAGACAGAGTCGCTGTTGCCCAAGCTGGAGTGCAGTGGCACGATCTCAGCTCAGTGCAACCTCTGCCTCCAAGGTTCAAGCGACGCTCATGCCTCAGCTACCGGAGTAGCTGGGATTACAGGAGCACACCACCATGCTAAGCTAGTTTTTGTGTTTTTAGTAGACGGGTTTCACTATGTTGGCCAGGCTGGTCTTGAACTCCTGGCCTCAAGTGATGTGCCCGCCCTGGCCTCCCAAAATGCGGGGAATACAAGCATGAGCCACCGTGCCCAGTCTCCCTTACATTCCTATTACAAAAAAACCTTCTATTTTGTTCCCAACAGTTAGTAACTTATCTTAGGATCTTAGGAGTTCATCATGGAAGACTCACCAGGTGGGTTTTTGAGAATGAATGTGCAGAGTTTATGATGTGTGTCAAGCATGCCTCGATAGCCACAGGCTTTACAAGAATTACCTATTGTTTGCTTCTTTGGATTGACATGCTGCCAAAAAAATAACAAATGTTATCCATAATATAACATGAAAATATCTAATCAGAGGACATCTAAACCACAGACAGCTTCACATGCAAAGAAAACTTTTTTCACACAGTGACCTACTTTAAAAAAAAGAATGGAAATATCTCGAAAACTGGAGTTTTGTGTTTGATTTAAAATTACATTTGCTCTGCCTTCTCAGGAAGGTGACTTAGCGGTATCACAGAAGCAGGTATATGGCTTTTTCTTTCGACAACCACAAAAGCACTTACCAAATCTGTTTCAGGATTCTCACATTCAGGACAGAGAACAAATTTTTTAATGAATCCATCCAACATGTCTTGCAGCTTATTCGCCTCATGAGATCCATTGACAATGTAACGGTCATTCTTAACATCAAACTGGGTCTGTGCTCCCAGCTCACAACCAAAATATTTGGTGGGATCTATTTGAATGAAAAAGGAGTTTGGATCGTTACAGTTAACTAGATCTCTGGCTACTCACTCACATTTGTACGAACACCACTTTTTTTTTTTTTTTGAGACAAGAGTCTCACTCTGTCACCCAGGCTGGAGTGCAACGGCGTGGTCTCAGCTCACTGCAACCTCCGTTTCCGGGGTTCAAGCGATTCTCCCCCTTCAGCCTCCCAAGTAGCTGGGACTACAAGCGCATGCCACCACGCCTGGCTAATTTTTGTATTAGTAGTAGACTCAGGATTTCACTATGTTGGCTAGGCTGGTCTAGAACTCCTGACCTCGCGATCCGCTTGCCTCAGCCTTCCAAAGTGCTGGGGGTTACAGGTGTGAGCCAACGCGCCCAGCCATCCACTCTTTAAATGCGTTCCCCTGGTAGTTTTGTAAACTCATGGCAACCAATAAACCACGGTTCCTCACTTAACTTGTAAGGTAATTAGCTAGCATACAATTAGAACAAGTTTTGCAGCTCAAAGACTTTGAAGACTCTATCCATAATATGCCCTGTGGACTTTTCCAAGCTTTACTTACACGTTGGAGGCCGATTAAGCGCCTTTGCAACGTCAACCATGTTGACTATAACTGTCTTGATTCCATTGCCTTTGCCCTCAACCTAAAGGAAATAAGAATTTTAGTTGTGCAGTTTCCCCTGACAAATGCAAACTTCAAAATTCTACAAAAAGAGCTATCAACTAAATTGAAGAGCAGTTTATTACCTTGGCAATCAGACGGGGCATCTTGTAGCGATAGAACTGGTCTGACACGCTGCGGTTGACATTGACAGACATTTTGGCTTATTAGTGGCTTTATCAATAAGATGAAGAGATCTTTGATTGCAACTTTTTGGTATCTTCTGTCTGGAGAAGAAGGGATGACATAAACGACTGCAAGAGTTCTCGGTCTCTGACATGAAAAAATTTTCGCCACTGAGGCTGTAAGCTTCTTGCTTGTATGCTATGTTTCCCCAATACAGGTACCAATGGCTGCGCAACAGCTCTGAAAGAAAAAGGGAAAGAACACACAAAAATCCCCCCAGGTTTAACATCATCGCTGGATGGAAACGCCTCCTTTTTACATCCTAGTTATGCTTCTGCTTAACTCCACCTTAAAAAGCATCTGAGATCACATGCAAACAGCCATTCTCATGTAACACAGTACAATCTGCGGGAACATAAAAAGGCCTCCATTTCGACTAAGCTGTGACTGGTAGGGAAATGCCTGACAAGAAAACACAAGCTGTGCTGCCTCAGCCGCCGTGAGATTCCATCAGACCGAGGGCAATCAGCAGGTTTGCCTCTGCGGCCATCCTGGAAGTGCTGAAGAACGAACCCGAGCCCTCTCCGCCGCCCACCCCGCCTGGATAAGCAAACTTCTCAGGCACACCCCCGTTCGTCTTCATTTTTAAGGGCAACCTAGGGAACTGTTCTCTACAACTAATCGTTGCTTCGGCAACCATGGCTTACTTCAAAGCAGCACTTCCTTAAACGCAGCGCTCGCCCACAATTTGCCATTAAGCAAGAGAGCGCGAGCGAACGCCAGGCTCGCCCCGGCCTCCCTTTTCCTCGCTATTCAAATACTCGGTTAACCTTCGCCCTGGTCCCCATGGCTACCGCGCTCCGAGGCGTTTCCGCGGGGGCTGGCGAACCGGGCAGCTCCGCGAAGGAGGGGGGCGCGCGACCGGGGCGTCTGGCCCCATCCCCAGCGCGTCCCCCGAGAGCCGGCGGCCCCGGAGGGTGCACAGCCGGGAAGCGACACACGGCCGAGGGGTGCCGGGATCGGGCCGCCCCCGCCCCAGAGCGCGCGATGACTCACAAATGCAGCAGCTGAAGCCTGAGTCAGCCCGAGCGGCGGGCACGCGCGACGCGCTCCCGCCATGCCGGGGAGGGGGCGAGGCCGGGCCGGGGAGCGCGCGGGGAGGGGGCGGCCGGCGCCCGGGCCCGCGCCCGCCCGCCGTCCGCCCAAACTGCGCCACACGCCGCGGCGGGGTCACGCGGCGGCCGCCGCCATCTTGTGCGGCCGCCATCTCCTGGCCCGCCGCGCCCGCGACTCACCGTTTTCGTCAAATAAAGACATAAACCCAACGCTGCTCGCCCGGGACTGGGATGAAGTGAGGCGCGATATAAACCCGAGTCCGAGTCCGAGGAGGCGGAGGCGAAGCGCAGCGAGGAGCGGCCGGGCCAGGTGCCGCCGCCGAGCAGCGGGGAGGGGCTGTCCCAGCGACGTCCGCGGTCCACACCCGTCAGCGCCGGAGCTGGGCGACCTGGCGCGGAGAGACGGCGCCGTGAGCCGTGGGCGGTCGGGGAGTGCACCTTCCCCGCCAGCCAGCGGCCCGAGGGGTCGAGGGGGCGGGAAGCACCGGGCAGGGGGCCGCCCCTTCACCGGACTCACCTCTGGAATGTTCTCGCTCTGACTGAACAACGCCGCCGCCGCGCTCAAGCTACCCTCGGCCCCAGCGTCCGCCCCCCGCGTCAGGCCTCACTGCCCATTGGCTGGAGGCCTGCCACAGCTCGCTCGTCATTGGTTCGCTTGCGACGTCAATCGCATCTTTCCGCGCCCCTTCTGCTTCCTGAGGCTCAACTCGCGGCCTCGGCCCGCCTCCAGCCCCGGTCTCGCTTCCTTCCTCTCCCCTCCCCCCGCCTTTCCCAGAGGTCTTCGCGGCGCAGCCCTTGGGTCTCGCGAGACCCGGAGTGGCCCTGGTGGCGGGGCCGGGGTACCGGGGGCCGTTCTTTGTCGGTTTGGGCCTTGAGGGGGAGATGGTGGTTGGTCCCCTCCCTCGCCGGGTCTGGGACAGGCCGCGGCGTCATGGCGACTCCCGGGACGCAGGAGCCATCGTCCTCGAAACTGCTTTCGAGGCCGTGTTTTTGCGGCTGCCACCTTCGGGGAGAGGAACCCGACCGCGTTCTCCCCGCAGCGGGCGCTCATCTCCCTTTCCCGTTCTCCCGGGACGCCCGACTCCGGGCCTCGAGGAATGAGTTGTTTTTCCACCTTAAGCCCCAGGCCTGGGTCTTTCATCCCAGGGACGTCTTCTGTTTCGGACTCGGGGTGGATTGGCCGCTGGCGGAACGAGTCCGTGACTCGCCAGTGACCGCCCAGGGCGGTCGCGAGGCCGCGCCGCCTCGGTGTCGGCCCGCAACCCAGCCTGCGCGCTTAGCTCAGCGCGTCGCCTCCCGTTTTCGGAAGAGGAGGCCCTTAATTGGTTTGGAATCCTGGGGCCTCCTGAAGGCGCTTCGTGGTGGGTTCCCACCTTCTGGTGAAGGCCTCCCTGCTCTCCCAGGGTTGAAAAGCGCTATCCTTCGTGCTTCTCTTGTCACCTTTCTCCTAGTGGGCATCACGTCGAGTCCACCCCCTCTAGTTTATGACTTGTGAATTCTTTGATAAGCAAATCGTAGCCCAGAGCAGGCATTTATAATGAGATTCCAATGTATTCCGTTGAAAATTACTATTATTTAGGCCGGTCGCGGTGGCTCACGTCTGTAATCCCAGCACTTTGGGAGGCTGAGGTGGGCGGATCACCTGAGGTCGGGAATTTGAGACCAGCCTGGCCAATATGGTGGAACCCTGTCTCTACTAAAAATACAAAAAATTAGCTGGGCGTGGTGGCTCGCTTGTAATCCCAGCTACTCGGGAGGCTGAGGCAGGAGAATCCTTGAACCCGGGAGGCACAGGTTACAGTGAGCCGAGATCACACCACTGCACTCCAGCCTGGACAACAGAGCGAGACTGTCTCCAAAAAAAAAAAAAAAGAAAATTTTTATTATTTAGAGAGAGGCTCTCATATTTTAGTTCTGTTGAAACTCTCCCATTCTTTCTGAAACTTGGATTTTTTTTGTGAAAACTTGAGTCTTAAAAACACATCCATAGTTCACCCTGAAGTTTGAAGACCTCACTTGACTGATGGAGCGAGAGCCCCGCTAACCTGCACTCTGGTCTCTAAGGTGCAGTCATCGAGAAGTCCTGAGCGGCCGTGCAGGTTTCCCGATCTGGAAAAGAGAAATGTTGCTGAGGACAGGATGAGGTAGATAAGGGGCTGCCCTTTGTTTTGGACCAGTTGCATTTGCACTGAGGTTAGAATTGGCAGCTATGTTGATTTTTATATCAAAATCCAAGATCGTGCTTCCATAACTAAAAGCTTTATAAACAACTTAAAAATTGGCAGTGTTGGTAGGAAGAAATAAAGGCACAATCCAGAATTGAGAGGTGATTTGTGTCCTTTAGGGCAGGGACTTTTATAATCCCGCAGTGTGTACCTTGGTGTATAGTTGTTAAGCCAAGTGCACAGTGCCTTGTGAGTACCAGGGTTCCCATCAGACAAACTAGAAAAGGGGATCCCAGACATGCTGCTGCTGTTTCACTGTGGAGCATGACTTAGCAGTATTGAAACAGATCTGACTTTTTGCTTGGCAGCACAAAAATGATGTTATTTTAGAAACTCTGTTGGAAAGTATAGGCATGAAACTAGTCTGAGGTGAGAGGCCTGCCTTTTCAGAAAAGTTTTAATGAAACACGAAGTAATTAGCTTTTTTGTATGTTTAGTGGCACAATTTTTAATTTCGTTGAAGTTTGTAATAATTTTAACTGCTTTTTAATATGTGTACCACTCATTTGTATGCAACCATGGACAACTTAAAAAAATACTTTTGTGTTCTTTTTCTCCCTTTTATTTTTAGTTAATACATAATAACACATTTGTGGGATACAAAGTGATATTTCAGTACATGTATACAACGTGTAATGATCAAAGCACAGTAATCAGCATATCCATCACCTCAGATGTTTATCATTTCTTTGTGTTGGGAACATTCAGAATTCTCTCTTCTAGCTTTTTGAAAATATACAATAGATTGTTGTTAAGTATATTTACCTTGAAATACTACAGAGCACTAGAACTTATTGAGCTGCAATTTTGTATCAACCTCTCCCTCTCCTCTCCTCCCACTAGCCTTCCCAGCTTCTAATAAACCACAATTCAAGTCTCTACTTCCATGAACTCGAATTTTTTTTTAGCTCCCACATATGAATGAGAATATGTGGTATTTATCTTTCTGTGCCTGACTTATTTCACTTAATATGATACTGTCCTCCAGTCTCAGCCATGTTGCTTCAGATAAAAGGATTTCATTATTTTTTTATGACTGAATAGTGTTCCAGTATATGTAAAACTTTTTTTTTTTGAGACGGAGTCTCACTGTATCACCCAGGCTGGAGTGCAAGTGGTCTGATCTCAGTTCACTGCAACCTCCGGCTCCCAGGTTCAGGCGATTCTCCTGCCTCAGCCTCCCAAGTGGCTGGGACAACAGGTGCGTGCCATCAAGCCCGGCTAATTTTTTTTTTTTTTTTTTAGTAGAGACAGGGTTTCACTGTATTGGACAGGCTGGTCTGTCTTGAACTCCTGTGTGATCCACCTGCCTTGGCCTCCCAAAGTCCTGGGAGTACAGGCGTGAGCCACCACGCCCAGCCTATAACACATTTTCTTTATCCTTTTTTTTTTTTTTTAAATAATAAGATGGCGCGGGAGGGGTGGGGGGGGGGCTCACTATGTTGCCTAGGCTGGTCTCGAACTCCTGGCCTCAAGCAGTCCTCCCACCTCGGCATCCTGAAGTGCTGGGATTACAGGCATGAGCCACTGCAACCAGCCTGTCCATTCATTTGTTGGTGGACGCTTAAGTTGATTCCATATCTTTTGCTATTGTGACTGGCGCTGCAATAAACATGGGGGTGCAGATATCTCTTTGATAATATTGATTTGATTTCCTTTG
This sequence comes from Homo sapiens, assembly GCF_000001405.40. Classification (NCBI taxonomy): domain Eukaryota; kingdom Metazoa; phylum Chordata; class Mammalia; order Primates; family Hominidae; genus Homo; species Homo sapiens. The sequence goes on along the minus strand of NC_000014.9, from coordinate 103,330,892 downwards.
GATAAATACCTAGTAGTGGGATTGCTGGATCATATGGAAGATCTATTTTTAGTTTTTTGAGAAACCTCCATGCTGTTTTCCCTAATGGCTGTACTAATTTACCTTCCCACCCACAGTGCATCAGAGTTCCCTTTTCTCTGCACCCTTGCCAGCATTTGCTATTTTTTGTCTTTGTGGTTTTGATTTGCGTTTCCCTGTTGATTAGTGACATTGAGCATTTTTTCATACATGTGTTGGCCACTTGTATGTCTTTCTTGGAGAAATATCTATTGAGATCGTTTGTCTATTTAAAAATCAGATTTATTTATTTTTTGTCACTGAGTTGTTTGAGTTCCTTGTTTATTCTGGATATTGGCACCTAAAAATTACTCTTAATCATACCATTTGTTAAATGCTTATCATATCCTAGGAGTTTTCTAAGTTCTTGGAATACATTATCTTATTTCCCAGGCCCTATGAGGAATTCGTATTTCCATTTTACAAATGAGCGAACCAAGGCTTAGTGGAAAAAAATTAAGCAACTTACCCAAATCATGTACCTAGTAAGTGGCAGAGCTAGGATTTAAAGACAGCTCTGTCTGATCCCAAAGCCTGTTCCCTTAAAAATTATGTGGCATGGCCTCTCCAGATAAATACAAAAACAAACAAAACTAGGCATTTTACATATGTAATCCCATTCTTTAATAATCATGTAAGGAGATGTTGTTATACCCATTTTACAGGTGAGGAAAGAGACTCAGGAAGGTTAAGCAATTTTCCCCAAAGTCGCCTCCCTAATAAATGATGGACAGCGTTTGAACTCCAGCTTGTGTGACGCCAAGCTCATTGCACAATTCCACTTCCCGTTTCTGGATCTCCACCTCATTTGGCTGCATTATTTTCCCCAGTCAGGTGCTCACAGTCCGTGCACTAATGGACACTTGGTGCTTGTCAAAACCTTGCTGAATGAGTGCATGAATTGCACACCTCAGTGCATGCCCTGATGACAGGAATAGCTGCTGGAAAGGTAGATTGGTAAACTGGCCTTCTGGTTGTTTACACATTGGCTGTGACTCTGTTGAATGTGAATGAGTGTCCCCTCCCTCCCACCCCCCACCAAGATCAACTCTGCATGGACTGAGAGCCTTGTGTTTCTGAGCTGTGAGCTCTCAAATGGACTCAGATATTGTACACTGTGAGGGGCAGTGGTCCTCCTCTGTGACACCCACCTCTCAACTTTTTTTTTTTCTTTTTTTTTTGAGATGGAGTCTCGCTCCGTTGCCAGGCTGGAATGCAATGGCACGATCTCAGCTCTTGCAACCTCTGCCTCCTGGGTTCAAGTGATTCGCCTGCCTCAGCCTCCTCAGTAGCTGGGATTACAGGCACCTGCTACCATGCCCGGCTAGTTTTGTATTTTTAGTAAGAGACGGGGTTTCTCCATGTTGGTCATGCTGGTCTCGAACTCCCAGCCTCAGGTGATCCGCCCATCTCGGCCTCCCAAAGTGCTGGGATTACAGGTGTGAGCCACCGTGCCCAACCTCTCAACTTTTAAAGCTGCACACTGTTAACTGAAGTTCTTGTCCCCCCTACTTCAGGACAAGCTACAGGGTATATGCATAATTTTTCTTCTAGCACCAGCCAGTCACAGGGGTGTTCATAGAGCAGACATTTGAAGCTGCTGGAAGGGAACTGAAGGTTATCTGGTGAGTACAGAGGCATCGGCTGACGTGAGGGCTGGTGTCCTAAACCATGGTAATCTAGTGCATCCCTATCAATACATAATTCTGTGCTAGGCAGTGAGGGTGCAGGCCCGCCTACATCACAGACCCTGCCCAGGAGGTCACATGTAAACAAGTAGAGGCAAATATCTGCTTGCTGGACACCCCACTGAAGCTTGCCCTTCGTGAAATCTCTGATGCTCTGAACAGCATGTCTCCCTGCCTTCGTGACCTGCCCATCCCATGGCTAGGCTGCACCTACGCCACACCACTGGCATTCATGTCACTTGATTGCAGTTGCCTGTTTCCTTCTCTGACTTCCTTACTGGGCCAAGCAACTGGAGGGCAGGGGACTCATGCTTGAGAAGAAAGGATTCTGGACTTTGGCTGAGGAACAGGCCTTTAGTTCCAAAAGGGACAGAGGCAGGAAGCAGAGGTGTTTGAGGAAAGATAGGGGTCCAGGTGAGGGATCACTGGAGACTGACACAAAGTCTTCCTCCTCCGAAGTGTGGAGCTGTGATCCCACCCAGCAGCCATCCTGCATTGTCCCATTCCTGGAAAAAGAAAAAAACACAAAATGGCATTGATTCTGCCTGCGCAGCGTCCTACGTGTAGCAGATGACAGAGAAATGTGGATGGATCAGAGCAGGCCCTACAATATTGGATTGGTGTTGTCTTGGTCACATTGAAGACACACACAGCACCCCAGTGACAAATTCTCAGGGGTTGCAGGAGCTGCTGATCCCAGGACTGTCCTGTGCCTTAAAACTGGGGGACGCCCATGATGTTGGAACCCAAATACCCTTCTTCCCGTCAGCATAGTCTCAGCAGCTTTCTTTTGAGATATTCGAGCTGCCCTAATTTAGATAGTCTGTGGATAAGAAGAACAAAATCTCTGCCCCAATGGGTGTGTTGGAGAAGTGGTCCCCGGGTCTAATGGCGACGTGATGGGAGTGGCATTAGACTGATCATGGCTGTTAGAATTAGGAAGGTGCCAATGGCCTTGCCGTGCTGACAAAGCCTCGTCACCCATGCTCTCTCACTGTCCTCCTCACACCTTGGGAGGTGGCAAGTATACATTTTATTCCTTCATTTTATGGACGAGGAAGCCGAGACTCAGAGAGATGATTTGCCTCCAGTTGGGGGGTCAGGTGTCCTGATTCCCAGCTTCAGAGCTCTTCCCCCTGACTAGGGACTAATAGTCCTGTGTGGTGCATCTGGGTCCCAGGGATTTGCCTCTCTTCCCTCAGCTGGATTTCCTTTACTCCAGTGCTTTTGAAAGTTTCACATGAGGGGAGGCAGGATCCAAGTCATAACCCTGATAGCTAACACTATCCCAGAAGATCCACTCAGGTGTGCTGTCTTCAGACCTGTGAGGATGCGTTTTCCTTTATGCTACAGATTTTCATTAGCCACTGCATATCCTGCCCGGGGGGCGCCAGACACTGGAGATGCAAATGGACCCCAGAGTGGGGACTTCTTTTGTAAGACAGCATTGAAAAATATGAAAGATTTTAGGCCGGGCATTGTGGCTCACACCTGTAATTGCAGCACTTTGGGAGGCTAAGGTGGGTGGAGGTCAGGAGATTGAGACCTTCCTGGCTAACACGGTGAAACGCCATCTCTACTAAAAATACAAAAAATTAGCCGGGCGTGGTGGCGGGTGCCTGTAATCCCAGCTACTCGGGAGGCTGAGGCAGGAGAATCGCTTGAATCCGGGAGGCTGAGCTTGCAGTGAGCCAAGATCGTGCCATTGCACTATAGCCTGGGCGCCAGTGTGAGACTCCGTCTCAAAAAAAGAAAAGAAAAACATGGAAGATTTCACCTAAAAATTCAGATTTCTGGTTCCTTGGACAGTCGGAAGCCCTTGTACTCTGGGACATACCGACATGATAGATTTTCCAGGAGCCAAGTTTCAGCTGACCTTTTAGACCCAAAGTTGGGGACTGAATGCTCATAGAAAAGAACGAGTGACTCCCTATCCATGTGTGTGTGTGTGCTCTCCCCTTCCAGGTGTGCGTGTGTTCTCCCCCTCCAGGTGTACGTGTGCACTGTCCCCCTCCAGGTGTGTGTGTGCTCTCCCCCTCCAGGTGTGCGTGTGCTCTCCCCTCCAGGTGTACGTGTGCTCTGTCCCCCTCCAGGTGTGCGTGTGCTGTGTTCCCCTCCAGGTGCGCGTGTGCTCTCCCCCTCCAGGTGTGCTTGTGCTCTCCCCCTCCAGGTGTACGTGTGCTCTGTCCCCCTCCAGGTGTGCGTGGGCTGTATCCCCTCCAGGTGTGCTTGGGCTCTGTCCCCCTCCAGGTGTGCATGTACTCTCCCCCTCCAGGTGTGCATGGGCTCTGTCCCCCTCCAGGTGTGCATGTACTCTCCCCCTCCAGGTGTGCGTGGGCTCTGTCTCCCTCCAGGTATGGGTGTGCAGTGTTCCCCTCCAGGTGTGCGTGTGCTCTGTCCCCCTCCAGGTGTGTATGTAGGCTCTGTCCCCCTCCAGGTGTGTGTGGGCACTGTCCCCCTCCAGGTGTGCATGTGCTGTGTCCCCCCTCCAGGTGTGGGTATGCACTATTCCCCTCCAGGTGTGTCTGTGCTCTGTCCCCCTCCAGGTGTGTGTTTGGGCTCTCCCCCTCCAGGTGTGCATGTGCTCTGTCCCCCTCCAGGTATGTGTGTGGGCTCTGTCCCCCTCCAGGTGTGCATGTGCTCTGTCCCCCTCCAGGTGTGTGTGTGGGCTCTCCCCCTCCAGGTGTGTGTGTGCACCCACATCTGCCCCATCATTTATTCCCCATTGCTTGCCTTACCTCTGTGTTTATCTTTACTCATTTATTCATTCATTCAATGGATATGTACCACATGCCCTCTATCTGCCAGCCCTAGAGGATTTAAACAGCTAAGACATTGTTTCCCAGGGCTATTGTTAACAAAGCAACAGAAACTGTGTGGCTTAAAACAACAGAAATTCAGTTTTAGTTTTTGGCTGGGCACGGTGGCTCATGTCTGTAATCTCAGCACTTTGGGAGCCCGAGGCAGGCAGATCACTTTAGGAGTTTGAGACCAGCCTGGCCAACATGGTGAAACCCCATCTCTACTAAAAACAGAAAAATTAACCAGGCGTGGTGGTGGATGCCTGTAATGCCAGCTACTCGGGAGGCTGAGGCATGAGAATCGCTTGAACCTTGGAGTGCAGTGAGCTGATATCACGCCACGGCACTCCAGCCTGGGCGACAGAGTGAAATTCCGTCTCAAAAAAAAAAAAAAAGAAATTCATTTTTTCACAGTTCCATAGTCCAGAGGGTACAAAATCCTTGGGTTGGCCACTGCATGCACTCTCCAGCATCTGGTGGCTGCCGGCAGTCTTTGGCGTTTCTCAGCTTGCAGCCATAGAGCTCCAAATCCGCCTCTGTCATCACTTGGTTTCATTGCCCTTGCGTAAAGTATCTTCACTTGGCGTTTTCCTCTCTGTGTCTCTCTCTCTTTTTTTTTTTTTTTTTTTTTTTTGAGATGGAGTGTCGTGCTTGTTGCCCAGGCTGGAGTGCAGTGATGCGATCTCGGCTCACCGCAACCTCTGCCTCCCAGGTTCAAGTGATTCTCCTGCCTCAGCCTCCTCAGTAGCTGGGATTGCAGGCGCCCGCCACCACGCCTGGCTAATTTTTGTATTTTTAGTAGAGATGGGGTTTCACCATTTTGGCCAGGCTGGTCTTGAACTCCTGACCTCAGATGATCCACCCGCCTTGGCCTCCCAAAGTGTTGGGATTACAGGTGTGAGCCACCTCGCCACCGCACCCGGCCTCTGTGTCTCTTCTTATAAGGACACCAGACATATTTAATTGAAGACCTGCCCTATTCCAGCATGACCACATTGTAACTCAATTAAATCTGCAATAACCCTATTTTCAAATAAGGTCTCGTTCACAGGTACCTGGGGTTAGGTGTTAAACATATTAGATTCTGTTTTGTTTTGTTTTTTCTTCTGGAGGGTCTAGTGAGAGAACATATCGCTTTGGGGACATGATTTAAAAAAACTTCAAATCACACGAAATGTAGAGCATGGCCCTTGCTCATCATCCACTCTGGGAGACTCCTAAAGCGTCAGCCAGTGCCCGGCGGCAGCTGTGGTTTGGTGGCCTTGTTGCTTCAGATACACTCATCACTGGATCCCCACAATAGCAGTCCTCTGACAGAGATTCTGTTGCTGCTCCACTTCTGCACAGATGAGGAAACTGAGGCACAGAGGGGTTATACAGCTTGACCGAGGCTACAGTTAAAACCTAAGTTACTATATCCAAATATATGCAAAATAAAAACCAGGCACGGTGTTGCCCACCTATAATCCCAGCTACTCTGGAGGCTGAGGCAGGAGGATCACTTGAGCAGAGCTGGTGTGTGGATACGGGCAGGAGGCTGGGTCCTGAGAGATGAACAGCGTGTGTTTCCTGGTAAAGCCCAGCAGGCTGCGTTCTGTTTCCCATCAGACTCCTCTCTTGTGATGTGGACAGCAGGAAACTAACCTATATTTTGGTCACTCTCCTGAAATCAAGTCTGCCGTCATTTAAATACCCTCACAAGGTAGGACAGGCTATCCTGCCAATTTCCCAGGGTGACCATCTTACAAGGAGACGGACAGTACAGAAGCAAGGGCTTCTGGTATAAGGTAAAACGAATCTGATTATCTTCTTGACCCAGAAGGTGATATTTCTTTTTTTATTTTTATTTTTTTTAGGTGGAGTCTCGCTCTGTCGCCCAGGCTGGAGTGCAGTGGCACAATCTCAGCTCACTGCAACCTCCGCCTCCCAGGTTCCAGTGATTCTCCTGCTTCAACCTCCTGAGTAGCTGGGACTATAGGTGCACACCACCATGCCCAGCTAATTTTTGTATTTTTAGTAGAGACAGGGGCTTCACCATATTGGCTGGGCTCCTGGTCAGGAGTGTCGAACTCCTGACCTTGTGATCCGCCCGCGTCGGCCTCCCAAAGTGCTGGGATTACAGGCATGAGCCACTGTGCCCGTTTGTTTTTTTGTTTGTTTGTTTGTTTTTTGACAGGGTCTTGTGTAATGGCTTGATCTAGACTCATTGCAGCCTCTGTCTCCTGGGTCCAAGTGATCGAAGCCTCCCAAGTAGCTGGGACTACAGGCATGCGTCACCACGCCTGGCTAATTTTTGTATTTTGTATTTTGTATTTTTTGTAGAGAGTTTCACCATGTTGGCCAGGCTGGTCTCCAACTCCTGGCTTCAAGTGATCCACCCACCTTGGCTTCCCAAAGTGCTGGGATTACAGCTGTGAGCCACCACACCCGGCCCAGAATGTGATGTTTCTAACCTTACGTTTACACAAATTTATGTCCATATTTAGGGTCAATTTCTTAGGTCTCTGTCATGTTCTCTAGTAGATGGAAGAACCATCCAGAAACCATTGCATGCTCTAAATAACCTTTCTTTTGTGGTACTGCTTTCTCTAAGCAAATATAGTTAGCACCAGATGGGACTGTTGCAATACAGAGTTTTTAACAACAAAAAAAAATTGATTCATTTAGGGTTTCCTTAAATTAGGTGAGCGATTTTTTTCCTTGAGCACTGAACTCCCACATTCAATATTCCCGGCGTGACATTTTGTGCTGTTATAGTTGGTAAGTGAAGCTCAGCTATTCTGAGCTTTATGTGCCAGGAGCCTGTGCTCAGAAATCCTTTTTTTAGTTTCGCTCATAAAGGCTACTTGTATGTTTGGGTATTTCATGCAGAAGGAAGTCTTCCGGGCTGGGTCATTCACATTCCATGCTCTCTTGCTAGGCATCTACAAAGTTCATAGCCATTTTTAACACACACCTTTGCTGCGATAAAATCACAGTCAGAATTTAAAGCCATGACTGGTCTATTTCCTTTAGCATAATGTCTTCGGGGTTCATCCGTTAAGCTAAGGGAAATAAGCCAGTTTCAAAAGGAGAATTACTATAGAATTCTATTAGTATGAGGTACCCAGAGCAGGCAAATTCATAGAGACAGAAAGGCTGGGGCAGGGGCTAGAGGGAGTCATGGTTCAATGTTTCGGAGTCTCAGTTTTACAAGATGAAAAAGTTCTGGAGATGAATGTTGGTGAGAGTTGAAAATAATGTAAATAGACTTAATGCCGCTGAACTGTACACTTGAAAAGGGTTAAAATGGTAAACTTTAACCATTATTTTACCACAATAACAAAAAGCCACTACCCTACAATAATAGCCTAAGTGACTACATCCAAATATATGCAACATAAAAGCTGGGCATGGCGTTGCACACCTATAGTCCCAGATACTCGGGAGGCTGAGGCAAGAGGACCACTTGCACGCACAGCAGTTCAAGGCTGTGCCGTGTTATGATCACGCCTGTGAATAGCCACTTATTTCCAACCTGGGCAACAGAGTGAGACCCACATCTCTTAAAAAAAAAAAAGCAAATATATACAAAATGGTGAATATATAAATGATTACATTTCTGCAATTAAACATGATGTATGCCATAAATATTAATTATAATCATGTATATATGAAATTTGCTTTTGGTTTGTATATTTCCAGATTTTTCAAATTGAAACTTTCCTTGGCAAACAGAAATTATTTTAACTCTCTGACTTACTAACTCTGTGACTTTGAACAAGTCTCTTTTGTATTTTGAGCTATTAGTGTCCTGTATAATAGGAATGATAGTACTCTACAGGGTGCCCACCCCTGTCCAAATTGTAAAGCTGTGAAATTTGCTCAGCAACGCAGGTAGAAACCAAAGTAAATTGAGATCATCTTTCAGTAGGGTTTAAGTGGTAATGGGAACAAGTGCAGTGCTGGAAATCTCTTAGCCCCATAGCACGGCAGTCCCAAGCCCGAGTCCTTCAGGGGCCAAGCAGGTGATGGCAAAGTGGGAAGCAGGCTGGGGCAAGGCAATAAGGAACAGCAGTAATTGTGGCAAACCGGAGGGCCTCAATTTAGAGGCATTTATATTCAGTTAGAAAAAAACAAAAACTCCATGCAGGGCAAACAAAACTTGGACGGATTTTATCTGGCCAGTGGGCCACCGGTTTGCAATTTCTGCTTCACTTTTTAATTTAATTAATTAATTAATTAATTAATTACTTTTTGAGATGGAGTTTCACTCTTGTTGCTCAGGCTGGAGTGCAATGGTGCAATCTTGGCTCAGCGCAACCTCCACCTCCCAGGTTCCATTGATTCTCTTGCTTCTGCCTCCCGAGTAGCTGGGATTACAGGCATGGGCCACCATGCCTGGCTAATTTTGTATATATATATATTTTTAAATTTTTATATGTTTGTTTGTTTGTTTTGAGAGAGTCTTACTCTGTCTCCCAAGGTGGGGTGCAGAGGTGCAATGTCAGCTCACTACAACTTCGGCCTCCTGGGTTCAAGCGATTCTCGTGCCTCAGCCTCCCAAGTAGCTGGTATTACAGGCATGCACCACCATGCCTGGCTAATTTTTTGTATTTATCACATTGTCTTGGTATTGAACTCCTGAGGTCAGGTGATTTGCTTGCTTTGGCCTCCTAAAATGCTAGGATTACAGACGTGAGCCACTGCACCCAGCCTGCAATTTCTGTTTTAGAGTGAGAGATGCTTAGATCTAGAAGGGACATGGAAGGCCTTTTGGTCCCAACCCCTATTTTTCAGAAGAGAAACCATGACTAATATATGGGCTGCTTTAGGAAGAGCTGGTCTAGAATCCAGGTGTTAGACAATTATTTTCAGGGCTCTCTTCTACCTCCCTGCCAGCTAGAAACATTTTTTATTTTCAGATAATGTATCCTTCCAAGTTTGAATTTGAATCTTTTTTTAAACGTAGATACATTTGTTTAATTTTGTGTTACTGCCCAGATCAAGTCAGCTCCTAGTACTTTTCTATTTTAATGATAGCTGCCACCTCCCAACAAAACCCAGCATTCAATGTTCAACAGAAATTCTGATATGCATACTATGTGCCTACGAGCCTTTTAAAATTGCAATGACAGTGTTTTTATTTGGTTCTTTGGATTAAATTGTCTAAAGAATTTATTGTGAACATTATTGTATCTCTGATTCTGTTGGCCTTCTATGAAATTTTACACGTCTTGAGACAGACGGATTTTTATCTTTGGTTCTCAGGTTATTAACATGTACTGTGAGAATTTAGATTGTTTTAGTAGAACTCTAACCCGGGGCACAAACTGGCAGGCCTGGGATGAGCAGGGCCTCTGTAGGCATGTCATGCTCGCCAGCACTATGCTTCAAAATACCTTTTTCCAGGCCGGGCATGGTGGCTCACGCCTGTAATCCCAGCACTTTGGGAGGCTGAGGTGGGTGGATCATGAGGTCAGGAGTTTGAGACCAGCCTCGCCAACATGGTGAAACCCCGTCTCTACTAAAAATACAAAAATTAGCCGGGCGTGGTGGCACATGCCAGTAATCCCTGCTCCTTGGGAGGCTGAGACAGGAGAATCGCTTGAACCCGGGAGGCAGAGGTTGCGGTGAGCTGAGATCGCACTGGAGAGCTGGAGACTGCACTCCAGCCTGGGTAACAGAGTAAGACTCTGTCTCAAAAAAAAATAAAAATACAAATAAAAATAAATAAATAAAGTGGAATGAGAAAATAAAAAACTTGCCCAAAAGAATGATCAAGTTCTCTAGGGAATGTCCACACTGCAGGGAGCAGCCAAGATGTACAATCAATTTAGTGGGGCCAGAGGAGCATTTAAATTTTTTTTTGGCCAGGCGCAGCGGCTCACACCTGTAATCCAGCACTTTGGGAGGCAGAGGCAGGAGGATTGCTTCAGCCCAGAAGCTCAAGACCAGCCTGGTCAACATAGTGAAACCTCACCTCTACAAAAAACACAAAAATTAGCCAGGCATGGTGTTGTGTGCCTGTAGTCCCAGCTACTTGGGAGGTTGAGGCAAGAGGATCTCTTGAGCCTTGGAGATCAAGGCTGCAGTGAGCTGCACTTGGCCTGGCCCCCAGAGCAAAAGACAGGAGCATCAGGAAGTACGGAGGAAATGGGCAACAGCCCAGCTTTAGCCTGGGCAATAGGGCAAGACCCTATCTCTTAAAAAAATTTATTGGCCAGGTGCGGTGGCTTACACCTGTAATCCCAGCACTTTGGCAGGTTGAGGTGGGTGGATCACTTGAGGTCAGGAGTTCAAGACCAGCCTGGCCTACATGGCAAAACCCCCGTCTCTACTAAAAATACAAAAATCAGCCGGGTATGGTGGAGGGTGCCTGTAATCCCAGCTACTGGGGAGGCTGAGGCAGGAGAATCACTTGAACCCGGGAGGCAGAGGTTGCAGTGAGCCGAGATCCTGCCATTGTACTCCAGCCTGGGCAACAAGAGTGAAACTCTGTCTCAAAAAACAAAAAAGATCTTATTTTTTAGAGCAGTTTAGAGCAGTTCCAGGTTCATAGCAAAATTGAGAGGAAGATACAAACTATCCCAAGTGCCCCCAGCACCCCCAACATGCAGAGCCTGCCCTGTTATCAGCGTCTCCCTGGGTAACGCATTGATTGCCCCTGATGACCCAACATGGACACATTGTAACCACCTGGTCCATGCTACATTCGGGCTCACTCTTGGTGTCGCACATTCTATGCAGCAAAACATTTTTAAAAATAAAAGCAGCACAGAGTAGGTCAGGGTGCTTTGCATCTGGTGACGGTAAGTACAGTATCGTTCTGGGAAACGTTCTGTTTCAGTTACATATTTGAATGTGTGTGCTGTTTGTCATGCAAAATTCTTCCCTAACTGTGAGTTGTGGTGACAAAAGATTGAGAGAGACTTTGGGAGTTCAAGGGATGAAGAGGCACATCAGGTTAGGGAGAGCCTGGAAGGGCTTTTTGGGGTCAGGTACCCTGGAAGATAGGGAAAGAAGGGAGAAAACCCAACAGAGGCCAAGAGTATTGGGGGAGGGATTGAGGGGACAGTGAGGAGTGTGGAGGATGCCCGGGAGGGGGCAGGTGGGTGGCAGTGACCGGAAGGGTGGTGAGACCATGGGCGGGGTGGAGCCCTGGAAGGCTGTGAGGAGGGGTTGGGGTCTGAACCTGTGCTCCTGCTTACTGGATGAGTAAACCCCAGCACTTACTTAGTCTCTCTATGCCTGTTTTTCAGCAGTGGGATGGGGGCAGTTATGGTGCCCGTCTGGGAGGGTTGGTGCCAGTGCCAGGTGAGTAAATTGTGGGATTCCCCTGGCACAGTATATGAAGTATCAGAGGCACCTATCTTTAGCTGTAATTATGGTCAGACTGCTTAGGGAGACTTGTGGGGTAGCACTCTCTAGAATAGCTTGGGCTGACCAGTACAGGGTGCAGATTGGAGGTGCTGAGAGCCGGGATGAATGGCTGTTCTGATGAATGGCTGTTCTGATGAATGGCTGTTATTTTCATTTATTTATTTATTAGAGACAGGGTCTTGCTCTGTTACCCATGCTGGAGTTCAGGGTGCGATCAAGGCTCACTGCAAACTCTACCTCCTTGGCTCAAGTGATCCTCCCACAACGCCTAGCTAATTTTTGTGCCTTTTGTAGAAACAGGGTTTCATCATGTTGCCAAGGCTGGTCTCGAACTCCTGGGCTCAAGGGATCCGCCTGCCTCGGCCTTGAAAAGTGCTAGGATTACAGGCGTGAGCCAGCGTGCTAGCTTGGCTGTTCTTCGATGTTTTGTTCTTGGGGAGTAGTCCACAATCACTGTGCTTGTTGTATTGGCTTGGCTGATAGTACAGAGGTTGATCTGCTACACGCTGAGTTTGGGGCAGGGGAGGGTGCGGACTATGTATGTTTGTGGCTTCAGGAGACTCCTCCAGGGCCTGGCCCCACTATGAGCAGTGCCGTGCTGCAGGGCTGTCTCTGTCATCCCGGCCGGATTCCCCATGGTGGCTGCCCACTGTGCCATGACATCTTCAGGAGTTGGGCCATGCCTCCCACCCCATCGACACCTGGGGAGAGCCTTGGCCATTTTGTTTTTTAAACCTGTAGAGCACAAAGAGATGTTGCCATTCCCCTCATTGAGACACACACCCCTCTTCCCCTCCTCGTGCCAAGCCCTATTTTTGGTTCCTGGTTATAAGCTGGCTTTAGGGAGCCCCCTGCAACTGCCTGGTAGCTTTCTGCTCTTGCTTTTTTTTTTTTTTTTTTGAGACAGAGTCTTACTCTGTCGCCCAGGCTGAAGGGCAGTGGTGCAATCTCGGCTCACTGCAACCTCCACCTCCTGGGTTCAAGAGATTCTCCTGTCTCAGCCTCCCAAGTACCTGGGACTACAGGTGCCCGCCATCATGCCTGGCTAATTTTTGTATTTTTAGTAGAGATGGGGTTTCACCATGTTAGCCAGGCTGGTCTTGAACTCCTGACCTCAAATGATCTACCCACCTCGGCCTCCCAAAGTGCTAGGATTACAGGCATGAGCCACTGCGCCCGTCCCACTATTGCTTTTGAAAACACAAACACCACTGACGCAGCCTGAACAATATAATCCGTTGCTTTTAGAGACCTGGCCCTTTAGAACAAAAAGCCTACTTCATTCTCCTGGGATGAGCAGGGGCCTCTCTGCACTCTTCTACCCACAAAAAAAACTAAGCACCATCTCCATCTTCAGCAGCCCCTCCACTCCCTTCACCCGCAAGCCTCTGCTCTTGGCCAGATTAACGGCTTTTTGTGGCTGGAGATCGCACAAGTGCTGTGCCCAGAGCAGTTTCCTGTCCCCATCAGAGTGGTGAGAGAGTCTTAGGAAATGATCTTAGGAAACGGCCCTACAGTAAAAGTTCCAGCTGGCACAGTCATGCAAATATCACCAACAGCTGCTTTTCACCTGGGAGAGTCAGGGTGGGTGGGACCAAAGGGCCGGAGAAGGCGTCTTCTCAGGATCAGATTGAGGAGGGGGATCCTCACCTGCAGGGGTGTCCTGTATTGGCATCGACCTGTCGTTAATCCAGCAAACACACCCTGAAGACTTCTCCTGCCCATGCGGAGCCTGACCCTGTGCCTCCAAGGAAACCAACAATTATGATGCAACGTGATGATTGGTACTTCAGGAGTACCCTGAGTTCAGGGAATCAATGTGCATTGTGGGCCGGGGTGAATGGGAAGGGAAGGGGGTCAGGGAAGGCCTCCTTAAGGAAGCTGCCAGTTAAATGAAGCCCCAAATGCTGAGCAGGAAGCGGCCAGATGAACAGAATAGGGGAGGGTTGTCTATGGCCATACTATCCTGAGCGCACCCCATCTCCTCTGATCTCGGAAGCTCAGCAGGGTCGGGCCTGGTTAGTACTTGGATGGGAGAATAGGAAAGCCTTTCCAGGCAGAGGGAGCAGCGCTTGTGAAGGCTCCTGGAGTGGGAGGCGTGCCAGAGGCGGGACAGGGGCTGCAGAGGCGGGGCGTGAAGGTGGCTGGGCGTGAAGTTGGGGTGGGCGTGAAGGTGGGGTGTCCAAGTCCGACGTACAGATGTTGGGGAGTGATTGGGCCTCGCGGCACAAGGACTCTGTGGCACGGGAAGAAGAAGACTTTAAACCATGGTGGGGCCAGGCGTGGTGGCTCACGCCTGTCATCCCAGAACTCTGGGAGGCTGAGATGAACAGATCACCTGAGGTCAGGAGTTTGAGACCAGCCTGGCCAACATGGCAAAACCCTGTCTCTACTAAAAATACAAAAATTATCTGGGCATGGAGGCGGGTACCTGTAATCCCAGCTACTCAGGAAGCTGAGGCAGGAGAATCGCTTGAACCTGGGAGGTGGAGGTTGCAGTGAGCCAAGATCGTGCCATTGCACCCCAGCCTGGGCGACAGAGCGAGACTCTGTCTCAAACGAAACAAAACAAACAAGCAAAAACCATGGTGGAAGTGAGCACCCCAGGGCTCTGAGTGGTGGCCCTGGGGACAGTGCTCTGGGCAGGCTGCCCTTTGCCAGGCCCGTGGGGGGACTAGGGGAGGCCAGCAGTCTGCCAGCCCAAGGAAGGAGGCCCCAGTCAGGCTGGCGGCGGGGAGCTGAGCAGATGTAGAGGTACAGGGAGGCACCGGCTTGCTCATCCCGAACAGTCTCTGAGCGCCATCAGCCTCAGGCCAGGCCCTGCTGGGAAATCCCAGGTAAACTGGCCACTGTCCTGCCCCCTAGGACCCCGTAGTCTGTGAGGGGGCCCCTGAAGTACCCAGGGGTGGAGAGGTGGAGGACAGACGGACACAGCGCGGTGCCTGCCTCGAATCCTTGTCTCTGTGTGCCTTTGGTTATTGTTGACCCAGAAACTCTTTCCACACCATGATTAGTGTATTTAATATTAGCCTGAAACCCAAAGAGATGTCACGAGGCTGATGCCTGGATGCAGATGAAGGAGAGGGGGCCGGGGTCTGGGAAGGCTTCTGTCACGAGGCACGTGCCTGGATACAGATGAAGGAGAGGGGGCCCGGGGTCTGGGAAGGCTCCTGGGCAGATGACCTGGCAGTGTGGGACTGCCCAGAGGCTCAGGAGGGCAGAGAGTGGAGCCACTGTGATTCTGTGGCGACACCTGTCTCCCCTGCACTGGCTGGGCTGGGATTAACTCCAAGTAGGAGGGGACGTAGGAGAAGTGTTGGTCTCTGTCCATGACACAAAGACAATATAGTGCTGGGCCAAGGACGAGGGGCAGGGGCAGCCTCTGCCAGCCCCGTGTTTCCAAAGAGCAGGCTGGCCACCCCAACATCCTGTTGAAAGGTCTGGATTTGTACACAGCAAAATGCCAAGCTCTTATGTCACGGCTGCTTCGTCGCGTTCTATGAACAGCATTTCCAGGAAAGGCCTCATTTCACAACAAGCTGAGTCCTGACGGATCCTGCTCTGGCCCCGGATGGGAAGAGTGACTTAATCAGCCCACCCTAGGAGTAACATGGCATTTCCTTCTCAGGCCAGACGTTTTTCCATTTTGCCCATAAGAAAGTTAGAATTGGGCCAATGGCTTGTTTTAATTTGATCTGCTATGGTTCGAAGGATGCTGGTGGGCTTAAGTTGCACCTAGACTGGGCCTTCTTTTCCTTTTTCATTTTCATTTTCTTTTTCTTTTCTTCTCTTCTTCTTCTTTTTTTTTTTTTTTTTTTTTTTTGAGGCAGGGTATTTTCCTGTTTCCCGGGCTGGAGTGCAGTGGTTCAGTTTGATCTCGGCTCACTGCAGCCTTGACCTCCTGGGCTCAAGCGATCCTCCCATCTCCCCCTCCCGAGTAGCTGGGACCACAGGTGCAGGCCATCATGCCTGGCTTTTTTTTTTTTTTTGTAGAGAGGGGCTTTCACCATGTTGCCCAGGCTGGTCTTGAACTCCTGGGCTCAAGTGATCCTCTGCCTCCCAAAGTATTGGGATTACAGGCATGACCCACTATGCCCAGCCTAGGCTGAGCCTTCTAAGTGGCTGTTGATTCTGTTCTCAGAAGTGGCTGGATCTCCGGGCTGGGAGTTCTGTGCACCATGGGTGAGCCCGTGGTGAGGATTGCTTATCTTTTCTTGGCAAATGTGGCCAACAATCTCCAGTCAACCTGAAAAACAGATATCAAGGCCGTGCATGCCAGAGAACGGAGCAGGAGGGGCGGTTCCTTGTGTGCGTGTTGTCGTGTGTGTCTGTGTGTAAACAGACGTCTGACCCCTGGCTGCCCAGCTGCCCCACTCACCACCTGGGGGCTCTCACTCTCAGGACCTATAGGGCACACTTGTAGGTTCCACTTGCTGTTCTGTTTCCTGGCCTCACATGTTTGGTACCGAGTCTTGTTTCTGCCTCATTTCCCGAGAGCAAGAGCTGGGCTCTCTGAAGCTGGATGCCAATATCTTTCTTTTCTCAATTCTAGAAAACTTAGCCATTGCCAATTTCCTTCCAGAATTCCAACTATGTTATAGGTATTTCCACTCTGATATTTTTCTTTAACCCGTGAATGACTTAGTGGTGTTTTATGCTATCCAAAACAAACATGCGAGATCTTCTTTTAAAATCTCTCCCTTTTGTTGGGAACATCTTGTCTTCGTGTGCTTGGTCCAGGCTCATGGTCTGGGGGAGACCTGGTCTTTGAAGGGCACGGAAGCCCTTTCTTGTGGCCAGGGGTAGTCCGTGACAGATTTCCGAAAATGGCCCCTGTGAGCATTTTTTCTTCTTGGGCTGCAAAACACTATATGCACGTTGTTGACTGAGTTTCAGATCTCAGCCCTTGCTGCTTTTCTGTTGATATTTGAACGATCAATATATTGAGGGATGTGTTGAGACCCCCCCCAGTAAGATCGGTGCTCGCCTGTTTCTCTGTGCATGTCATGGTTTTCGAGGCCACTCTGTCAGGGGCACTTAGGTTTAAAATCGCTTTGTCATCAGGGTGAATCGAACCTTTTATCTTACTTAGTGGCCATCTCTATCCCCAATGAAGCTTTGTCTCAGAGTCTCTTTCAGCTGATCATATCATCCCTTGGCAAGCATTCACGGCTTCATCACTTCCGCCTTTTGTTTCCACCTCTGTGTGTCCTTAGGCTTTATGTGTGTCTTTGGGAAACTGTGTGTGTCATGATGTTTTTAAAAATCCACAGCATCTGTGTCTGTCATTTGACTGATAGATTTAGTCCACTTTCTTTCATTGTAATTGTTGATCTATTTAGACCCGTTTCTACCATTTTAATCTGTTACATCAGTTGGTCCCACTTTTTCTGTATTTCTTTTCTCTTCTCTTTTTTTTTTTTTTTTTTTTTGAGACGGAGTCTTGCTCTGTCACCCAGGCTGGAGTGCAGTGGCGCGATCTCCGCTCACTGCAAGTTCCGCTTCCTGGGTTCACGCCATTCTCCTGCCTCAGCCTCCCGAGTAGCTGGGACTACAGGCGCCCGCCACCACGCCTGGCTAATTTTTTTATTTTTGTATTTTTAGTAGAGACGGGGTTTCACCATGTTAGCCAAGATGGTCTTGATCTCCTGACCTCGTGATCCACCCGCCTCCGCCTCCCAAAGTGCTGGGATTACAGGTGTGAACCACTGCGCCCAGCCTTTTTTCTTTTTTTGAGACAGAGTCTTGCTCTGTTGCCCAGGCTGGAGTGCAGTGGCATGATCTCAGCTCACTGCAACCTCCGACTCCTGGGTTCAAGCGATTCCCCTGGCTGGGCCTCCCGAGTAGCTGGGATTACAGGCATGCGGCACCACGCCCAGCTAATTTTTGTATTTTTAGTAGAGATGGGGTTTCACCATGCTGGCCAGGATGGGCACCATCTCCTGACCTCGTGATCTGCCTGCCTCAGACTCCCAAAGTGCTGGGATTACAGGTGTGAGCCACCATGCCCGGCCCTGTATTTCTTTTCAATGCTGTCTGTTTTCTGAATTAACTTCTGTGTGCTCTCCTGAGCAGACACAGACACACCAGCTGCCCGCATCCTTTGGTCTCCCAGGATGCCCTGATTCCTCTTGTACTAACAACTTCTGGTCTTTTACTTCTGTATTGTTTCAGACATAGATTTCTCCACTTGGTCTTGGCTGTTTAGATTTTCTTTTCCTCTTAGTCTGCGGGCGTGGGTCTTCTTTTTGGTGCTCTGTGAGCCTTTCGGTCACAAGTCTTTGTAATCATTTAATTTAACTTACTTTTTTAAAAAAACTTTATTTTGTTGCGACAAGGTCTCACTCTGGTTGCCTAGGTTGATCTCAAACTCCTGGGCTCAAGCTCTCCTCCCACTTTGGCCTCCCAAAGTGCTGGGATTACACCACACCTGGCCTCATATTCATGTTTTCGAAGGGTTGGTCTGGTCGCTGCATGGAGGATGGAGCCTGGGGGCCAGGGTGTCAGGGGCTGCCAGCTGGGACGCCTGTGCCACCACTGGGTGAGGAATGGCGGCGGCATGAGCTGTGGTGTCGGTGGCTGGTCTGTTTGTTAACCTGGGCCCTCCTAGAAGGAGCTGGGGAGGGCTATGGATCTGTGCTGCAGGTCCGGCCCTGAGGAAAGGGCCCACAGGGCCATTGGCAAATCTCCTGTCCCCTGGGAATGGGCCTGCCTCGGTACCCTTGCCGTGCCAGACCACTGGCTGGGAGCAGCCTGGGGGAACATGGATTTCAGAGCCCAGCACCTGGGACCAGGGCCGATGACACTTCCTGGGGCTGTGGGGGGTGAGGGAGGTGCATTCTCACAGCCTCCACACTCCCCCAGCGTGAACAGCTGGACCTCTCCCTCACCTTGCCTCCGTGAGGATGCATGGAGGGTCAAGGGGATTGTGGCCCTGGCCTGTGCGTCTGTCCCCGCTTCCTCCCTACTTGCTGATGCTCCTGTCTTTTGCTCTGGGGGCCAAGCCACGTTTGACGGGCGTTGGGGTTAAAATGGAATGTGACTGTATTGCTGCTGCAGGTCCCTTTGGAGAGAGGATGGAAAGTCAGGTCACGAGGCGTAGGGAAGAACGTAGGTTAATTAAAGTTTAAAACGCCTCTTTCCGCAGAGGTTCCTTGAGTCAACCCTGAGCGAGAGAGGCGCTGGGAGGGTCCTGGCTGCCTGGGGGCTGTGGCCTTCGGATGGTGCCAGCAGCATTGTCCCCATGGAAGAGTGGCCTGAGTGTGCCTTCAAGCTTTAATGCTTTTAAGCAACATTGAAATTCATCCCTGTACATCCTCAACTGCCTGGGAAACGTCCTAATTCAAGCGGAGAATCTGGGTCAGCTGTTTATAGAATAGTATTTGCTGAATGAAACTGGTGGCCCAGACAGCGGGGGACTTCTTGGGGGGTGGACGCTGGAGGGGACCCGGCCGTGAGCTCACGCGTGTCACCTCTGCTTTGTGCTACACTGTCACTTCCATTCTCAGAGCGTGTTAATTGAGCATTGCAACCTCCGTGGACCATCCGGGGAAAAGGCAACACCACAGCGTGGCTCGTGGAAAGGCTTCTCTAGAGGACGAGGTGGCAATGGCAGGAGCTGCCTTACTTGTAGCACAGGGGACCTGGCCACCATGAGCAGCTCTGTGCCCTGCCCACACCCCCGTCCCCAACACACAGGCGCACATATGGATCCGTGTGCAGCGTGTTGGGTCGGGGAGCCCGTGCCTCTGGGCTGGGCTCTGAGACTCTGTGGGCTCTGGGACTGTGACTTCTTTGTCTTTTTAAGCTCTAGTGCTTGGCTCAGTGTCTGATGTTTTTGGGTAACATAACAAAGATTTGTAGAATAAGTGAGGGAGAGAACGATCTTTGTAAACTCTCCGAATCTGAAGACAGCGCTTAGTGGTGCCACGGTGTTGCAGGTTATTTTGTAGATGAGGCCAGAGGGGCCCTGGGAGGAGAAACCACTCCTGGGAACCAAGGCTGGAAACCGGATGCTCCTGGCACAGCCCACAAAACAGCCGGGGCCTCCTGTCTCGGGCAGAGGCTTCTCCCTCTCGGTGTTTCTTCCTGATTGGGGAATAGAGGCTGGCCCTGCATCTTTGCTTTCTGACTTTTCCCACTGACCCCCAAGCTGAGCCCTGGGAAGGTGGAGGCTGCATTCTGCCCTGAGGCCTTCCCCCAGAAAAGCTGTCCCCAGGCGGAGGCTGCGGCGAGGGGCTGCCGCATCTATTCCTGGGTCCCTGGTGAGAAGGGTTGGTTATTTGACTCCAACCTGTCTCTGTTATCATTGTCTCTAAGTACTTACTATTATGACTCCTGAGTGTGTGCATGTGTGTGTGTACTTGTGTGTGCGCACTGGGCAATAATGTAAACCTATTTCTTATAGTGGGGTCACAGTCAAAAGCTTGAGAAGCCTTCAGAGAGGCTCCATCCATATGTGGGTATGTATGGGGCAGGGGGAGTGTGGAGATAGATTTTCCCAGCGTTCTTAAGGTAGAGAATTTTCCAGCAGTTTTCAAGAGTGATCAGGAAAGGCTAGAAGAATGTTGGGAAGAATTGCTTGGGTCAGCCTCCCTTGGTTATTTATTTATTTATTTATCTATTTATCTATTTATTTATTTATTTGAGACAGGGTCTCACTCTGTCACCCAGGCTGGAGTGCAGTGGTGTGATCTCGGCTCACTGCAACCTTTATCTCCTGGGTTTAAGCGATTCTCGTGCCTCAGCCTCCCAAATAGCTGGGATTACAGGCGTGCAGCACCACACCAGGCTAATTTTTGTATTTTTAGTAGAGATGGGGTTTCACCATGTTGCCCAGGCTGGTCTCAAACTCCTGACCTCAAGTGACCCGCCCACCTTGGCCTCCCAAAGTGCTGGGATTACAGGCGTGAGCCACCACACCCAGCCTTCCTTGGTTATTTAAATGATGGGCAAGCAGGCCCCAGGATGAGCACACAGGGCTTTCGCTGCTAAAACCAGGACGAGCTGGTTGTGCTAGTGGGCCCCACTGGACCAGGAGACGTTTCAGCTTAGAAAGCAGCTGCACATCTTGGAGAGACTCTGGGCAGAGCTGTGAAGGAGACCGGCCTGGATGGGTTGCCTGACCCCCCGGCACCCTGGCTGGAGCTGGGTAAGGGCATGTAGGGGCCTGTCATCAAGCCTGGCCCTGGGGACCACTGTGGTGGCCTGGCAGAGAAGGCAGTGCCTTCCATGGCTTCCCCAGCCTTCCTATGGCATCCACTCTTGGCCTTCTTGGGCACCTGCCAGCCTTGGTTTCTCACAAACTTTTCTGCTGCCATTGCCTGGGGAAGGAGGTACCCAAAAACATGGCACTGATGGAGCTTTAACTTCAGGGATTCTGGCAGTTTTTGCTGGGATCCCCATTTGTCAGCTGCTGTGCTGGGGAGGGAACAGCCCCCCACCAGTAGTTGTCCTAAGATCAAGGCCTGTGCCTTGATGGACAGGAGCTGGGATTCCATCTACCCTCAGACTGACCTTCTCAAGGCCGGTTGACTGAGTGGTGTTGATAAGACCCGCCTTGGAGCCTCCCTGGGGGCCTGAGCTCCTCTCCCTCTGGACCACCTGCTGGGCTAGGACTGGGTCTCAGGCTCTGGGGCAGCCAGGATAGACCGGCCGGTGGGGCTTCTGCTATTCCCAGTGTGGAGGTGGACACGTTCCATGCCAGGGCCTGACTAGGGCATGTCATTTGCACTCCCAGTTGTGCAGAGTGACAGCTGCATTGCTGAAGCATTCTCCTGTTCTCGTTTCTGAAGAAAAGTATTATGGAGAGGTCCGACATTCACAGGAGCAGAGCAAACAGCAGCACTCACGGCAACCACTCGGCCTTGCCAGCCACCCTCGCTTTGCCCAGCATCTCAACAAAGCATCCTGGTCATTTATTTTCCTTCCCTCCTTCCTTCCTTCCTTCCTTCCTTCCTTCCTTCCTTCCTTCCTTCCTTCTTTCCTTCCTTCCTTCTTTCCTTCCTTCCTTCTTTCCTTCCTTCCCTTCCTCCCTCCCTTCCTCTTTCTCTCTTTTTTCTTTCTTCTTTCTTTTTTCTTTCTTTCTTCTTTCTTTCTTTCTCTTTTCTTTCTGTTCTTTCTCTCTCTCTTCTTTCTTTCTCTCTCTTTCTTCTTTCTTTCTTTCTCTCTCTCTCTCTCTCCTTCCTTCCTTCCTTCCCTCCTTCCCTCCCTCCTTCCCTCCCTCCCTTCCTCCCTCCCTTCCTCCCTTCCTCTTTCTTTCTCTCTCTCTTTTTCTTTCAAGAGAGGATCTTACTCTGTCACTGAGGCTGGAGCATGGTGGCATGATCATGGCTCATTGCAGCCTCTACCTCCCAGTCTTAAGTGATCCTTCCACCTCAGCCTCTTGTGTAGCTGCGACTACAGGCACTTGCCACTGTGCTTCGCTAATTTTTGTATTATTAGTAGAGACAAGGTTTTGCTATGTTGCCCAGGCTGGTTTCAAACTCCTGAGGTCAAACAATCCTCCCACCTCGGCCTTCCAAAGTCCTGAGATTACAGGCATGAGCCACCACGCCCAGCCCAAAGAAGGTCATTTTCCCTTTCTTTCTTTCTTTCTTTCTTTCTTTCTTTCTTTCTTTCTTTCTTTCTTTCTTTCTCTCTCTCTCTCTCTTTCTTTCTTTCTTTCTTTCCTTCTCTCTCTCTCTCCCTCCCTCCCTCCTTTCCTTCCTTCCTTCCTTCTTTCCTCTCTTTCTTTTTAAGAGACAGGGCCTCCCTATGTTGCCCAAGCTGGTCTCATACTCCTGGACTCCAGGGATCTTCCTGCCTCAGCCTCCCAAAGTGCTAGGATTACAGGCATGAGCCACCACGCCTGGCCAAGGTCATTTTCTTAAGTAACTAAAGGGCCCCTGTTACACCTTACAGCATCGACAGCAATTGCTTCCCCCTCAGCGTCACCACTGGCTCTGTGGGTCCAAAGGACCCTTTACATTTTCAACGTTTAAGTCATTTTAGAAATACAGGCAAACCTCATTTGATTGCATTTCACTTAATTGCATCTTGCAGATATTGTTTTAATGTTTAAACAAATTCAAGGTCTGTGAGCAAATCTATCATTTTTTCCCCAACAACATGTGCTCACTTCATGTCTGTCTTGTCACGTTTTGCTAATTCTTACAGTATTTCCAACTTTTTCATTAGAATTATATCTGTTACGATGATCTGTGATGTTACCATCATCACTGTTTTGGGGGACCACAAACCGTGTTCTTCTGAGATAGTGAACTTAATGGATAAACGTTGTGTGTTCTGAGTGCTCCTCAGACCGGCCGCTCCCCCATCTCTCTCCAACTCCTCAGGCCTCCTTAAGCCAAGATAGGCCAAAAGCTAGGTCTCTTGCGACAGACAGCCAAGTTGTGAACACAAAGGAATAGTTCTTGAAGGAAATTTAAATGTGCTACTCCGGTGAACACATGGATGATGAGAAAGTGAAACACCCTCACTGCTGCTATGGAGGGAGTTGGAGTCTGGATAGATCAAACCAAACACAACATTCCCTTAAGCCAAAGCCTCATCCAGAGCATGGCCCTCACTCTCTTCAATTCTGTGAAGGCTGAGAGAGGTGAGGGAGATGCAGAAGAAAAGTTGAAAGCCACCAGAGGTTGGTTCATAGAAAGAGGGCTTTCATAGCTAGAGAGGAGAAGTCAATGTCTGGCTTCAGAGCTTCAAAGCACAGGCTGACTCTCTTGTTAGTGGCTAATGCAGCTGGTGACTTTACATGGAAGCCAGTGCTTGTTTACCATTCAGAAAATCCTAGGACACTTAAGAATATGCTAAATTGGCCGGGCGTGGTGGCTCACGCCTGTAATCCCAGCACTTTGGGAGGCCGAAGTGGGCAGATCACTTGAGATCAGGAGTTCAAGACCAGCCTGGCCAACATAGCGAAGCCCCATCTCTACTAAAAATGCAAAAATTAGCCAGGCATGATGGTGCACCCCTGTAATCCCAGGTACTCGGGAGGCTGAGGTGGGAGAATTTCTTGAACCTGGGAGGCAGAGGCTGCAGTGACCTGAGATTGTGTCACTGCATTAAAGCCTGGGTAACAGAGCAAGACCCCATAGCCCCCCGACCCCCCCTCCAAAAAAATGTCCAGTCGTGGTGGCTCACGCCAGTAATTCTAGCACGTTGGGAGGCTGAGGTGGGTGGATCATGAGGTCAGGAGTTTGAGACCAGCCTGGCCAATATGGTGAAACCCCATCTCTACTAAAAATACAAAAAAAATTAGCCAGGTGTGGTGGCACGTGCCTGTAGTTCCAGCTACTGGGGAGGCAGAAGCAGAAGAATTGCTTGAACCCGGGAGGTGGAGGTTGCAGTGAGCTGAGATTGTGCCACTGCACTCGAGACTGGGTGACAGAGTGAGACTCCATCTCAAAATAAACAAACAAACAAAAAGAATATGCTAAATTGACTCTACCTCTGCTCTATAAATAGAACAATAAAGCCCGGATGACAGCACATCTGTTTGCAGTGTGGTTTTCTGAATATTTTAAGTCCATTGGTAAGACCTACTGCTCAGAAAAAAAAAAAAATTATTTCAAAATATTACTGCTCATAGACGATGCACCTCGTCACCCAAAAGCTCTGATGGAGATGTACAAGGGGATTAATATTGTTTTCATGCCTCCTCACACAACGTCCACTCTGCAAAGAGTGATTTTGACTTTCAAGTCTTGTTATTTAAGAAATACATTTCATAAGGCAATAGATAGTGATTCCTCTGGTGGATCTGGGCAAAGTCAACTGAAAAACTTCTGGAAAGGATTCACCATTCTAGATGCCATGAAGAAGATTTGTGATTCATGGGAAGAAGTCAAAATATCAACAAACATTGACAAGAGTTTGATTGGGTTTTTTGTTTGTTTGTTTGTTTGTTTTGTTTGAGACAGGGTTTCATTCCCATTGCCTATGCTGGAGTGCAACAGCGCAATCTCAGTTCACTGCAACCTCCTCCTCCCTGGCTCAAATGATTCTCCAAGCTCAGCATCCCGAGTAGCTACAGGTGCCTATCATCACACCTGGCTAATTTTTGTATTTCTGTATTTTTTGGCTGGGCTGGTCTCGAACCCCTGAGCTCAAGTGATCCACCTACCTCGGCCTCCTGTAATGCTGGGATTATAGGCATGAGCCACTGCGCCCAGCCAACATTGACAAAAGTTTGGAAGAAGTTGATTCCAACCTCATGGATGACTTTGAGGGGTTTGAGACTTCAGTGGAGGAAAGAGCTGTAGATGTGGTGGAAATAGCAAGAGAACTGGAATTAGAAATGACGCCTGAGGATGTGACTGAATTGCTATAATCTCATGAGAAAACTTTGAACAGATGAGGAGTTGCTTCTTATGAATGAGCGAAGAGAGTGGTTTCTTTAGATGGAAACTACTCCTAGTGATGATGCTGTGAACATTGTTGAAATGACTGCACAGGATTTAGGATATTACATAAATTCAGTTGATAAAGCAGTGGCAGGGTATGAGAGAATGGACTCCAATTTTCAAAGAAGTTCTACGGTGGATAAAATGCTATCGAACAGCATTGTATGCTGCAGAGAAATTTTTTTATGAAAGGAAGAGTCACTTTATGCAGCCAACTTCGTTGCTGTCTTATTTTAAGAAATTGCCATGGCCACCCCAACCTTCAGCAGCCACCACCCTGATCAGTCAGCAGCCATCAACATTGAGCCAAGACCCCCACCGGCAAGATGATTACCACTCACTGAATGTTCATGTGATTGTCTGCATGTTTTTTAGCAATTATATATATATATATAAAGATGTGATCTCTCTGTGTTGCCAGGCTGGTCTCAAACTCCTGGCCTCAAATGATCCTCCTGCCTCAGCCTCTCAAAATGCTGGGATTATAGGTGTGAGCCACTGCACCCAGCCAGAAATAAAAATATTTAAATTAAGGTATGTACTTTGTTTTTTTAGACACAATGCTATTGCACACTTAATAGACTATAAATAGACTATACTATAACGTAAGCATAACTTCTATATGCACTGGGAAACTGTGACTCACTTTCTTGTAGTATTAGCTTTATTGAGTGGTCTGGAACAGAACCTGCAGTATCTCTGAGGCGTCCCTGTTGGTCATTTGCAGAAGTAAGAATAAAGGGATGGTGAAATACAACTTCATTAGACATTTTAGAATGAAGACATAGCAAACTGAACTTTTTATTCCATGTTTGTGATTTTGAAGGTATATTGGTAGCATCCTTTGAATGCAACTGGCTACTTATCACCTGCCTTGCATGAGCCTGGAACTCATCCACCTTAAAAGTGCTAATTCCAGGTTTCAACTGCACTTCTAGGGGTGTCTAAGCTAACATTACTTTTCCTTCTTCTTGCACTGATGTTGTCAAAATGTGATATTTGGATGAACTTTTTGAAATCGTTGACACTTACAATTTTGTTGGAGACAGTGTGGCCATTTTCTTTGTTCCATGATTGCAAAACATTTTCATTTTTTGATCTATAAACACCCATTAGAATGATCAATTAATTTAAAATTTTGCATTATCTATTTCCTCTCAGTATCTTTGTATAAACACCTGCTTTTGGCATTTGTCCACTTATGAAATGTATCCCATTTTGTTCACAAACATCAAAAAATGTGAAAGTATACCATCATACATCCTTTTAGAAAAAATGCAGTGGTCCAAGTTCTTATTACAAAATATTGAGTGAAGTCTTGCCTGTTAATTGAATGCAAATTTTTTGTGTCATTAGAAATATGGATTTGAGAAAATTTGTCTGGGATATGGTCATCTGAATGCTCACTGAAATTTATCCCATTTGATTGATTTCACCATCATCATTAGCCTCTGGCTAATGGGACAGAGTGGCTGTCTGTCCCTTCTACCATATATATATATATTTTTTTCTTTTAAAGAGACAGGGTCTTGCTCTGTCACCCAGGCTGGAGTGCAGTGGTGTGATCATAGCTCACTGTAGCCTCTAGCTCCCAGGCTCAGGCAATCCTCCCACCTCAGCCTCTGGAGTATCTGGGACTACAGGCATGCACCACCACACCTGGACAATTTTTCTTTTCCTTCCTTCCTTTCTTCCTTCCTTTCTTTCTTTTTTTTTTTTTTTTGAGGTGGGGTTTTGTCATGTTGCCCAGGCTGGTCTCGAACTCCTAGGCTCAAGCAACCCACCCACCCCAGCCTCCCAAAGTGCTGGATTACAGGCCTGAGCCATGGAGCTTGGCCTTCCCCTAGCTGCTTCTTCTTCTTCTTCTTCTTTTCTTTCTTTTTTTTTGAGATGGAGGCTTGCTGTGTCTCCTAGGCTGGAGTGCAGTGGTGTGATTTCAGCTCACCACAACCTCTGCCTCCCAGGTTCAAGCAATCCTCCCACCTCAGCCTCCCAAGTAGCTGGGATTACAGGCATTCACCATCACGCCTGGCTCATTTTTGTATTTTAAGTAGAGATGGGTTTGGCCATGTTGGCCAGGCTGGTCTCAAACTCCTGGCCTCAAGTGATCCGCCCACCTCAGCCTCCCAAAGTGCTGGAATTACAGGCATGAGCCACTGTGTTGGGCCTTCCCCCGCTTCTAATTGCCTATAATTATGAATGTCTCCCTCAGTCAACTTTCTTCTCCTTGCTGTTATGGGTGAAAAATGAAAAATTCAGAATGCTTGATTGTATTGTTCAATAAGAGTGAAACAAAGGAAAGCCTGTCATCTCCAGAATTATCTTCTACCTTCTTGAAAGTTGATGCAATACTGTTAGCAATGTAGTGAGAAAACGGAAGGATACTGTGGCAGAGATGGTTTATTTCATTCTGCTTTTTAGGCAAGTGCATCAGCTTTTCATTTTTTTGTTATTTTAGTCTCTTTTAGCATAACTGGAAATACTTAAATGAGTGATGATGAAATAATTCTCAGGATGATGAAATAGAAAAATATTTCAAGATACAGGAAAAATAAGATTCCTGATTCCAAAATATATCTTAGATTTACAAAAGGCTTGAACCAATCCCTGTAGGAATTGCAAGACAGAATGGGTTTTGTTCTGTAGAAGGTCTCTAAGACAGAATAAAATTCACAAACTATTAATCCTTATACAGTGCTAGAACTACTCAAAAAGTAAACTAAAAAAATAAAAATAGGCCAGGAGTGGTGGCTCACGCCTATAATCCCAGCACTTTGGGAGGCTGAGGCGGGCAGATCACTTGAGGTCAGGAGTTCAAGACCAGCCTGACCAATAGGGTGAAACTCCACTTCTACTAAAAATACAAAAAAATTAGCTGAGTGTGGTGTTGCATGCCTGTAATCCCAGCTACTCAGGAGGCTGAGGCAGGAGAATCACTTGAACCTGGGAGGCAGAGGTTGCAGTGAGCCAAGATTGTGCCACTGCGCTCCAGCCAGG
The DNA here is from genome assembly GCF_000001405.40 of Homo sapiens. NCBI lineage: Eukaryota > Metazoa > Chordata > Mammalia > Primates > Hominidae > Homo > Homo sapiens. Next base: position 103,302,581 of record NC_000014.9, on the reverse strand, counting down.
GCAACAAGAGTGAAACTCTGTCTCCAAAAAAAAAAAAAAAAAAAAAAAAAAGAACTCACTGGACCCTGCTGGTAAATTGAAGATTAATATCATTGAATATCCAACTGCCACATTAAATGTACCAAGTACCAAATTAAATTGCTCTGTTCAAAAAAACGTCTTTTTATAGTTGAGTTACTTAAATCAGGATCTAAATAAGATCTGCTCACGGTATGCACTGCCGTCTTGAGGTCCTTTGAAAGTGTCTTTTAATTTAGAACTGTCACCCCTCCTTAGTTTAATGCCATTGACTCATTAAAGAAACTGGGTCAGTTGTCCCGTACATGTCCCACATTTTGGATTTGACTGATTCCCTTCTCACAAGGTCATGGACCTGCCCCATATTTCCTGGAGTCTGCATTGGATCGAGGCTCAGTTTTGTCTTTGGTGGTGGTGGCAGGGGCTCCTCACCCCTGCCTGGCTGCACTGGTCTGCATAGAGGTCTTCTCTCCCTCCTGTGCCCTCACTCTGCCTGATCTGCCAAGGGGCCGGGAGTGGTTGGCTAGGGCCCGGCTGCTCCCACCTCCTTTCTGTGTTGGGGAGTAGGTGCTGGCTTAGAGCCCAGAGCTCTGGGTTTGGGCCTGGCCTTGCTACCCACCAGTTTGGGTTGGGCTTTAGTGTCCTTACCTGTATCCTGGGAATTATGTTACTTGTCCTGTTTACCACTCAGAGTTCTTGTAGGGATAAAAAAAAAAAAAAAAAAAAAGGACTTAAAAGGCTTTGGAAGCCATCAAGAGCTAATTAGGGTGCTGATGATTCTCCCCCTTAGCTCTGCAATGCAGGACTCCCTCATCCTGCCCCGCCCGGACAGCTCACCTCCTGCGTCCTGCCTCCTGCCCCCTCACCCCGCCCTGAGCACCCGGCTGTGTCCAGGGCTGATCTTTGCTGTGCACCCCACGTGCTGCTGGGGGTTCTGTAGTAGGCTTCAGGCCCTGGATGAGGCCAGGCTGAGAACCGCTGGTTGACACAGATACAGACCACTGGGTGGGCATCAGGGTGCTTGCTGCTGGGATACAGGAATATTTTGGGGCAAAACTCTAGGAAGCCTGTTTATAAAAGGCTGCTCCATTTTGGCCTGCAGAGAAATGAACTTTTGGCATATGAGTTTGGAATCTGGAGGAAGAGAAGCTTAACTGACTTCTGAAGCAATTTTTGGAGCTTTGTATTGGAATATGAAATACATACAGAGAACCGCAGGTACCTAAGTGTGGCCCCATGACCACTCATACACCGACCACTTTGGAGGAACTGGCACCCACATCGGGAAACAGAACATCACACCCCCTCTCAGAAGCCCCCTTTACGCCCTGTGCTCGGTGCCCTGCTGGTGATCACTATCCTGATGTTCCCGAAGCATTTTAAAGGCTGGTTGTGATGAACTATAAAGATGGTTGGACTGTGCTCAAAGCAGATCCAGCCAGTCCCTCCCTGTCATCAAGTCCCATGAATGTGCCCTTCCCGCCAGACTTCTCAGCACTGCAGTTCCCCAGGGGGCTCACCTTTCTCAAAAGTGAACTAGGAATGCTTTATTTCTCTAGAAAGGATTTGTTTATACCGAAAGCCAGGAAGTTTGGTTAGGTGGCAGCAGAAGTAGGCGAGTGAATAGGATGTGTGATTGGAGGTCAGCATGGCTGGGCTCTAAAGAGGGTAGGCGTGTGTCCCCCCACACTCGGCCTGGTCCACTCCTGTGTGTGCTTGTGTGCTCATGTCTGTGCATGTGTGTGCATCGTCTTCGTGACCAGCCAGCAGGTGGAAAGCAAGTGCCTCTTCTGTGCCAGGCATCTGTGTTAGCTGCACACACCAAGATGACTCTGATCATCCCTGCTGTTGAAGGGCTACTGTCTAATGGGAGAAGCAGGCATGTGGACACACTGGCTTGGTGTTGACGAACAGCAGAATGGAATGTCAGACTAACCTGCATCCAAAGCCTACTATTAGGTTGGTGCAAAAGTAATCGTTGTTTTTGCCATTACTTCCAACGGCAAAAAACGCAATTGCTTTTGTTTTTTGTTTGCTTTTTTTTTTTTTTTTTGAGACAGGATCTCACTCTGTGTCCCAGGCTGGAGTGCAGTGGCATGATCTCGGCTCACCGCAATCCTGGGTTGAAGCGATTCTCCTGCCTTAGCCTCCCCAGTAGCTGGGATTACAGACATGCGCCACCACTCCCGGCTAATTTTTGTATTTTTAGTAGAGACAGGGTTTCACTGTGTTGGCCAGGCTGGTCTCGAACTCCTGACCTCAAGCAATCTGCCTGCCTCAGCCTCCCAAAGTCGTGGGATTACAGGTGTGAGCCACCGTGCCTGGCCAAAAACCACAATTACTTTTGCACCAAGCTAATAGTTGCTGGGAGGACTGGAGAAAATAATGCATATGAAAGGCTTTTCGTAGTACCTGGCCTATACTAAGCCCTCTGCAAACGCTGGTTGCCATCATTCTTTCTTTCTTTTTTTTCTTTCTTTCTTTTTTTTTTTTTTTTTGAGATGGAATCTCACTCTGTCATCCAGGCTAGAGTGCAGTGCAATCTCGGCTCAGTGCAACCTCCGCCTCCCAGGTTCAAACGATTCTCCTGCCTCAGCCTCCCAAGTAGCTGCCACCACAGTTGCCTACCACCAAGCCTGGCTAATTTTTATATTTTTAGTAGAGACGGGGTTTCACCATGTTGGCCAGGCTGGTCTCGAATTCCTGACTTCAAGTGATGGGCCTGCCTCAATGTCCAAAATTGCTGGGATTCCAGGAGTGAGCCACCACGTCCGGTCCTGCCATCATTCTTAACAAGAGCGCCCCCACCATCGTCCAGGGAGAGATGGAATATCCAGAGAAGAACAGAGCTCACAGAAGGTATGGAAATGGTGCAGAGCTTCCTGTCCTGGGGTCTGTTGACAGAATTCAGGGGTTCCATGAGTGCAGGGGAAACTTGTATCTTTAGTCTCACTAATTTCTACCTGAAATCTAGCATTTTCTTTAATCACGAACATAGGCAACAAACCAGAGTAGTATTAGCAGGGTCCCTGAGTTTGTTACCATCACAGACATTGTCCTGCTGCGTTTCAGTTGTAGCAGATCTAGAAGTGTCAGTGAGGCTCACCATTTGAACCCATAGCAGCTATTAGATCAGCCATAGACCTGCCTAATAACAGTAAAGATCATTATATCACCCAGTTACTGTTTTAAAAACACTTGGTAATATTTTCAATATATTTGGTTTCATTTGTAACCTTATGTATTTTATGTTATGCTGTATAAATGGTACCCTGAAAAGGGCTCTATAGTTTTTACTACATTGGCAAAGGGGTCCAGAGCACAAGATCCAGAATCCGTCTGGTGGGGAAGGGAAGGATTCCTTTGTGGGGCAGGCAGGGCATGTCAGGAAGGCTTCACTGTGTGGAGGAGCCTTACACAGGGTTTTTTTTTTTTGTTTCTTGAGACAGTCTCACTCTGTCACCCAGGCTGGAGTGCAGTGGTGTGATCACAGCTCACTGCAGCCTCTAACTTCCAGGCTCAAGCGATCCTCCCACTGTAGCCTCCCAAGTAGCTGAGACTACAGGCGTGCACCACCACACTCAGCTAATTTTTAATTTTTTTTTTTTGGTAGAGATGGGGTTTTGCTACATTGCTCATGCTGGTCTTGAACTCCTGGGGTCCAGTGATCCTCCTGCCTTGGCCTCCCAAAGTGCTGGGATTAGAGGCTTGAGCCACCACACCTGGCCCCCTATTGGCTTTATGGAGAATATAAAACTTGTCCCTTTTTGTCATGAAAAAGCCATCTGGTGGCTGTCCTTAGCTCCAGGCCTGGCTCCCAGTCAGTGACTCTGACCCACAGGGAACTAAACCCACCTAGAAAGGGACATGGATTTGCAATGCCTAATTGAGTATTTTAATTTAGTCCTATGATATTTTAGTTTGAAACTAAAAGGAATTTAGTAAAGGGAGTGTGGCCAATGTTTAAGGACCAAAGACCTAGGGAATGTTTTGTTTGTTATTCAATTGCAGTATTTGAAGCAATTAAATATATAATTTAAAAGGTTTAAGAGTTCTCATTTAAACCAGCTTGTAAATGAGACTGAACGTAAACCACAAGCCCCTCTGTAAACAGTTGTTAGAACTGGCTGGATTTATCCACAGCATGGTCAGGTTTTTAAGCTGATCTTCAACACTTAAGGAAAAACTAGGTTTTTAAGTGTAGAACTTTAATACCTTAAATATATATATTTTAAAACCGAAGTAACTGCCACTAGTCATTTATGTGCACAGAAGTCTTTCTTTCTGTTTTTTTTTGGCTCACTGCAGCCTCCGCCTCCTGGGTTCAAGCGATTCTCCTGCCTCAGCCTCCTCAGTAGCTGGGACTACAGGTGTCTAGCACCATGCTTGGCTAATTTCTGCAGTAGAGACGGGGTTTCACCATGTAGGCCAGGTGGTCTCAAACTCCTGACCCCAAGTGATCCTCCCGCCTCAGCCTCCCGAGGTGCTGGGATTATAGGTGTGAGCCAGCACACCCGGCCTGCAGAAGTCTTTTTTTTTTTTTTTTTTGAGACAGAGTCTTGCTCTGTCGCCCAGGCTGGAGTGCAGTGCCGTGATCTCGGCTCACTGCAAGCTCCGCCTGGCGGGTTCACGCCATTCTCCTGCCTCAGCCTCCCGAGTACCTGGGACTACAGGCACCCACAACCACGCCCGGCTAATTTTTTTTTTGTATTTTTAGGAGAGACGGGGTTTCACCGCATTAGCCAGGATGGTCTCGATCTCTTGACCTTGTGATCCGCCCGCCTCAGCCTCCCAAAGTGCTGGGATTACAAGCGTGAGCCACTGCGCCCGGCCAGAAGTCATCTTTAAACATCTTTAAACCTCTTCCTGTGGCATCCGCAGGCCCTTGAGATGCTCATCCGAATCTGCTCACCCGTGGGCCTTGGAAGGAGGAGGCTGAATTCCTCCCAGCTGTGGCTTCCCCTGTGGAATGGGATACTCCAGGTCTCCTGGCCTAAGGAAGCGGGGGCTGGGACTCACTGAAGGCTGTAACATTGGGTTGGGGGTTACAACCAGCAGTTTTAAAAAAACGGAGTAGAACTAGGGTTACCAGGTGAATTACAGGATACCCAGTCATATCTGCATTTCAGATAAGTAACTTTTTTAAAGTGTGTATGTCCCAAATATTCTATGGGGTGGAACACACTAAAAAAAAAGTATTTACCTGAAATTCAAATAGCAGGTGTCCTGTATTTGTATTGCTCAATCTGGCAATCCTAAGTAGAATGGAAGAGAAAGTGTGGGAAGGGGCCAGGGCGTGCAGGGGAAATGTGATTGCCTGTGCATTTGTGGGCATGTATTGTAAATACCCACGTGTTTCTTAACTGTGGGTTGGAGCCAGCAGTGAGAAGCCGCTGTCCCTAGTGGTTGTGAGGGCTACGTGTGAGGCTGCCGCAAAGCCGCTTAACAGCGCCCGGGGAGTAACGGGGGCTCACGCCTGTAATCCCAGCACTTTCGGAGGCCAAGGCGGGTGGATCACCTGAGGTCAGGGGTTTGAGACCAGCCTGGCCAACATGGTGAAGCCCTGTCTCTACTAAAAATAAAAAAAATTAGCCTGACATGGTTGCACGTGCCTGTAATCCCAGCTACTTGGGAGGCTGAGGCAGGAGAATTGCTTGAACCCAGGAGGCGGAGGTTTCAGTGAGCCGAGATCGCACCACTGCATTCTGGCCTGGGCGACAGTGAGACTCCATCTCAAAAACAAACAAACAAACAAAAAACCCAGAAAACAGTATGTAGTTTATAGGATAAGGATATAAAGAAAAAATATATGGCTGGGCACAGTGGCTCACACCTGTAATCCCAGCACTTTGGGAGGCCGAGGCGGGAGAACTCCCGAGGTCAGGAGTTCGAGACCAACCTGACCAACAGGGAGAAACTCCATCTCTACTAAAAATACAAAATTAGCAGGGCGTGGTGGTGCATGCCTGTAATCCCAGCTACTTGGGTGGCTGAGTCAGGAGAATCGCTTGAACCCGGGAGGCAGAGGTTGCAGTGAGCCGAGATCACGCCATTGCACTTCAGCCTGGGCAACAAGACAGAAACTCTGTCTCAAAAATTAAAAAAAAAAAAAAAAAGGAAAGAAAATATTTTTATACAGGTGTACAATGTGTGTTTTAAGCTAAGTGTTATTACAAGAGTCCAAATGTTTTTTAAAAAGTAAAAGGTATATAAAGTTAAACCATTACAGTAAGTTAAGGCTAATTTGTTATCAAAGAAAGAAAAATATTTTTTATGAACTTAGTGTGGCCTAAGTGTCAGTGTTTACAAAGTCTACAGTAGTGGCCAGTAATGTCCTAGGCCTTCACATTCACTCACCACCCACTTGTGACTCACCCAGAGCCACTTCCAGTCCTGCAAGCTCCATTCATGGTAAGTGCCCTAAACCTGTGTGTCATTTTTTACTTTTTATGCCATACTTTTACTGTACCTTGTCTATGTTTGTATCTGTTTAGATACACAAATACTTTTTTTTTTTTGAGACAGAGTCTGGCCCTGTCACCCAGGCTGGAGTGCAGTGGTATGATCTCAGCTCACTGCAATCTCCACCTCCTGGGTTCAAGCGATTCTCCTGCCTCAGCCTCCCAAGTAGCTGGGACTACAGGCACCTACCACCATCCCCAGCTAATTTTTGTATTTTTAGTAGAGATGGGGTTTCACCATGTTGGCCAGGCTGGTCTTGAACTCCTGACCTCAGGTGATCCACCTGCCTCGGCCTCCCAAAGTTCTGGGATTACAGGCGTGAGCCACCATGCCTGGCCTAGATCCACAAATATTAATACTTACCATTGTGTCACAATTGCCTACAGTATTCAGTACAGTCCCACGTTGTACAGGTGTGTAGTAGGCTGCCTCATCTAGGTCTTTGTCATGATGTTCACGCAGCCACGAAATTGCCTAATGACACCTCTCAAAATGTATCCCTGTTGTTAAGCAACACATGACTGTATACATAGATACATTTGAAAATAAATTTTTATTTAAAAAGAATATTTGTTTAGAAATAATATTTATTTTAAAAGAATGACAAAGCCATAACATGTTAACATTAGTCATTATTTTTAAATGAAAAATAAGTATGTTCTGAAACCACAACAACAAAGTTAACAATAAGGGTGGCATTAGTTTTCATTTTTGTCAATATCTTTATGGTCTGGCTTGATAGGAGACAGGTAGATTCTCATATCTGCTTCTGCATGAGTCTGTTGTGATACGTTGTTTTGGTTGAAGTTTGTGGGGAATATTCAGCCGCTCACAGACATGCTGTTGGAAAAGGATGAGTAATTCAATACAGTCTTTAGATAGTTGTGACTATCCTTCTTTGATACCACACCAAAACTGGAGATGTTTAAAGATTAGTTATCATGATTATTTAAAGATTCTTTAAAAGATGAGTTATAATCAAAGATTGGTTAAAATGTGGATTAAAGGTTAGTTATAATGTGGATTCGAGATTATAATCTTTAAACTGAAAGGGTCTTGTACATTTTCATTTACTTTATGTATATGATGTGAAGTAGAGCTCCAACTTCGTTCTTCTGCAGGTGGCTCTCCGCTCTCCCAGCTGAAGAAAAGACTGTTCTTTCCCCACTTCACCCTCACATTTGGGGGTCAATTGATTTTGATGAGAGTGCCTTGGCTCTCATCAAAATCAACTGACCCCTAAATGTGAGTTTCTTTCTGGAATCTCAGTTCTATTGTATGGGTCTATATGTCTGTCTTTATACAAGCACACACAGGTTTGACTACTGTAGCTTTGTAGTAAATTTTGAAATCAGAAAGTGTGAATCCTCCAATCTTTGCTCTTTTTCAAGATTTTTTTTTGGCTGTCTGGGTTCCTTGAGTTTCTACATGAATTTTAAGATCAGCTTAATTCCTACAAAGAAGCCAGCTGAGACTCTGATGGGGATTGTCTTGAATCAATGTTCTTTTTGCTATAACTTATAGAGTAAATTAAACAACTGAAGGAAGGTCCCTGTGAGCTGCAGTCCCGGGAGAAGAGGAAACCCTTCAACATGGATTCTGGAAAGAACAGCCTTGGCTTTCTTCTGAACAAAAAGTTCTGGCCCAGCTGGACCCGGGGTGGGCACCGGGAGTGCAGGCTGCTAGTCCTCTCCTGCCAGCTTTGCGAGGCGTGGGGAGCACCTGCAGCATGGCTCACCTGAACCCAGTCCCCAGGCCCATGGCCTCCGAGAGATGAACACTGGCTGCCCAGAAGCAGGTGTGGGTAGGAGGGCAGAGGGACTGCCCGCAGGCGTCCCTGGGCTCCCTGGCTCCTTTCTGCTGATGTGCCGCCTCAGTCGGACAGAGGTTTCAACACACTTGTACCCTTCTCAACACAGGCCAGGCGTCTCCGGGGCCTGGAAGAAAACCAAGGTCAGGGGATCTCCTAGTTCAACAAGGGAGAACAACATGTAAGGAAGATAAAAATTAAAGCCGTGTCGGATGTGAGACACCCAGGGTCTCATATGACAAGACGCGAGTGGACTGCAGGCTGGGGCGGAGCTGTGGAGAGGGAAGACCCGGGGTGGGGCCGGGGAGAGGGGAGGCCGGGGCGGGGTGGGGGTGAGCAGTGGGATCCAGGAAGGTTCTCAGAGGAGAAGATGCCCACCCACACTGGGATTACAAGGAAGATAGGAATTTGTCAGAGGGCAAGGGGACAGCGGGAGGGAGTGACCAAGGGGGTCAGCAGGGGCAAAGGCCAGGAGGTGGTCACAGTATAGGTGTGTGTGGGGATGGAAGGTGTCAGCACAGCTGAGGCTGGGGAAGGGACAGGCAGGGCATCCCCGTCCTCGAGAGCCAGGCCAGAGCACTCGGGGACTGTCCTATGGCCAGCAGGAACCTGAAGGGCTTAGGAACATCCCCTGGCAGCCAGACACAGGATGGAGGGGAGGGCGCGGGACGGTGAAACCCTCTTCTTCTGGAACTCAGCCCCTCTGTCTGGGAGACACAGGAAGGAACTGCCAGGGCTGTGGACTTGCACAGTCTTGCCTGAACTATCTCATCCCTGGCAGTTTTGTTTGTTTGTTTTTTGTTTGTGTTTTAAAGATAGGGTCTTACTCTGCCACCTAGGCTGGAGTGTGGTGGCACAATCATGGTTCACCGCAGCCTTGGCCTCCCTGGCCCAGGTGATCCTCTCACCTCAGCCTCCGGAGGACCTGGGTCCACAAGCACACACCAGCACACCCAGCTAATTTTTATTTTATTTTATTTTATTTGTAGCGATGGGGGTCTCACTATCTTGCCCAGGCTGGTCTTAAACTCCTGGGCTCAAGTGATCCTCCTCCCTCAGCCTCCCAAAGTGCACCTGATATTACAGGCATGAGCAGCTGCGCCTAGACCCTGGCAGCCTTTTGAAATGGAATGTATCTGTCACCATCTTTGCAGATTAGGAAGCCAAGGCTAAGAGAAAAGAGTGACTTCTTCAGGGTCACCCTGTCATCCATGTCGGTGGGGAAAACCCTGGACAGCCCCACGCTACCCTGATTTCTTTCCCTCATCTCTGTCCTCAGACTGGTCAGCAGGGCATGCAATGCCCACCAGAGGGCACCAAAGGCCAGATTTGCCGTGCACTCCCACACCGTTTTGAGTCTCAGATGCGGCCTCCATTGATTAGAGTCTCAGATGCGGCCTCCACTGATTGAGTCTCAGATGCAGCCCCATTGATTGAGTCTCAGATGCAGCCCCTATTGGTTGAGATCCCCAGGTGCAGCCTCCACTGATTGAGAGCTTCACATGCAGTCCCCATTGATTGAGAGTCTCAGAGGCAGCTCCCATTGATTAAGTTTCAGATGCAGCCCCTGTTGATTGACTCTCAGATGCAGCCCCCATAGACTGAGAGCCCCAGAGGCAGCCCCACTGATAGAGAGTCTCAGATGCAGCCCCCATTGATCGAGAGTCTCAGATGCAGCCCCTATTGATTGAGTCTCAGATGCAGCCCCTGTTGATTGAAAGTCTCAGGTGCAGCCCCCATTGACTGAGAGTCTCAGAGGCAGTCCCCACTGATTCCCAGACACAACCCTCAATGACTCTCAGATGCAGCCCCTATTGATTGAAGTCTCAACTGCAGCCTCCATTGATTGGCAGTCTCAGATGCAGCCCCATAGACTGAGAGCCCCAGAGGAAGCCCCATTGAGAGCTCCAGAGCAGCCCCCATTGATAGTCTCAGATGCAGCCCCCATTGATAGAGAGTCTCAGATGCAGCCCCCATTGACTGAGAGGTTCACACGGAGCCCCCACTGAGTGACAGCTTCAGATGCAGCCTCCATTGATTGAGAGATTCAGATGTGGCCCCCATTGATTGAAAACTTCAGAATCAGCCTCCATTGATTGAGAGCCCCAGATGCAGCCTCCATTGAGAGCTTCACATGCAGCCCCCATTGCTTGAGTGTCTCAGATGCACCCCCCACTGGTTGAGAGTCTCAGATGCATCCCCCATTGATTGAGAGCTTCACGTGTAGCCCCCATTGCTTGAAAGTCTCAGATGCAGCCCCTGTTGATTGAAAGTCTAAGATGCAGCCCCCAATGACTGAAAGTCTCAGAGGCAGTCCGCACTGATTCTCAGACACAACCCTGAATTACTCTCAGATGCAGCCCCTATTGATTGAAATCTCAAATGCAGCCCGCATTGATTGAGAGTCTCAGATGCAGCCCCCATTGACTGAGAGGTTCACATGGAGCCCCCACTGAGTGACAGCTTCAGATGCAGCCTCCATTGATTGAGAGATTCAGATGCGGCCCCCATTGATTGAGAGCTTCAGAATCAGCCTCCATTGATTGAGAGCCCCAGATGCAGCCTCCATTGAGAGCTTCACATGCAGCCCCCATTGCTTGAGTGTCTCAGATGCACCCCCATTGATTGAGAGCTTCACGTGCAGCCCCCATTGCTTGAGAGTCTCAGATGTACCCCCCGTTGCTTGAGAGTCCCGGATGCACCCCTCATTGATTGAGAGCTTCACACGCAGCCTCCATTGATTGAGAGTCTCAGAGGCAGCTCCCATTGATTAAGTCTCAGACACAACCCCTATTGATTGACTCTCAGATGCAGTCCTCATTGACTGAGTCTCAGATGCAGCCCCTATTGACTGAGAGTCTTAGATGCAGTCCTCATTGATTGAGAGTCTCAGATGCAGGCCCTATTGACTGAGTCTCAGATGCAGCTCCTATTGACTGAGAGCCTCAGAGGCAGCCCCATTGATTGAGAGCCCCAGAGCAGCCCCCACTGATTGAGAGCTTCAGATACAGCCCCCAGTGATTGACAGCTTCACATGCAGCCCCCAGTGATTGACAGTTTCAGATCCAGCCTCCATTGCTTGAGAGCTTCAGATGCAGCCCCCCATGATTGAGCTTCATTCACATGCAGCCCCCACTCTGGATTCTCCGCTGAAGGGTCACCCTGGTAGAGCCTTAAGAGAATTGAAGCTCAGGTCCAGGTGGCTCTGCGGCCCTCCTTCTGAGTCTGAGGTGACAGGGTAGGTGAGGTTGGCCACAGAAGGGAGTGCATTAGGCCCAGAGGCTGTGACTAAGGAGGCTTTGGTGCTCCTTCTCTCCCTAGACTTTTGCGAAACTCTTCGAAGTCCTGGAGAGGCTCTGGAGTGTGGCTACTTGGAGCCCTGTGTCTGTGGGGAGCCGCTGCCTAGATCTAAGCACGGTCTGGCTAGAGCTTCCCACTGGACAGTGGCTGGTCAGGGGGAGTTTGTTGGCTCCCACCCCGGCCCCCGGGCAGCACATATCAGCTGGCCTGGCTGGGCCTTGGGAGGACAGAGGATGCTCATTCCTCAGGACTAGAGGAGCCCTGTGGTGCCTCCCTCCCGCTCTAGCTGGGAGATGGGCAGAGCTGGACTGCACCTGCTGCTGTCCCCACTGTGACCAGGCTTTTGGGGTGGACAAGAGGGCTCATCCCCTCCATACCCCTCCCTGGAGCCCCTCCCAGGTCCACGTTGTGGGACTGGGCTGTGACAGGACTCTGGCCAAAGAGATGTGTGGAGACATCACAGGAAAGGGGCTGGTGAAGTTGGGGGCTACCCATGGGGTCCTAAGAAAGGCTGGTGCTTTCCTGCCTTGGGCTGCAGTCCCAGCATGACATGAGGTGTTGCTTCCTGCCATGAACCAAAAGGCAAGAGGCTTGCCAGGGAGAGGCTTGGAGCCTGGATTCTGTTTGGTCCACGGAGTTCACCAGTCTCAAGACCACCTGGTTAGTTCCTGGTGGTGAAAGCATCCTGGAGAGGCATGTTCTCACTCAGGGAGATGGTTCAGGGGTGCAGGTGCCCCAACACCCTACCGCTCCCACGGACTCACTTTGCTGGTGGGGGCTTACCCCCTACAAGGCCAGCTGCATAACCAGAGTGCTGCGGTGCCCACCCTGCTCCTGGTGAGTCAACAGAATCCTGACAATATTGCCCAAGTCATCTACAAATCCAAAGTCAAAGTCTTCCCTATCAATATACCACTCAGGTTCTTTGATGAGCTCAGTAAATACTCTAAAAATGGAGGAAAGACTACAGCCACAAATAGCTAAGCCAGCTGAAAACGCGGAATCCCAGATGTGAAGACACACTAGGAAGCGTCCTCGGAGGAGCAGCTTTTGGGAACAGGAGCAAGCCACCCGCAGAGTGGGGTGGGGCCGGAGCAGGGCGAGCATTGTGAGAATATCACACGATCCCACCATGGGCAAGGAGTGAATCTTTTTTTTTTTTTTTTTTGAGACGGAGTTTCGCTCTCGTTGCCCAGGCTGGAGTGCAATGGCACAATCTTGGCTCACCGCAACCTCTGCCTCCCAGGTTCAAGCTATTCTCCTGCCTCAGCCTCCCTAGTAGCTGGGATTACAGGCACCCACCACCTTGCCTGGCTAATTTTGTATTTTTAGTAGAGATGGGATTTCACCACATTGGCCAGGGTGGTCTCGAACTCCTAATCTCAGGTGATCCACCTGCCTCGGCCTCCCAAAGTGCTGGGATTACACATATGAGCCACTGTGCCTGGCCAACGAATGAGTCTTTTTTTTTTTTTTTTTGATGGAGTCTTGCTCTGTCACCCAGGCTAGAGTGCAGTGGTGTGATCTTGGCTCACTGCAACCTCCACCTCCCGGGTTCAAGTGATTCTCCTGCCTCAGCCTCCTGAGTAGCTGGGATTACAGGTGCCTGCCACCATGCCCGGCTAATTTTTGTATTTTTAGTAGAGACGGTGTTTCACCATCTTGGCCAGGCTGGTCTTGAACTCCTGGCCTCATGATCCACCTGCCTTAGCCTCCCAAAGTGCTGGGATTACAGGCGTGAGCCACTGCACCTGGCCAGCAGTGAGCCTCTTAAGCAATGGTGTAGAACAGTAGTCCCCAACCTTTTTGGCACCAGGGACTGATTTCATGGAGGACAATTTTTTCCATGACTGCTAGGGTGTGGGGGATGGCTTCAGGATGAAACTGTCCCACCTCAGATCATCAGGCATTAGATTCTCAAAAGAAGCACTCAACCTATATCCCTCACATGTGAAGTTCACAATGGGGTTTGTGCTCCTATGAGAATCTGATTTGACAGGAGGCAGAGCTCAGGCGGGAATGCTCACTCGCCTGCCACCCACCTCTTGCTGTGCAGCCTGGGTCCTAACAGGCCATGGACTGGTACTGGTCCACAGCCTGGGTGTTGGGAACACCTGGTGTAGAAGACTGGATCTCTAACTTAGTGGGAAAATAATGGATCTTTACTTAACCTCACATACAAAGCAGGACTCTAGAGAAAGTAAAGTTCCAAATGTCAAAGGTAAAAATAGGAAGCTAGAAGAAAATGTAAAAGAATTTTTGTAAGATACAGGCAGAGAAGGTCTTGTTATACCAGGATTCAAATGCCTAACCCATTGCTTCTCGGGCTTCTGGCTAAGATCAAGTGTCGTATCAAATGCATAATCCATAAGGCCACAATCATTGTAAATTACATCGAAACTAAGATGCTATTGTCCAGGGACACCAGGAACAAATCGGAAAGAGATATGAGAAAAGGCAACGATAATTGCAGTATCTAAAAGAGATATGCAATTAATTGCTCTAGAATGAACAGAAGCGTCTGTGAGTCAGCAAGACTGACGGAGGGACGAAGCCAGGGTAAGGGAGGAGTCTGCACCCCCCATCGCCAGGTTCTCCAGGCAGCCACAGCCACAGGCTGTTTAGAGCCTGGGGTCAGTGGGACCCAGGAGGAGGCTGCTAGGGTTGAGGCCGGTGGAGCTGCCCCTGCGGCCCCGGGCGGGGCTGAGCCAGGGAGGTGCACTCAGGACTGCAGCAGCCCCAGGAGATGCCCCGAGGCCTGGCCCAGCTCCTCAGTTTCCCTCTGCAGGTCAGGCTTGGGTATTCCCTGGGGCACGCCAAGCCTACAGAGGACAGAGGGGATCTGTCTGTGTGTGATGGGGGGCCATAGGGCGGGGCTTCTTTCTTCTGGCCAGGCCCTGGGGGATGTGTGTGTGTGTGTGTGTGTGTGTGTGTGTTGGCCCTGGGGGTGGCCACGGTGTTTCCTGGGAACAGCATGTGTCTGTATTAGGTCCTGTGTCTGCTATAACAAGTCACCACAAACTTGGTGGCTTAAAGCAACAAAAAAGTCTTCTCTCACGGTTTCAGAGGCCAGAACCTGCAATCAGTATCAATGGGCTGAAATCAAGGGGTCGGCAGAGCTTCGCTCCCTCCTGGGGGTCTAGGGTAGAGCCTGCCTCTTCCCCACCTCCTCCGGATTCGGCGGCTGCTGGTGCTCTTGGCTGTGTAGTCCCGATCTCTGCCTCATCTTCACATCGCCTTCTCTGCTCTGTGTGCAAGCCACCCTCTACCTGCATCATAAGGATACAAGTGATTTAGGGCCCACCTGGATGATCCAGGGTCCCCTCCCACTTTAAAATCCTTAATGTAATCCCATCTGCAAAGACTTTGCCATATAAGGTAACGTACACAGGTTCCAGGGATTAGGAACTGATACCTTTGGGGGCCCTTATTCACCTCGCCACAGCGTCCCCGTGAGTACAGAGAGGGAGGGCATCCAGGCCCTCCCCCCAGCACAACCTCACATGCCCTGGGCCCCAGGGCTGCCTCACCCCTGCCTACTCCCTGGACGCTCTTGGGAGCTGGTGTCGGGATGCTGAGTCTGTGTTTGATACATCAGGAGGAAACAAAGTCCAGAGGGGCCTAAGGAGCCCAGGGCCACACAGCACAGAGTGAGGATGGCACCCCTCCTGCCACCACCGTCGCTGAATTGAGTGCTGATTCTGCATGGAGCTTTGCCTGTGCTGCCTGCCTCATGCTCCCCAGGAAAGCGCTATCATTATCACCCTCGTTTTCCTGAGGAGGGAGAAACTGAGGCTGAGAGAGGCCAGTCATCTCGGTGGAGGCCACATAATGGATCCAGAATTGGAGCTGGACAGCCGCCACAACGCCGAGTGTTAAGGAGGAACACAGTTTGCAGCTGCCCCCCACCCCTGCCAGGCTATGGCTTGTCACCATCAGCTCCATGTAAACTAGAGACTAGTGGTAAAACCACCTTTGCAAAAATTATGACGGTGAGAGAAACCTGACAGTTGGCTCCATTTTGCTTCTACCCTCACAAGCTAACCATCTTTGCTCATTCCTGGGCGTAGACCAAGCTAACTATGGGAGAAATTTAGTTTATAGTTTAACTTTAGAACAAAGATGATAACGGTTCCTTCCTGAAATGAACCCCCTCCTTGCCTGGGGACAAAAACCACCTTTGTAAAGTTAACAAATTAGCCACAAGGTTAGAATTATGGTTCTGGAGTCAAGTAGCCAGAGATCACAAGTTTGTAACTTCCTCAGTTGCTTCTATAGATGACATCATTAGGATAAAACCAAAGACTGGTGTTTGAGGTATTTTTCAGAACTTGCATTCTGAGGCACCAGCTGGTGCCGCCCAAACCCATAACCCATACAAAGAAATGGACTCACCCAGTCCTGTGACTCTACCCAGGAATTGACTCAGAGCAAGAAGACAGCTCTGGACCCTGCAATTTCACCCCTGAACCAACCAATCAGCATTCTCCATTTCCTAAGCCCCACCTGTCAAACCATCCTTTAGAAACCGTAGCCTCCAAATTCTTCTGATGGGCATTTGGGTTGGTTCCAAGTCTTCGCTATTGTACATAGTGCTGCAATAAACATACCTGTGCGTGTGTCTTTATAGTAGAATGATTTATAACCCTTTGCATATATACCCAGTAATGGGATTGCTGGGTGGAATGGTATTTCTGGTTCTAGAGAAAGGATATCTTTAATAGGGCAAAAATGCAAACTGTAACAGAAAGCGTTGATACATTTGACTACATTACAAAAAGGAATGTACACTTATGCAAAAATATTTGTAATACATATAACTGACAAAAGACATACACATTTTTATACATGTTGTCTTTCCTAAGAATCCTATGACACAATAAAAATGATAAAAAACCAAACAGAAAAATGGGCAAAAGAAATAAACAGAGATGCACAGAAATAGCACAAATGGCAAATAAATGAATGAAAAAGATGCTCAACTGCATTAGTGATAAGGGAAATGCAAATTAACCAAAATGAAATGTCATTTCCAACCCATCAGGGTGGCAAGAATTTTAAGTCAGAAAAGAGTAAACTGGCAGGGATGAAGAGCGATGAGCTTTCTTCTGCTGCTGATAAAAGTGTAAATTAGAACAATACTTTGGAGAACAGCTTGGCGTCTCCTAGATAATTTTATTTTATTTTTTTTAGGACAGAGTTTCACTCTTTTTGTCCAGGCTGGAGTGCAGTGGTGCGATCTTGGCTCACTGCAACCTCCACCTCCCGGGTTCAAGTGGTTCTCCTGCCTTAGCCTCCTGAGTAGCTGGGACTACAGGCGTGTGCCACCACAACTGGCTAATTTTGTATTTTTAGTAGAGACGGGGTTTCACCATCTTGGCCAGGCTGGTCTCCAACTTCTCACTTCAGGTGATCCACCTGCCTTGGCCTCCCAAAGTGCTGGGATTACAGGTTTGAGCCACCGTGCCCAGCCTCCTAGAGAATTTGAACATATATATCTATACCCTATCACTGAGAAATTTCATGACTAGCTATATAGTCAGAGCCTAAACACAGGTGATCTCTGTTTCCAGTGTGTTTCCATACACGCCTGGGACACGTTCTGTAAAGACAGAACGACCCCAAGTATGGGTCCTGAAAATCTTCCTCCAGGTTAGAGGGCACAGATTCTAGTAGACCCTGGGACATAGTCCTCCACTCCTCATTTTATGCCATCAGCTTGCTCCAACATACACAACATCAAGTGCGTCATTCCTTGCGTTTTCAAATAAACATTTCCTATTACAGAAGCAAAAGAGGTTTCAGAGAAACTGAAGGGGATAGAGTTGTTGCTACCCTTTGAACTTAATTGCTCACACCACTGTTGACAGAAAAAGCCAAATTCTGTGAAATATTTGAAGAGATTTGTTCAGAGCCAAATGTGAGAGCCATGACCTGTGAGTCAGCCTCAGGAACTCCTGAGAACACGTGCCCCAAGGGGTTGGTCTACAGCTTGGCCTTACACGTTTCAGTTTCAGGGAGATAGAAGACATCGGTCAATACATATGAGGTATACAGTGGTTGGGTCGGAGAGCCAGGACAATTTGAAGCAGGGGACTTATGGATCACAGGTGGCTTCAAAGGCTCTGATTGGCAATTGGTTGAAAGAGTTAAGTTATTGCCTAAAGACCTGGAATCAGTAGAAAGGAATGTCTGGGTTCAGATAAGGTATGGGGTTGTGAAGACCAAGGTTTTTATTATGTAGATGAGTCTCATAGGTGGCTGCCCTTAGAGGCAATAGATGGCAAATACTTCCTGTTGAGACCTTTCAAAGATTATCAGGCTCTCTGGAAAAGACCCAGTAAGGGAAAGAGTTTCTCTAAAAAGGCAAATTTCCCCCACAAGAGGCAGCTGTGCAGGACCATGTCAAAAACATATTTTGGGGTAAATACTTTGATTTCCTTCAGGGTCTGCTATCTGTCATGTGACACTATATTAGAGTCAGGTTGGAATTTTGGTATCTTATTGCTGCAAAGAGTCTGTTTGTCCATCTTAAGGTCTCCGTTTTAATGTAATGCTGGTCAGCTGTGCCTGAACTCCAAAGGCAGGAGGGCTTATAACGAGGCGTGTCTGACCCCTCCCTTCCCATCATGGTCTGAACTAATTTTTCAGGTTTCTTTGAGTCCCTTTGGCCAAGAAGGGGGTCCGTGGGTCCATTCAGTCCGTCGGGTGGCTTAGAATTTTAGTTTTGGTTTACACAACCAAATCAAGTAACAGCAGGAGCGATTCGGCCTCAGGGTTGCTGAGATTCAAAAGCATCAGGTCAGGATCTCCCTCTGAACCGCCCCACCAAGGCTCAGGAAACTGGGGTACATGGCCACTGGTTCCTGTGGGCTGTTCCTGGGGATGCAAGCTCTCCGGCCCTGGCCAAGCAGGCAGCTCTGCCCAGAGAATGCCAGCAGCAGAGACAAAGGCTCCCGAGGCAAGAGGCCCACTCTGTGCCTGCTGCTTGCACGACTCGGATCCACTCAGCCCCGCATCCACCTTGTCCTGTGACTGATTCTTCACCTCGGTGGCTGGTTGCACCCTCTCTAAACAAAAATACACAGTGGGGTTGGCGGGACAAGTCTAAGTACAGTCTCCACCCTGGCGCTGATCTCAAGGCTGTGAGTAATGTCCCTCACCTCCTTCCTCACCACTCATTTTAGACCCTCCTTACTCTGGGACGGCAACGCAGCTGGGCTAGGCTGTTGGTTTCTGGGATGGCTCAGACCTTTATCCTCGAAGGGTCCAAGCTTCCGGTGACCACAGTTGCTGCAGCGGCTCCTTTCCTGCCATCACCAGGCACGGGAGCAGCACTTCCTGTCCATCAGATGGGTTAACACGGTGTCTTCACTACCAGGAGCCCGCACACTGTTCTGTGGAGTGTCAAGAACCTTAAAGTTCCTTCAGAAGAAGTGATCGAGAGCAGGGTAGTTAACAAGATCACGAAGTGCACTTTAAAAAACAAAAAACTCTTCATTGCATTTATTTTAGTGCTGAATTTATTCCTGTGCCATAAGTTTTTGTTTCCTCAGGGATATCTTTTTCTTGTGGGCAATCTTCTGGTTTAGGAACAATTTGTTCCTTCGCAGTAAGGATCATTTCGATGCGACAGGGAGAGCTCATGTATGGGTTAATCCCACCATGAGCTCTGGAGGTCTGGTGGCACATCTTAGGTGCTTTGTTCACTTGGAGGTGCTCAATGACCAGAGAATCTACACCTAAACCCTTCAGTTCAGCATTGCTCTCTGCATTGTTAAGCATATGCAGCAAGCATTCAGCACTCTTCTGGGGCCACCAACGTTGTGTCCAGCCCCACTGCTTGGCCTGGGCACACCTACCAACTCCCTGACTGTAACGTTGGAATGGCACACACTGCTTCTGTAAAGTGACATCTTTCAGATCCTTAGTGGCTTTTCATATATGCATACCCCTGATGACCTGGGCAGTTTCACAAGTGTTCCAAGGTGACCACGAAGATTTGAACCTCTTTGCATGATTTTGTGGGGTTTTCCGGGTTAAGTGAATAGCGAATCATTTTCACAGATTACCTCAGGAGGTTTAGGGGAAGAGAGAACCCAAAAATGTGCACGTCTGTCTGTCCTAGGTGAATGCAGACACCCTCCATCCTCCATCCCCAGTGGGAGTGGATGCATTCTTTTTTTTTTTTTTTTTTTTTTGAGACGGAGTTTTGCTCTTCGCTCTTGTTACCCAGGCTGGAGTGCAATGGCGCTATGATCTCAGCTCACCACAACCTCCACCTCCTGGGTTCAAGCGATTCTCTGGCCTCAGCCTCCCGAGTAGCTGGGATTACAGGTATGCGCTACCACGCCTGGCTAATTTTGTATTTTTAGTAAAGATGGGGTTTCTCCATGTTGGTCGGGCTGGTCTCAAACTCCCGACCTCAGGTGATCTGCCCGCCTCGGCCTCCCAAAATGCTGGGATTACAGGCGTGAGCCACCACGCCCGGCCTGCATTCTTTAGCTCGGTTGGCCGTCCGCCAAGCGCCAGCCAGGGTGGACCTCTTCCAGTAGATGCCACCTCTGCTGCAGCGGCTGTGACTGAGGCTACCACTTGGTTAAGTTTATGGCCGTCCACTCTCATTGCCATGAGCCTCTTTTATACTGTGGGAGATGAATAAATAGAAATGCATCTTCATGTCTTTGAGGATGGCCCGATTCTCTGCCCTCTCACCCGGCATGGCTTCCCATCTACTATCTTGACTCAATGAGGAAGCACTTTCAGGGCCTGCCACTGGTGTGTGCGTGCACCCATAGGCAGGGAGGTGTCTGGGCGGGGAGACAGAGACAAAGGCAGAGAGACAGAGAGAGACAGAGAGAGGGAAAGATGGTGTAAGTTGGGGAAAGGGGTGGGTGTGGCTTAGATGCCCACATGAGCAGAAGGTGACTGCCCTGTCCTTCGGCCTGTCCAGCAGCTGGCAGCCAGCTCACCGCTGAGCAACTGGATGGGAGTGGGAGGGTGTGATGCCGTCAGGAGTTCAAAGGAGCAGCTGGCTTGTTTAGAGAATATGGGGTGCTTTTTCCTGGATGGAGGCTGAGATCCAGAGGGACCAGGCCACAGAGCTCTCCCGGAGCATTCCCACAAGCCAGCAGCCGAGCAGGGTAGAGCCGTGGCATCTGCGTGAGGCCCATCCCATCCTGTCCAGCATGGCTCAGCAGGGTCTTGCTGGCCAGGGGTGTCAGGACTGGGAACAAGATGTTGCTGATTTCCATTTGCTGCCCCTGCACTTCCCCACACAGCCCAGAGCACAGCAGAAAGCAGCTGGTGTTTTGCTTCCTTTCCAGCAGAGGGAGGGAGCAGCTTGGTGAGGACAACTTGCCCTTGAGGCAGGGAAATGTGATCAGCACCCCCCACCTCCCTTGCCGGAGTGAGCTGCAGTAATTGGTTTTCCTAGAACAGCTATCCAACCCAAGGCGAAGAAACACCCAAACCAAAATGTCATAAAACTTACTGCGTTTAAAAACAATTATCAGGGCTGGGCGTGGTGACACACACCTGTAATCCCAGCACTTTGGGAGGCCAAGGCAGGTGGATCACCCAAGGTCAGGAGTTTGAGACCAGCCTGGCCAACACGGGAAAACCTCGTCTCTACTAAAAATAGAAAAATTAGCTGGGCATGGTGGCGGGCACCTGTAATCCCAGCTACTCAGGAGGCCGAGGCAGGAGAATTGCTTGAATCCGGGTGGTGGAGGTTGCAGTGAGCCGAGATTGCGCCACCGCACTCCAGCCTAGGCAACAGAGCAAGTCTCAAAAAAAAAAAAAAAAAAAAAAAGAATTGGATAAAGGTTGCTGCGCTAAAAATCAACAAAAAGATGACCTATTCTTCATAGGTTTCCATACCTATTTCACTATTTAAAAATTCCAGGAATTCAGGCAAAGTATGAAGGCAGCTGCCGCTAATAACACAGGTGCAATGCCTGCTGCATAACCGGGTGCTTTCTCTCCTCTCACCTCCTGGAGTTTTCTCTACAACAAACAAACTCCTGAAAAATAATGGTAAAGCCATCCGACAGCATCTAGAAATCTTGGAACATAGTGCTTTAAATATGATTCACAAAGTCAAATGGTAAGAATTGCAAAGTTTAAAAACAATTTATTTGTGCTCCATTTTCCTGTGCATAGCATAGTCAACCAGATGTTAATTACAAAACTGACAGCCAGCGCTGGGCTCACTTTAGGTATAAAATTAATTTGCCAGCGACACATATCCAATTGCAAGGTTGTGCTAAGTAGGTCGTAACTATATTTAGGACCACACAGAAAGGAAAAAGTGATTGCTCAATTCATCACTGAAAATGAGATGGAAACTTCATGGAACTAAGATCTAAACTTCGGCGAAGTGCTCCAAATCCAAACTGTAATTCTCAGAACCAGGTAGTTCAAAAAAACATACCACAAATTGCATTTGAAGAAAGCACATTCTGCCCATTCAGGCTTAAAGCAGTAAGGCATCTTTTAAAGAAGAAAAACTGCCAACAGAATGAATCACTGTTGTTAGTTAAAATACAGAAGTAGTCGTTTCCGTTTCCATTTACTATCCTGTATATCGCTGCTTTAAGATGCACCCAATAGGCCAGGCACCGTGGCTCACGCCTGTAATCCCAGCACTTCGGGAGGCCGAGGCAGGCGGATCACGAGGTCAAGAGATCGAGACCATCTTGGCCAACATGGTGAAACCCCGTCTCTACTAAAAATACAAAAATTAGCCGGGCGTGGTGGCACATGCCTGTAGTCCCACCTACTTGGGAGGCTGAGGCAGGATAATCGCTTGAACCGGGGAGGCGGAGGTTGCAGTGAGCTGAGATCACCGAGATCGCCACTGAACTCCAGCCTGGCGACAGTCTCAAAAAAATAAAAAATGCACCGAATAGTTCATCCTGGGCTCTCACGTTTAGTAATTACGAGTGCAGAATCTGCATAAGGAAATCGATTAAATACTTAAGACGTTAGCCCTTGCCTTTTACCTATTATAGTAACTTGGAAAGCTGCGAAGGTAAAGAACAGCTTTCAGGCCTCGGGCGCTGGGGCCGCGCTTCTGCTCTGCACCCGTGGGTCTTGGGGAACAAGGCCTGGGCACCGGAGGGACTCGAGGCAGCGCGCGGGTTAGAAGCGTCCCGGCAGGCTCAGTTCCCGACGCGGCCCCAGTCCTAGCCTCCCTCCCCGCGCTTCGAGGCTGCCACCAGGGCCATCTTTTTCTGGATGGAGTCCAGGGGACAACAGAAAACTTCCCAACACTCCACCTCCTCCTCGGGCGGGACCAAGGCCTCCGTCTCGCGCACCGCCTGCATGAACACCCGGTCCACCATCCGCTGGCTCTTGGCCATGACCTCCGGGAACGGGGAGCGCCCCTCGCGGCCCCGCGCCGTCAGCACCTGGCGCCCGTCGTCCGGGTCGGCCTGGGTGCCCACCAGCACCCGCGGGACGGCCCCGGGTTCCCACGGCCGGCGCAGGCGCTTGCTCGGCGGCCTCACGGCCCGGAACGAGGCCTCGCTGCACACGCCCGGGAGCACCGCGGAGCCGTCGCCGTGGCGGATGTCCAGGTCCTGGAGCGTGACCAGGTGCTCGGCGCCCGCCGCGTCCACGACCTCCAGCAACGCGGGCGCCGCGTTCGCCTCGATCTCCTCGCGGAGCCGCTCCTCCGCCCACGCCGCGCACTGCTCGGGGAGCGGCCGCACGCGAACTGCGTGTCCAGCGTGGTCCTGCCCACTCCACGCTCCCCAGCAGCACACCCCGGCAGCCCTGGCGGGGCGCGGGACCAGCCCGCAGGGTCCGGGACGCGGCGGGGAGGGGAGGGGAGGGAGGAAGGGTCCTGGGAGGGCGAGGACCCGCGCGGGGGTCTGGCCTGGGGCGGGTCGGGAGGGGAGGGGAGGAAAACGGGGGGCGGGGGAGGGCGGGAGGAAGGGGCCTGGGAGGGCGGACGCGCATCCCACGGAGCCGGGGCGGAGGAGGCGGTCGCGCCGCGGCGACCCCCGCCAGCCTTGGCCCGGACCCGCGCCCTCCTGCTCTCCCTGGTTCCCTGCCCGCACAGTGCCCGCCAGGTGCCTGCCGGGTCCGACCAGATCTAATCTGGAACCAGCTCCAGTGAGAAAGAAAAACAAGTTGGCCGGGCGCGGTGGCTCAGGCCTGTCAATCCCAGCACTTTGGGAGGCCGAGGCGGGCGGATCACGAGGTCAGGAGATCGAGACCATCCTGGCTAACACGGTGAAACCCCGTCTCCACTAAAAATACAAAAAATAGCCGGGCGTGGTGGCGGGCGCCTGTAGTCCCAGCTACTCGCGAGGCTGAGGCAGGAGAATGGCGGGAACCCGGGAGGCGGAGCTTGCAGTGAGCTGAGATCGCGCCACTGCACTCCAGCCTGGGCGACAGAGCGAGACTCCGTCTCAAAAGAAAAAAAAAAAAAAAGAAAAAAAGGAAAAACAAGCATACATCAAATCTGTGAGAAGCAGCTAAAGCCATTTTTAGGGGCAAATTTCAGTTTCACATTTTTTATAATGGAAAAGAAGAGGAGCCAAAAAAATCAGTGAGATAAATATTCATCTCGAGAAGTCGAAAGGAGGCAGGGTGAGATGGCTCACACCTGTAATCCCAACACTTGGGGAGGCTGAAGTGGGTAGATCGTTTGAGCCCAGGGAGTTCGAGACCAGCCCTGGCAACATAGTGAGACCACGTCTATGTTAGTCTGTTCTCACGCTACTATGAAGAAATACCCGAGACTGCGTAATTTATAAAGGAAAAAGGTTTAACTGACTCACAGTTCCGCAGGGCTGGGCAGGCCTCAGGAAACTTACGATCATGGTGGAAGGAGAAGCAAACAAGTCCTTCTTCACATGGGGGCAGGAAGAAGTGCTGAGCAAAAGGGGGGGAAACCCCTTATAAAAGCATCAGCTCTTGTGAGAACTCATTGACTATCCTGAGAACAGCAGCATGGAGGTAACCGCCCCCATGATTCAATTACCTCCCACTGGGTCCCTCCCATGACACACAGGGATCATGGGAACTACAATTCAAGATGAGATTTGGGTGGGGACACGGCCAAACCACACCACCATCTCTACAAAAAATACAAAATTAGTTGGGCATGGTGGTGCATGCCTGTGGTCCTAGCTACTCAGGAGGCTGAGGTGGGAGGATCACCTGAGCCCAGGGAGGTCAAGTCAGCAGTGAGCTGTCATTGTGCCACTGTACTCCAGCAGCCTAGACGACAGCCTAGGCTGTCTCGAAAAAAAAAAAAAAAAAAAAAAAGGAAGAAAAATATCCAGTAAATTAATTCCAAATAAAGTAGAAGAAAGTAAATAACAATTAGCTGGACAAGGTGGTATGCATTTGTAGTCCCAGTCCCAGCTACTCTGGAGGCTGGGGTGGGAGGATTTCTTGAGCCCAGGATGTCAAAGCTGCACTGAGCTGAGATTCTGATACTGCACTCCAGCCTGGGCAATGGAGCAAGACCCTGTCTCTAGCAAGAAAAAAAAAAAAAAAAAAAAAGAAAAGAAAAGAAAAAATAAAATAAAGCACAAATTATTTGAAAACAAGAACAGAGAGGATCAACAAAGCCAGATGTTGGGTCTTTGAAAATTTAGATGAAAAGAAAAAACTCCTAAAATATATAACTAATTAAGCTAAAATTAAAGTAACAGATCAGAATAGTTCCATATCTATTAAATACATTGAGTATATAATTAAAAACTTCCCACATGAAAGCTGTAGGTTCCAATGTCTTCTCTGATTAATTGTAACAAACATTTAAGGGAGAAAAAAAGAGTTCATTTTACAAAAAAGAAAAGACCTCTCTCAGAGACTAGAAAAAGAGGGAACTTGTTTTATGAGAGCAGGGTAACCTTGCTATCAATCAGACAAGGACATCATGAAAAAGGAAATTTACAGGCCAGTCTCACATACACTCACACATTCACAGGTGTGAAAATCCTAAATAAAATAAATTCAGTGTTAAATTAAAAAAGATAACACACTACGATTAAGTGGACTTTAACACAGGGATGTAAGATTAACTTAATATGCTAAAAATAAATTTAAATGGTCATGTAAAAGAATAGAAAAGAAAAATCATATGACCATCTGAGTAGCTGTGGGAAAAGCATTTGATAAAATTCAACATCCATTCATGACAAAAAGACTGTTAGCCACCTGGGAATAAAAGAAAATGTCCTCAGTCTATTTAAGATAGATACAGGAAGTTTCTAGTAAATATCATACCGTACATAATAAATATTATACACACTTTTGTCAAGTTTCCCACTATCTCCACTTCTACTTAACGCTGCACTGAGGTTTTCAACAATGTGACTAAGGCCAGGAAAAGAAACAAAAGGCATAATACTCTCATTATGTAGCTGATATATGTTCATTGAAAATATAAAAATGTCTAATAATTTTTTCTTTTTACATTTTCTTTTTCTTTCTTCTTTGTTTTTTAATCATCTAACCAGGTGAAAAATCTAGTATTTCTTTTTTTTCTTGAGACAGAGAGTCTTGCTGTGTCACACAGGCTGGAGCACAGTGGCACGATCATAGCTCACTGCAACCTCGACCTCCTTGGCTCAAGTGATCTTCTCGTCTCAGCCTCCAAAGTAGCTGGAACCACAGCCGTGTGCCACCAGGCTTGGCTAACTTAATTTTTTTTTTTTTTTTTTTTTGTAGAGACTGAGTCTCACTATGTTGTTCAGGCCAGTCTGGAACTCCTGGGCTCAAGCAGTCCTCCCACCTTGGCCTCCCAAAGTGCTGAGATTACAGGCATGAGCCACTGTGCCTGGCATAAATTGTTAAAATGAATAAGAGAGTTTAACAAGGTTGCTGGTTACAAAGCCAACACATAAAAATCATTTGCAACTCTATAGACCAACAATACAAAAATAACAAGCAAGAGCAAAATAAAAATGCATTTTAATAGCATCAAAAGACAGCAAATACCTAGGTAACAATCTAACAAAAGATGTACATGACTTCTATGCAGAAAACTATGAGACATTATTGTGATAGATTAAAGAGAAACAGACAAACATGTTCATGGATTAAAAGACTCAATATTTAAAATATGTTAATTTTTCTGAAACCAATTTGCTTCAATGTAATCCTAATCAAATTCTGGCAAGTATTTTGATTGCAGTCCATCAAGCTGATTCTAAAGCTTGTATAGAGATGCATAGGACCAAAGTTAGGCAAAATATTCTTTAAAAAGAATAATAAGGTGGGAAGATTTTGGTCCACCAGAGGCATCAAGATTTACAATAAAGTTATAAGATTTACAATAAAGCGACAGCAAATAGTGTAGAAAGACAGACAAATAGAACAGAGAGGGCACTGCCTAATGATGGTAGGGGAAGAATGGTCCTTTCAACAAATGTAATAGGATGGTTGATCAACAGATGGTGGACACAAAGAAAACTTAATATACAAAAACAAAATCCAGATATATGGTAGCTCTAGCTGCAAAAGGCAAAGCAACAAGGGTTAGAGAAGATAACATAACAGAAGATTTTCATGAACTCTGGGAAGAGAAGTGCTTATTACATAGACCATAGCATTGATCATAAAGGAAAGGATAATACATTTGATTATGTTAACACTGAGAGTTTCTCTTAATCAAAAGACACCATTGACAGAGTAAAAAGGCAAACTGCACAGTTGGAGAAGAGATTTGCAGTCCAATATTACTGACAAAGTATTCCTATCCAGAATATAGAAAGAACTACATACCAATAAGAAAAAGACAGCTGAATATAAAAATGGGCAAGAGACCTGAACAGTCACCTCATAAGAATATGTAAAATAAGGTCACATATTTATCAATATAGATATGTATATTTGGAAAATGTTACTACTAGTTACTCCTGGGGGATTGGAAGTGGAGGGTGGAGGTAGGGGGTGGTTTTCAATATTTTTAAAAAACAAGTTGTAAACAGTGATGGTGGTTCTTTTTGATTTTTATTAAAAATTATTTGGGGGGAGGGATAACATTAAATTATATAAAATCTGGTAGGAAAAGGCATTCTGGAAAAAAAAAAAGGCTGGAGAAAAAATGGTGGCTCCCATGATCGACTCAGTAATTTACTTGGTTGTTTGGTTATTCTTTTGTTTGAACATCTCCTACTATGAACTGATTTCAAAACCAGAATATACTGCATTTGTAATTTTAAGAAATAAATGTTATCAAAATATAAAGAAAAGTGCTCTTAAAATACCTTAAAATTCATGCAAGCTGAACAAACTAGACTGTCTGAGATTGACTTCTTGAAGCCAAAAGGCGAGACCACCCGAAGAGGGAGGCGCTGGGCTTCGCCTGAAGGGACAGGAGTCTCCTATGCCGGTCACCTGGGGACCAGGGCTTGATGGGAAGAGGGCACGAGTGGGGGGAGGGGCTCCGGCTGCAGGAGAATCCCCGCGGGAGCGTGGGAGGGGCCAGCTGGGCCAGGGCCGCCGCGTGTTCGGAATGAGTCTGATTCTGGCCGCAGGTCAAGCCGCGTTCTCCAAGCCACGATCTGTACCACCGATTCCCTTCAAACTAACTGCGACCGGGGCCCCTCGGGGCGTCGTCGGGCACGCGGTGTGAGGCCTGCGCCTGTGCGCGTGGGGTGGCGGGGGACCCGCGGCTGACACAGCCTTTGGCCTGGAGTCCTAAACGAGGGCCTGGAGTTCCTCCTGTGTGAAGACAGAGGCCTGGTTTCCACCTCTACCGCCTCCATAGCTACCAGGCGCCCACGGCCGCTGGAGGGTGCCTGCCGGGGCTGCTGCGGGGCTGCTGCGGGGCTGCTGGAGGGCCCAGCCCCTGGGGCCTCGGGGTCGTTCGGGTCCTGACGCTGCAGGACCAGCTGCGCGCAGAGGCCAGGAGACCCCGGTGCACTCGGCCGAGTTCTGCGCGCGGCGGGGACCGCGGAGGCACCAGCGACCTCTCCTGCCCGTTTGGACCCAGGGCTAGGGTCGGAGTGACACTATGGGTGGGGAGGCGGAGGCGGGGAGACTGAGGCGGGGAGAGGATTTTCGGCGCGGGGAGGGGTCGCGTGCGCGCCTGGGGACGCGGCGGTCCCCTAGGGTCTGCCCTCTTCTGCCGCGTCCTGGGCTCACTCGCCCAGCGGGAAGCGTCTCCTTTCTCCAACCCACCTGATCATCTTTCTCTCAACCCCCAGCTCCTGACCCCCGCGAGTTGGTCCCAGGGCCCGCGACAAGGCCTAGGCACCGGGATTCCGGGCGACATGGATCTTGGGGCCTCGAGCCTCCAAGCACCCAGGCCCTAGGAGGGCCGCGGGAAGGGGCGCAGCTGGGTCCCCGCCAGGGGTGCGGCAGAGGCGTCCGCTGGGAACCCGCCCCACGTAGGAAGCCTCGGAGTCCCAGATCCGCCCCGCTCAACCCAGGCTGGGGGTCTCCTCCGCCCGGCCCAGTCTCTGCAGCCCGCGCGTCGCGTTTGCTTTTTCGCGCACCGGAAGGGAGGCGCCCCCGCCACGACCCCAAGCCTCTGCCAAGTATCCGCCGGGGCCCTGCGCCCGCCCACGACCTCAAGAGCTCTGCGCCCCGGAGCGGGCGCGTCCTTCTGGACCACCCAGGCTTGGCGAGGGCATCGGCTGCTTGGAGGCCTCCGCGGATCGGGCGGGGGCGCGGCGCGGGGCTCTGGAGGTCATGGACGAGGGCGAGGCCGCGGGGGACCCGGTGTGCGCGCAGGTACGCGGAAGCTGGAAGCGGCGGGACGTCCTGTGTCACCGCTGGAGCCCAGGTGGAGGACAGGCCCCACTTGCCTTGCCTTGCCTCGCCTTGCCCCGCCTTGCGCCGCCTTGCCTTTTCCTTGCCTTTTCCTTGCCTTTCCTTTCCTTCTTTCCTTTTTTTTTTTTTTTTTTTTTTTTTTTTTTTTTTTTTTTTTTTTTTTTTGAGACAGAGTCTCGCTCTGTCGCCCGGGCTGGAGTGCAGTGGCGCGATCTCAGCTCACTGCAAGCTCCGCCTCCCGGGTTCACGCCATTCTCCCGCCTCAGCCTCGCGAGTAGCTGGGACTACAGGCGCCCGCCACCACACCTGGCTATTTTGTTTTTGTATTTTTAGTAGAGACGGGGTTTCACCATGTTAGCCAGGATGGTCTCGATCTCCTGACCTTGTGATCTGCCTGCCTCGGCCTCCCAAAGTGCTGGGATTACAGGCGTGAGCCACCGCGCCCGGCCAAAAATTGCTTTTCTTAATCAGTGTCCGTCCTTGTATTTTTTAAACTGAAGCTAAGCGTTACTCACGTACATAGTGCCGTATAAGATGTAACCGAAAATGCGTACACTGACGCTTAAACAAGGGTTACTTGTGTATGTGGCTGCCTCGCACTGATTGACTATATCCGGATGGTCTTTCTCTCCTGATGGTGCTTTAATTCGTGGAGACCTTGTTTCTGGGTCTTCTCTGAGACCCCGAAGACTCTGGAGCCGGCACTCCTGTAGAGATGGGTGTTCTCTTTTGTGTATGATGTGACCCTTATACTTTTTTTTTTTTTTTGAGACAGAGTCTAGTTCTGTCGCCCAAGCTGGAGTGCAGTGGTGCGATCTGGGCTCCTTGCAACCTCTGCCTCCCCTCCCGGGTTCAAGCAATTATCCTGCCTCAGCCTCCCAAGTAGCTGGGACTACAGGCACGCGGCACCACGCCCGGCTAATTTTTGTATTTTTAGTAAAGACGGGGTTTCACCATACTGGCCAGGCTGGTCTTGAACTCCTGACCTCAGGTGATCCTCCTGCCTTGGCCTCCCAAAGTGCTGGGATTACAGGCGTGAGCCACTGTGCCTGGCAGTGACCTAAGCCTTAATGTTGTAAGAGTTACAGTTATGTTTGAAATAGATTTCAGGGCACTGAACTGAACAGTTTTTCACACGTTTTAGATTCATTTACAACCTAGAATTGCAGCTTTCTGGGTGGATTTGTTTTTTTTTTCATTTACATATATAAAATGCCTGACCTACTTGCTGAAATGTCCCTGTACTTTCAAAAGGTGTTGTTTTTTTTTTTTGTCAGAATGGAGCAAAATCAGCTTCTACAACTAACAGCATTATTTCCCCTGTAGTTTATTGAAGCAACATTTTTTCCCTGAACACCTGAATATTTTGACAATAATGCAAATGTTAAACAGAATGAAATTATGTAAAGAAAAGATGCTCTTTTTGTTTGCCTTTCTAGCTGTGTTTGTAAAACCTTGGGAATTGGCTGGGTGT
Organism: Homo sapiens; assembly: GCF_000001405.40. Classification (NCBI taxonomy): domain Eukaryota; kingdom Metazoa; phylum Chordata; class Mammalia; order Primates; family Hominidae; genus Homo; species Homo sapiens. The sequence goes on along the minus strand of NC_000014.9, from coordinate 103,271,769 downwards.
GGTAGCTCAGGCCTGTAATCCCAGCACTTTGGGAGGCTGAGGTGGACGGATCACCTGAGTTCGGGAGTTCAAGACCAGCCTGGCCAACATGGAGAAACCCTGTCTCTACTAAAAATACAAAATTAGCCGGGCATGGTGGCACATGCCTGTAATCGCAGCTACTTGGGAGGCTGAGGCAAGAGAATCACTTGAACCCAGGAGGCGGAGGTTGTTGTGAGCCGAGATCGCGCCATTGCACTCCAGCCTGGGCAACAGGAGTGAAACTCCGTCTCAAAAACAAACAAACAAAACCTTGGGAAGGTTGCTGGTGTTTGGCTTTGGTGTGTGTGGGAAGTGTGTGTGTGTGGGGGGGGTTGTGTGTGTGGGGGGGGTGTGGGGGGGTGTGTGTGGGAGTGTGTGTGTGTGTGTGTGTGTGTGTGTCTGTATGTGAATTCCAGGCATTATTATTCTCTACAGCCCATGGACTCGCAGAGCTGAGACTTTAGTTCTGCCTTAGGCATTTGAACATTTTTCAAAATCAAATGTGAAAACTCAAAACTAACTTTTATCTGTATAAGCTTCCTAGCTTTGTCGAGGGAAAATGCTAGCCCGCGCAGTGGCTTGTGGAGGACCCTGGTATTCAGTTTATATTGTGTGTGATATTGTGGTAGAATAAAAGGTCCCCTCAAAATGAACAAAGAAACAAACACCAAAAAACCTTTCACTGCGCTGAGACCCGGCAAGACTTCAGTCCTCAACACTCCTTTCGGGGACTGGCTGTATGTCTTTTAGGCCTCAGGCAGTTCTTCAGTTTCCCCACAAGAATTTCAGTACTTTCAGTAACACCTGGAAAGCAGAACTGTCTCCCCAGATGGTGGCTGGGAAGAGGGTGTTCAGGCCCTGCGACCTGACACCCCCCAGGCAGAACACCCCCTTCATCTGTGGCAGAAATCCTTAACACTGAAGTTCAGGAAATGCCACCCCCAAATATGCCAGTTTGGGATATGGATTGGTTATAAAAGGAAGCTTTGAGTGGCACTTCCTTCTGTTTAGGATTTCAGGCAGCTCATAAAAACAAAGACCTCTATTTCCAGCTAGGCAATCAGGTGGGGGACAGGCATGGAGTAAAACTCTTGTCTCCAGTAACTCTGGGCTAAACTATTTCCCAATGAGAACAACTAACTGGATAAAATACATATTTTTAAAAATCTTAAAAATATTGAATTGCTGGGCCAGGCGCGGTGACTCACACCTGTAATCCCAGCACTTTGGGAGGCTGAGGCAGGCGGATCACGAGGTCTGGAGTTTGAGACCAGCCTGGCTGACATGGTGAAACCCCGTCTCTACTAAAAATACAAAAATTAGCCAGGGGTGGTGGCATGTGCCTGTAATCCCCGCTACTTGGGAGGTTGAGGCTGGAGAATCACTTGAACCCGGGAGGCGGAGGTTGCAGTGAGCCGAGATCACGCCACTGTACTCCAGCCTGGGTGACAGAGCGAGACTCTGTCTCAAAACAACCCCCCAAAACCCAAAGTACTCCCACAAGTAATTTTTTTTTCTAGTTTGGAAAGGATAGCTTTATTCCTCCTAAAGGGTTGCAGCCTGAAGGTGGCCGTTCTGACAGGCTGGGAAGCATAGCCTCTGGCTGGAAGCTAGAAACAGATATTTGGAGGGTAGGAATGGTAACACAGGGATTTATATTGACCAGGGTGGCCAAATATACATATTCAATAAGCTTTAGGAGGATCCATGAATATTTATGAGAGGAGAAATATGAACATACACAGTTGAGCTTCATGCCTCTCCATGGGACCCACGTTCAAAAAATGGTAGCCTTCACATGGTCCAAGGGTGGAGTTTTTGGGCCTCTGATGTCAAAAGGGGAAGCAGAGAAAACCCTCACTGTGCATCCTCCGTAGACTGGCCAGAACCACTCTGAGGTCGGTGGTCTCTTATCAGGAGGGGATGCTGGTTGGTAAGGTTGTATTGAAAATGCAAAAGGAAGCGGCAGCGTCAGAGTCTGGTTGATGTCGGGGTGGGGTCTGTGGACCGCAGTCCGCAGGGGAGAAAGCCTAAGGGCAGCTGGAGAGGGAAAGGGGAGCGTGTCTGACCTGCCCTCCCGTGTCTGACCTGCGTTCCCATCATGGCCTGGAACTCAGTTTTCAAGGTATCTCTGGGGTCCCCTTGGCCAAGAAGGGCTCAGTTCAGTTGGTTGGGGGCTTAGGATATAATTTTTATGTCTCTTTTCCTCACTTTGGTCAAGATTTTCCAGAGGCAGCATCAGTGGCTAAACTTTAATTTTGTCCCATATCGTTGCCAGGGTGGTGTGGCTCCCTGCCCCAGGTCCATCCAGGCCCTCGGCGGAACCCCATGGCCAAGGGTCTTACAGCCAAAAGACTTGCAGTCAATTAAACATTTTAGGCCAGATGGGAATGGAGGCAGCCAGACATTCATTAACCTGAAAAACTTTAAGCAATGTAAGAGCCAAAAACCAAAGCCAAAATGCAAGGTTACAAAATTGGCTTATCTGTAAGTTCTATACATTGAGCTACTGCAATCTTGGTTTTAGTTACATTTGTAGCAATTAGCTATATAAAACCTAAGCAATTAGCTATATAAAACCTAAGCATTTTGCTAAAACCATTTAAAGTAAGGAATCTGGAGACTTTAGTTGGGCTGCAAAGCTTTTATTTATTCATTGTTTGAGACAGGGTCTCATTTTGTCACCCAGGCTGGAGTGCAGTGGTGCAAACTCGGCTCACTGCAGTCTCAATCTCTCGGGCTCAGGTGATCCTCCACCTCAGCCTCCCAAGTAGTAGGGACTACAGGCATGTGCCACCACACTCGGCTAATTTTTTTTTTCTTTCTTGAGACAGATTCTTGCTCTGTCGCCAGGCTGGCGTGCAGTGGCACGATCTCGGCTCACTGCAACCTCCACCTCCCGGGTTCAAGCAATTCTCCTGCCTCAGCCTCCCGATTAGCTGGGACTACAAGCACATGCCCAGCTAATTTTTTCTATTTTTAGTAGAGATGGGGTTTCACCATGATGGCCAAGATGGCCTTGATCTCCTGACCTCGGGATCCACCCGCCGTGGCCTCCCGAAGTGCTGGGATTACAGGGGTGAGCCACCGCTCCTGGCCCTAATTTTTAAATTTTTTTGTAGAGAGGGGATGTTGCTGCCATGTTGCCCAGGCTGGTCTTGAACTCCTGGGTTCAAGCTATCCATCTGCCTCGGCCTCCCGAAGTGCTGGGATTACAGGTGTGAGCCAGCGCCTCCACAAAGCTTTCTGTGGTCTCTTTAGTACTTTTTCTGAAGTGATGCTAATTGTTGTTGGTCATATCTCTATTGCGTAAACCCCGTAGCTGGAAGCAGCTACACCCAGAAGGCTCTGTCATTGCATATCTTGATATTCTCTTCGTAATTCTCCTTTAATTCTACAGGAATCGGGAATTTTCCGTGATTGGGATGGATGGAAAAGCACCCAACTGCTACATGCTGCCTGATGGCTCCAGGGTTGGCCCACCATCACTTCTGCCACCATTGTTGCCACACACACTGCCCAGGAGCCCACCTGCCCTGCCTACTGGTGGCGCCTGAGCAAGCTGGAGGCCCAAGGACTGGCCTATCTGGACTCACCACCATTAGCACCTGCATATGCCACCCAGGGGCCTGCAAATCAGCACACCTGGCTCCCCATTGCCACCACAGCTGTGGGGGCTGCATCCTGCAGAGCCACAGGGCAGAGCCCACCCCTTGAGCCAATGTGGCCTGGATACGAGACACAGGGTTGAAGGAGATTATTTTGGAGCTTTAAGATTTAATGACTGCCCTGCTGGGTTTCAAACTTGCATGGGGCCTGTAGCCCCTTTGTTTTGGCCAGTTTGCCTTTTTGGATTGGTAGTATTTAGTCAATGTTTGTACCCCCATTGTATCTTGGAAGTAACTAATTTGTTTTTGATTTTACAGGCTCATAGGTGGAAGGGACTGGCCTTGTCTCAGATGAGACTTTGGACTGTGGACTTTTGAGTTAATGCCGAAATGAGTTAAGACGTGAGGGACTGTTGAGAAGGGATGATTGTATTTTGCAGTGTGAGAAGGATATGAGATTTGGGAGGGGCTGGGGCAGAATGGAATGGTTTGGATTTGTGTCCCCAGCCACATCTCATGTTAAATTGTAGGAGGGGTCTGGACAGAGGTGATTGGATCAAGGGGGCGGATTTCCCCCTTGCTGTTCTCGTGATAGTGACTGAGTTCTCACAAGATCTGGTTGTTTAAAAGTGTGTGGCACCTCCCCCTTCACCCTCTTCCTCCCGCTCCAGCCTCAAAGGATGTGCCGGCTTCCCCTTCACCTTCCACCATGATGGAAGGTCTCCCGAGGCCTAGCCAGCCGTGCTTCCTGGACAGCCTGTGGGAACGTGAGCCGATTAAGCCTCTTTATAAATTACCCAGTCTCAGGCAGTTCTTTATGGCAATGTGAGAACAGACTACAATACCAACCAACATTATCGGTGTATCTACAGGAAAATGTCTTTCCCTACAAAAGCCAATCCATAAAATTAGAAGAAATGACTGTTACACCAGATGCGCAGATATCAACACAAGGACACAAGAAACACACACACACAAAGGAAACGTGACGCCTCCAAAGGAACACAATATTTCTCCAGGAACAGATCCTAAAGAAATGATGAAATGCTCAAAAAAATTCAAAATAAGTTTAAAAACTCAGTGAGATACAAGACAGCAAAGATAAACAATACAGAGAAATCAGGGGCCGGGGGAGTGGCTCAAGCCTGTAATCCCAGTACTTTGGGAGGCTGAGGCGGGTGGATCACTGGAGGTCAAGAGTTCGAGACCAGCCTGGCGAATGTGGCGAAACCTCATCTCTACTAAAAACACAAAAATTAGCTGGGTGTGGTGGCGTATGCCTGTGATCCCAGCTACTCGGGAGGCTGAGGCAGGAGAATCACTTGAACCGGGGAGGCAGAGGTTGCAGTGAACCAAGATCATGCCACTGCTCTCCAGCCTGGGTGACAGAGCCAGACTCCATCTCAAAGAAAAAAAAGAAAAAAGGAAATCAGGGAAACAATTCATGATATAAATGAAAAAAGTTAAAAAAAAAAAAAACAGAGCCATCATTAAAAAATGCCAAATGGGAATCCTGGAACTGAAGAATTCTGTTCCAGGTTTGAAGAATAAAATAAAATAAAAACAATCAAGAGCTTCAACAATAGACTAGATCAAGCAGAAGAAATAATTTTGGAACTTGAAAACACGGCTTTTGAAATAGCCTTGTCAAACAAAAAATAAAAGAGTGCTGGGTGTGGTGGCTCATGTCTGTAATCTCAACACTTTGGGAGGCCACGTGGGTAGATTGCTTGAGCCCAGGAGTGTGAGACCAGCCTGGGCAACACGGCGAAACCTCATTTCTACAAAAATTACAAAAAATTAGCCAGGTGTGGTGGTGCATGCCTGTAGTCCCAGCTACTTGGGAGGCTGAGGTGGGAGGATCACTTGCACCTGGGAGATGAAGGTTGCAGTGAGCCCAGATTGCACCACTGCATTCTAGCCTGGGTGATAGAGCAAGACCCTGTCTCAAAAAAGAAAAGAAAAGAAAAACAGTAAAAAATAAGAAGAAAGGCTATATGATATATGAAACACCGTAAGTTGCCAAATATTCAACTTTTTGGAGTTCCTGAAGAAGAGATGGGCAAAAGTGTAGAAAACCTTTTTAATGATATAAGAGCTGAAAATGTCCCAACTCTTACAAGAGATATGGACATCCAGATACAGGAAGCTCTAAGATTCTCAAATACACAACAAAAAGGTCTTCTTCAAGGCACATTATGGTCAAACTGTCAAATGTCAATGGCAAAGAGAGGCTGGGCATGGTGGCTCATGCCTGTAATCCCAACACTTTGGGAGGCTGAGGTGGGAGGTTAACTTGAGTCCAGGAGTTCAAGACCAGCCTGGGCAACAGAGCAAGTTCCATCTCTACAAAAATAAAAAAATCAGTTGGGTGTGGTGGCATGCACCTGTAGTCCCAGCTACTTGGGAGGCTGAGGCAGGAGGATCACTTGAGCCCAGGAAGTTGAGGCTGCAGTGAGCCATGATTATACCACTGCACTTCAGCCTGAGTGACAGTGTTAGACCCTGTCTCAAAAAGAGAGAGAGAGAGTGAGAGAAAGAGAGAGAGAGAGAATGTTAAAAACAGCAAGAGTAAAGTGTCAAGTCACATATAAGGGAATACTCATCAGACTAACAGTGGAGTTCCCAGAAGAAACCTCACAAGCTGGGAACGTGATGATGCATTCAAAATGCTGAAAGAAAAACCTGCCAGTCAAGCATAGTATAGCCTGCAAAGCTATCCCTCAAAAATGAAGGGAAATAGTCTTTGTCAGATGAGCAAAAACAGAGAGAACTAATTGCCACTGGACTGGTCCTATAAGAAATGCTTAAGGGAGTCTAACATCTAGAAGATACCTATCATCATGAAAACACAGAAAGTATAAAACTCACTGGTAGAGTAGATATGCAAATGAGAAAGAGAAAGGAGTCAAATGTTTCCACTATGAAAAACCACCACATGACAATGATAAACAGTAAGGGAGGAAGAAAGGATATACAAAACAATGAGAAAACAGTTAACAAAATAACAGGCATGAGTACTCACCCATCAATAATAGCTTTGAAAGTAAATGGATTAAATTCTCCACTTAAGGCTGGGTGCAGTGGCTCATGCCTGTAATCCCAGCACTTTGGGAGGCCAAGGTGGGCGGATCACTTGAGGCCAGGAGTTTGTGACCAGCCTGGCCAACATGACAAAACCCTGTCTCTACTAAATTACAAAAATTAGCTGGGCGTTGTGGCATATGCATATAATCCAAGCTACTCAGGTGGCTGAGGCATGAGAATTACTTGAACCCGGGAGTCAGAGGTTGCAGTGAGATGAGATTGTGCCACTGCACTCTAGCCTGGGTGACAGAGTGAGACTCTGTACATTAAAAAAAAACTATTCCATTTAAAAAATATAGACTGTGCCAGGTGCAGTGGCTCATGCCTGTAATTCCAGTACTTTGAGAGGCCGAGACAGGGAGATCACCCGAAGCCAGGAGTTCAAGACTAGCTTGGCCAACATGGCAAAACCCTGTCTCTACTAAAAATACAAAAAAAAAAAAAAAATTAGCCCGGCAAGGTGGTAGACACCTGTAATCCCAGCTACTTGGGAGACTGAGGCAGGAGAACCTCTTGAATCTGGGAGGAGGAGGTTGCTGTGAGCTGAGATCGTGCCACTGCACTCCAGCCTGGGTAACAAGATAGAAACTCCGTCTCAAAAAATATAGATATACATGTATAGACTGGCTGAATGGATTAAAGTACAGGACCCAACTCTATGTTGCCTACAAGAAACTCACTTCACTTGTGAAGACACATATAGACTGAAAGTGAAGAGATGAACAAAGATATTCTATGCAAATGAAACCCAAAAGTGAGCAGGAATAGCTATACTTAGATAAATCAGACTTTAAGTCAAAAACTATAAAGAGAGACAAAGAAGGTCATTATATAATGATAAAGTGATCAATTTAAGCAAGATGGTAAAGCAGTTCTTAATATATATGCATCCAACACTGGAGCACCCAGATATATAAAGTAAATGTTATTAGTTCTAAAGGGAGAGGTAGATTCCGATACGATAATAGTTAGGGAATTTAACACCCTACTCTCAGGATTGAACAAATAATCTAGACAGAAAATCAACCAAAAAAAATAGATTTAAACTGTATTTTAGACCAAATGAACCTAACACACATCTACAGAACATTTTACCTGACAGATGCAGAATATATATTCTTCTCATCAGCACATGGATCGTTCTCCAGGACAGATCATATGTTACGCCACAGACAAGCCTCAAAATATTTTAAAAAGTCAAAATCAATCACATATCTTATCAGACAACATTGGAATGAAACTAGAAGTCAATAACAAGAGGAACTTTGGGAACTATATAAACTCATGTAAATTAAACACCATGCTCCTGAATGACCACTGGGTCAATGAGGAAATTAAGATAAAAATCCAAAAATTTCTTAAAACAAATGAAAACAGGAACACAACATACCAAAACCTATGGGATACAGCAAAAGCAGTGTGAAGAGAGAAGTTTATAGCAATAAAAGCCTATATTAAAAAATAGAAAGATTTCAAATAAATAAGTTGATGATGTACCTCAAGGAACTGGAAAAGCAAAATCAAATAAAACCCAAAATCAACCAAAGGAAAGAAATAAAATCAGAACAGAACTAAACAAAATAAAGATGAAGAATCAATACAAAGGATCAACAAAACAAAAAGTTAGTTTTTAAAAAATACAAGAAAAATTGATGAACCACTAGCTATACTAACAAAAAAAATAGAAGACCCAAATAAAATCAGAAATGACAAAGGAGACATTACAATGAACACACAGAAATACAAAGGATCATTAGAGACTGTTATGAACAACTATACACTAATAAATTGGAAAACCTAGAGGAAATAAAGTCCTGAATATATATATCCTACTAAGATTGAACCAGGAAGAAACAGAAAACCTGAACAGACAAATAATGAGTAATGAGATTGAATCAGTAATGAAACATCTTCCAACAAAGAAAAGCCGAGGACCAAATGGTTTTACTGCTGAATTTTACTAAAATTATAAAGAACAGGTAACATCAATTCTTCTCAAACTATTCCAAAAAGTGGAAGAGGAAGGAATTCTTCCTAACTCATTCTATGAAGCCAGAATTACCCTGATATCAAAAATAAGACAAGGACATGACAAAAGAAGAAAGAGAAAACTACAGGCCAGTATCTCTGATAAACATAGACGCAAAAATCTTCAACAAATACTAGCAAACTGAATCCAACAACACATCAAAAAGATAATACACCATGATCAAGTGGGATTTATTCCAGGGATGCAAGGGTGGTTCAACATATACACATCAATAAATGTGATATATCACATCAACAGAATGAAGAATAAAAACTATATGATCATCTCAATAGATGCAGAAAAAGCATTTGATAAAATTCAACATCCCTTCATGATAAAAACTCTCAACAAATTAAGTATAGAGGGAACATACCTCAACATAATGAAGGCAAACTATTCATCTGACAAAGGACTAATATCCAGAAGATACAAGGATTCAAACAACTCAACAGCCAAAAAACAACCACATTAAAATGGGCAAATGATCTGAATGGACATTTAGCAAAAGAAGACATACAAATGACCCACAAGTATATGAAAACATGCTCAACATCGCTAATCATCAGGGAATTACAAGTTAAAACCACAGTGAGATATCATCTCCTCCCAGTTAGAATGGCTATTTCAAAAAGACAACAAATAAATGCTGGTGAGGTGGCGGAGAAAAGAGAACTCTTATACAACATTGGTGGGAATGAACATTAGCATGCCATTATGAAAAACAGTATGGAGAATTCTCAAAATACTAAATATAGAACTACCATGTGATCCAGCAATCCCACTCCTGGATATTTATCCAAAAGAAAGGAGATCAGTATATCAAAGGGATACCTGCACTCACATGTTTAGTGCAGCACTATTCACAGTGGCCAAGATACGGAATCAACCTATATGTCCAGCAACAGATGAATATATATGTGTATGTGTATACAATTTGAATACTATTTGCCCATAAAAAATAAAACGCTGTCATTTGCAGCAACATGGATGGAACTGGAGGTTATTATGTGAATTGAAATAAGCCAGGCACAAAAAGACAAATATTGCATGTTTTCATTCATATGTGGGAGTTTTAAAAGTGGATCTCATAGAGATAGAAAGTAGAAAGATAAGTTACCAGAGGCTGGGAAAGGTGCAGCGTGGGGATGAAGAGAGATTGATTACTGAGTACAAACATACAATTAGAAGGAATAAGTTCTAGTGTTTGATAGCATAGTAGGGTGAGTATAATTAAAAATAATTTCTTGTATACTTCAAAATAGCTAGAAGATGGCCAGGCACCATGGCTCACACCTGTAATCCCAGCACTTTGGGAGGCCGAGGCGGGTGGATCACTTGAGGTCAGGAGTTTGAGACCAGGCTGGCCAACACGGTGGAACCCTATCTCTACTAAAAATACAAAACTTAGCCAGGTGTGGTGGTGTATGCTTGTAGTCCCAGCTACTTGGGAGGCTGAGGCAAAAGAATTACTTGAACCCGGGAGGCGGAGTTTGCAGTTAGCCGAGATCGCGCCACTGCACTCCAGTCTGAGACAGAGCAAGACTTCATCTCAAGGAAAAAAAAAAAAAAAGCTAGAAGAGAAGATATGAAATGTTCCCAACACATAGAAATGGCAAATATTTGAGGTGATGAATATTCTAATACCCTGATTTGATCATTATAAATTGTATGCATGTATTACAATATCCCATGTCCCCCATAAATATGTACAATTATTGTGTACCAACAAAATAAATATGAATTCTAGAAAAAAAACTGTAGTTACTAAAAAATACTGCTGGACATTGTTCTGTGTGGGAGACGCGAGAGGGGAGAAGAAAGGGCACAATACACAATACTATTAAGGGTAAACACCTTTATTCCAAGTATATGGCAATACAGACATAATAAGCAAATCGCAGTGGGAAAGGGAGAAGAAGAGCTATGTCTATATATATTTACACCCACCAGACTATGGAGGAAGCATTACTAGCTTTGAGCTTGATCAGTCAAGACATAGGCCTGGCATTGGGCCAGGGCCAGTCTGGAAGTCAAATTAGCATTTTCCTTTTCCAGCTTACATTTCTTTTGTAGCAACCGGTCCCTATCTTGACACATTAACTTATAAGCAGTAAGCAAGCAGCATCCATGCCAGGAAATTCCCTCGGCATCCCCTTATCAAACTAGAATTTCCTGCAGCACCTCACACACAGCCAACAGTTCAAAATGCACTAACTTAGATTCCCAATTTTCACAAAAGCCAGTTCCCCTGGACTATTCAGTCGCCGAGGGGGAGAACTGGGGAAGTTCCCATCCCGGGATGTGGGAAGTCCCCGAGCCTCCAGCCCAGTCCCTGCGACTGGAAAGTGGCATACTTTCGTTTTCGAATCCTGTTCCTGATACCAAAAGTTTCTGTGTGGGAAATGCCCGGGGGGTGAAGAAAAGGCACACACGATACTTTTAAGGGCAAACAGCCTTCATCCCAAGTATATGGCAACACAAATATAATAAGCAAATCACAGTGGGAAAGGGACAAGAAAAGATATATCTGTATATATTTACACCCACTGGACTATGGAGGAAGCATCACCAGACAGGGAAGCAGCAGCCTGGGCTCCAGAGTCGGCCGCCCGTCCGCGCACAGACGAGGAGAGTTCTTGCGGAGCTTCGGCGGGGTCTGGGACCCTCACCCTTTTGTAGTATTCCTTTTTTGGCCTGAGCCCCAGGCACGAGGGCCCTTCATGACTGGACTCAGGGAATACAGGAAGGTTAGCCTATTCTGTAGATTCTGTTGTTTGTTTGCCTTAAGGTAGAAAATGTACCTTACCAGAACAATCAGTATAGGTTATTAGCTCCCAGGCAGATGCCCAGAGGCTATTTACTGGCACATAACCATTCCTTGTGTTCAAGTTCAATGGAGTTCAAATTTAATATTTAACTTTTCCTCCACATGGCTCACACCTATAATCCCAGCACTTTGGGAGGCCAAGGCGGGTGGATCACTTGAGGTCAAGTGTTTGAGACCAGTCTGGCCAATGCGGCGAGACCCCTGTCTCCACTAAAAACACAAAAATTAGCTGGGCATGGTGGCGCGCACCTGTAGTTCCAGCTACTTGGGAAACTGAGGCAGGGGAATCACTTGAATCTGGGAGGCAGAGGTTGCAGTAGCTGAGATCGTGCCACCGCACTCCAGCCTGGGTGACAGAGCAAGACTCCATCTCAAAAAAAAAAGTGACAAACATTTGAGACGATGAATATCCTAATACCCTGATCTGATCATTACAGATTGTATGCATGTATTACAATATCCCACGTACCCCATAAATATGTACAATTATTGTGTACCAATAAAAATAAATAAATATGAGTTATAGAAACAAAAAACCCTATAATTACTACAAACCCTTCTGGATGTGTAGAATATCATTGTGGACACAGTGAGAGACACATGAACTGCAAGAAAGGTGTGAGGTGAGACCCAGGACATGGAATAGAAGTACGGGGGCACAGAGTCTGTCCCCTGCTCTGCCGCCCGGTGGGCATGTTTCTGTGGTCTGGAGCCCCTCTTTGTCCTGGCTTCTGTCTTTGGTGCTTGGCTACCTTTGTGCCCCACCTTGTCCTTGCACATCATGGTAGCAATATTTTGAGGGGTGCAATGCAGGCGCCCGCCCCAGAGGCTGTGCACGTGCTTCTGGGCGAACTCCCTTTGTGCGCCCAGTACAGCGTGGAGGGGATTTCCCGTAGACACCCCACTCCAGGACCCAAGGGTTGTGTTGTTTTCCCTCCCCCAGAGCCCATGGGAATCAATGTTCTCATTCACCCCCTAAACTCTCCTGGGTCCTCCTGCTTGGCTGACCCCACAGAGTCCTGCTTCCCTTCCATTGGGTCTGGTGATTATCTTGCCAGCATTCCAGTTTTTTAAAAAGACACTTTTTTTTTTTTTGAGACAAAATCTCTCTTTGTTGCCCAGGCTGGAGTACAGTGGTGTGACCATGGCTCACTGTAGCCTTGACCTGCTGAGCTCAAGCCATCTTCCTGCCTCAGCCTCTCCAGTAGCTGAGGCTACAGGTGTGCACTACCACACCCGGCTAATTAAAAACTTTTTTTTTTTTAGAGACAGGGTCTGGCTATGTTGCCCAGGCTGATCTCGAGCTCCTGGGCTCAAGCGACCCACCTGCCTCAGCCTCCCAAAGTGCCAGGATTACAGATGGGAGACACCATGCCTGGCCAAAACCACAGCATTAAAACACTGAGTCCACCATATGATCTGGTTTCAGTGGGAGTATTGGTCTGACTACATGGACCCTCCCCTCCACTTTTCTCCCACTCCTGTGTCTGCGGCCCAACCCCACTTCGCTGGCTTATTCTCCTAAGAGGCTGAAATCCAGAGTGGAAAGGAGCTGGGCCCAGGAAATTAACTCGGAGCATTTTTTTAATGCTGCGCCCAAACGCTCCCGTGTGACTGGTTATTGGAACCTGCACAGATGTGTCCAGGGGAGGGCCCTTCCCGCTGCCAGGGGGATGCCGCCACATGCGAGTAAAGACAAGGGTCCCACCCCTTCCTGCACCCAGGAGGCCTTCCAGGGTCAACCCAGTGCCGAGGCTGGGGGTGCAGTAGAGACCAGGAGCCACAGGGAGATATGACCGTGGGTGGGACCCAGCCTGGGATCCCTGGATTCCGGCCCTGAGCTGGGGCGGGCAGGGTGGGGAGAGGGCACAGTGTGAGGACCCCGCCCACCCCATCTGGGTCCTGGAGGGAGTCTGTGCCAGGAGCCCAGGGACAGAGAAGGCTCCACCCCAGGGAAGGAGGACCCACGGCTCCCTCAGCACCCAGGACCTTGGGCATGTGCTGGAAAATGGGGCCAGGGTCACTTTTAAATATTTTGACTGATTTCTCCAATTATTCTATTGGAGTTAGTAAATACTGAGATTTGTTATTATCTAACCCATTTTTAAACTTTTATTTTGAAAAATTATAGACTCACAGGAAGTTGCAAATAATAGAGTCCTATATTCTCCCCAGATCCTCTAATGGTGACATCCTATGAAGGATCCAAAGGTGTCCTTTTAAGCAACACCCGTACTTGGTGCTATTTCATTTGTATAAAGTGTACAATTCACTGGTTTTAGTATATTCATAGAGTCGGCTGTCATTTTTATACCTTTTTTTATAATTTTTTTTTGAGGCAGGATCTCACTCTGTTACTCAGGCTGGAGTGCATTTATGCAGTCATGGCTCACTGCAGCCTTGACCTTCTGGGCTCACGTGATCCTCCCACCTTACCCTCCTGAGTAACTGGGACAGCTGTTGTATGCCACCACACTTGGCTAACTTCTAACAAAATTTTTTGTGGAGATGAGATTCCACTATTTGCCCAGGCTGGTCTTGAACTCCTGGGCTCAGGTGATCCTCCCATCCTGGCCTCCCACAGTGCTGGGATTACAGACATGAGTCACTCGCCTGGCCCATTTTTAAACAAAATTATAATGGAGAATGAGCTGAGCCTGTAATTGCCCAATGGAATTTTGCCAGCTGCACAGGACAGCCAATTTATGAAGACAGTAGTAGTGCAGTAGAGAAAGAGTTTAATCAGTGCAAGGCTAGCCATGTGGTATACCAGAGCTTATTATGCAAATCAGCCTCTCTGAAAGCTGGGAGCCTAGGGTTTTTCAAGGATAGTTTGGTGGGCATGGGGCTAGGGAATGGGGATAACAATTGGTTGGATCAGAGATAAAAATCATGCGACTGAAGCTGTCTTCTTGCAGTGAGTCAGTTCTTGGGTAGGATCACAAGACCAGATGAGCCAGCTTCTTGGTATGGGCTACTGATCCAGGTGGCTCTAACTGATCCATCAGAATACAGGGTCTGAAAAATACATCAGACACGAATCTTAGTTTTTCAATTATGTTATCTATAGGAGCAACTGGGGAGGTTACAAGTCTTGTGATCTCTGGCTACCTGACTCCTGAGCCATAATTCTAATCTTGGGGTCTTTCGTTAGTTTTACAAAGACAGTTTTGGTTCCTGAATGAAGAGGAGATAGTTTTGGAAGGGCTATTATCATCCTTGCTTCAGTGTTAAACTATAAACTAAATTCCTCCCGAAGTTAGCTTGGCTTTTGCCCAGAAATGAACAAGGACAACTTGGAGGTTAGAGGCAAGTGTGGAGGAAAAGTTAAACATTAAATTTGAACTCAATTGAACATGGACACAAACAATGGCCACCAAGTCCCCAAACGGGTTGTGTGAGCCCCTTGAGGCGTTTATCCAGCGCTGTTTTGGAGAAATCTCTAATTCAATCTATTCCTATACATTAGTTATTGAAAAACAATAGAAAATTGCAAAAGCAAGTTGGCCCTTTTGTGTTCCTTGAGCCCAGTCACAAAGGCCCCTCGTGACTGGGCCTCACGCCAAACAGCTCGTTACAAAAAGAGCTAGGACCCCAGACCACATCGAAGCTTCATGAGACCTCTCCTTGTCTGTGCACAGACGGGTGGCCAACTCTGGAGCCCAGGCTGTTGCTTCCCGGTCTGGCAGTGAATCCTCCATAGCCTGGTGAGTGTAAATATATATATCTATCTTGGCTGGGCACAGTGGCTCACGCCTGTAACCCCAGCACTTTGGGAGGCGGATTGCCTGAGGTCAGGAGTTCGAGACCAGCCTGGCTAACATGGGGAAACCCTGTCTCTACTAAAAATACAAAAATTAGCTGGGTGTGGTGGCGCACGCCTGTAGTCCCAGTTATTCAGGAGGCTGAGGCAGGAGAATAGCTTGAACTCGGGAGATTGAGGTTGCAGTGAGCTGAGATCACACCACTGCACTACAGCCTAGGTGACAGAGTAAGACTCCATCTCCGAAAAAAAAAAAAAATATATATATACACACACATATGGATATATATTTTGCCTTCTCCCTTTCCCACTGCAATTTGCTTATTATATGAATTTGCTTATTATATTATTTGCTTATTATATAATTTGCTTATTATATCTGCATTGCCACGTAAGATGAAGGTTGTTTACACTTAAAGGTATTGTGTGTGTGTCTTTTCTTCTCCCCTCGCACTTTTCCTGCACAGAACAGCAAGATGGAGTTAGCTATGTCAGATTTCCCTTTCTGTCAGAATTTTGCAAAGGTAGTTTCAAGCCTTCAGCCAGTGGGTAGTATCCATTAGTACACACTGGAGTTTCGATCTATTTCCTGGAATGGTGTCTCACCTCTGCTGCCCCATGGCAGGGTTTCTCACTTCTGCTGCCCCATGGCAAGGCTGCCTGATCACTGCAGATCATGCTGACATAGGTGGACAGAACAGGTCCCTCCTGCTGGAGCACTTTGTGCTGTGATTTGCATAGACTGTGTTCTGAGAGTTACTTTTGCTATTTGAAAGATATTGGCCGGGCACAGTGGCTCATGCCTGTAATCCCAGCACTTTGGGAGGTCGAGGCAGGCTGATCACGAGGTCAGGAGCTTGAGACCAGCCTGGCCAATATGCTGAAACCCTGTCTCTACTAAGAATACAAAAAAATGGCCAGGCACGGTGACTCACGCCTGTAATCCCAGCACTTTGGGAGGCAGAGGCGGGTGGATCACGAGGTCAGGAGATCGAGACCATCCTGGCTAACACGGTGAAACCCCGTCTCTACTAAAAATACAAAAAATTAGCCAGGCGTGGTGGCAGGCACCTGTAGTCCCAGCTACTCGGGAGGCTGAGGCAAGAGAATGGCGTGAACCCGGGAGGCAGAGCTTGCAGTGAGCCGAGATCGCACCACTGCACTCCAGCCTGGGCAACAGAGCAAGACTCTGTTTCAAAAAAAAAAAAAAAGTACAAAAAATTAGCGGGGTGTGGTGGCACGCACCTGTAGTCCCAGCTACTTGGGAGGCTGAGGCAGGATAATTGCTTGAACCCAGGAGGTGGAGGTTGCAGTCACCTGAGATTGCGCCACTGCACTCCAGCCGGGGCCACAGAGCAAGATTCTGTCTCGGGAAAAAAAACAAAAAAAAAGAAAGAAAGAAAGACTAGCTATTTGGCACAGAATTCCATCAGATTTGCATGTTTTATCTCATTTATAGCATTGCATACAGCAATAACATTTTAATTTCCATGTAGTTTTAAATATACTTATAACCTATTTATCAAAGCTTTTAAAAAAGAAAGTGTTTCCTGAGTAACTTAATTGCATATAGAAACAGAGGGAGCCCAGCTCAGTCAGTCTGCAGTGTAATGGACAGTTAATTAACATATGTCTTTGAAAACTGAGTGAAAATAAAGAGTTTGAAACTTTCTGAGACTTATTAGATTCCTCTCCTTAGGCAGGTCTTGGATGTCGAATGCTATCCCCAGCAGCCTCAAATCTACAAAGCAGTGATACAATCACGCACCCGCCACCAGCTGAGCAACTGAGAATACCAAGTGTTCACCAGGATACCCAGCACCCAGAGGCATCTCACTTTGCTGGTGGGAGTGCACTTTTTTTCTTTTTTTTTTTTTTGAGACAGAGTCTCGTTCTGTCGCCAGGCGGGAGTGCAGTGGCGCACGATCTTGGCTCACTGCACCGTCCGCCTCCTGGGTTCTGGTGATTCTCCTGCCTCAGCCTCCCGAGTAGCTGGGACTACAGGTGCCCGCCACCACGCCCGGCTAATTTTTTTGTATTTTTAGTAGACACAGGGTTTCACCATGTTAGCCAGGATGGTCTTGATCTCCTGACCTCGTGATCCACCCGCCTCTGCCTCCCAAAGTGCTGGGATTACAGGCGTGAGCCACCGCACCCGGCCGGGAGTGCACTTTGTACAAACACCTGGAGAAACTGTTTGGCAGTGTGTTCTAAAGCTGAACCTACCCAAACCCTATGACCTGGCAACTTCCAGCAAGTGAGTGAATAAGTTTAATTGTGAGTGAATAAGCCAGACACAAAGAGTACATGGGTGTGCATCCTTGTCAACTGATAAAGAAAAGTGGCTCAGAACAGCCTGAGGAATGGGGGGGGGTCTGCAAAATGTATCAGGTCCAGAGGGACAGGAGCATGGGACCTCAGTCACACCCCCGCAGCCATGCCCAGGGGTAACTGTTTAAGGGCTTTGTTTTTTTCTTTCCTTCCCTGTAGTTTCCAGGCTAGCTAATAAATTACCTAAAATATTACCACAAGTTGCACAATGTGAGCCTCACCCATTATCTTCATGCTCCTGGAATTTGTGATACAAAGAACGATGTCTAATAAATCAATAGGTTATTTTAATGAAACAATAAAAATTTTTGGTAAACAACTTAGGAACTGCCCCATTTTTCCTTTAAATACTGACTTGTGGCTGAGTTTGGCGGCTCGCACACGTAATCCCGGTGCTTTGTGAGGCCAAGGATTGGGAGGAGGGCTTGAGCCCAGGAGTTCCAGGCTGCAGTTAGCTGTGATCATACCACTGCCCTCTAGCCTGTGTAACAGAGTGAGACCCTATCTCTATTAAAAAAAAAAAAAAGCCAGGCATAGTGGCATGCACCTACAGTCCTAGCTACTCAAAGACTAGGACTAGAGGCAGAGGTGGGAGGATCACTTGAGCCCAGGAGTTCCAGGCTGCAGTGAGCTATGATCTCACCATAGGATCTCACCATGGGATTACCATGGGATACCTTTTCTTTCTTTCTTTCTTTTCTTTCTTTCTTTCTTTCTTTCTTTCTTTCTTTCTTTCTTTCTTTCTTTCTTTCTTTTCTTTCTTTCTTTCTCTCTTTCTCTCTTTCTCTCTCTCTCTCTCTTTCCCTCTTTCTCTCTCTCTTTCTTTCTTTTTTTTTTTTTACAAAGTTTCATTCTGTCGCCCAGGCTGGAGTGCAGTGGCGCGATCTTGCCTCACTGCAACCTCCGCCCCCCAGGTTCAGGTGATTCTCTTGCCTCAGCCGCCCGAGTAGCTGGGATTATAGGTGCCCGCCACCATGCCTGGCTAATTTTTGTATTTTTAGTAGAGACGGGATTTCACCATGTTGGCCAGGCTGGTCTTGAACTCCTGACCTCAGGTGATCCTCCTGCCTTGGCCTCCCAAAGTGCTGGGATTACAGGCATGAGCCACCGTGCCTGGGGCCTCAGTTTCTTAATTTTGGTTGGCATTTCTGGTGTTGTCTGGAGGATTCAGCTCTATTCCTCCCTTGCAGCCAACTGGCATTCCCTCTCACACTCAGCAATCCGAACCAGTATAAACACTCTGTGTTCCTCTGACTCCAGAGGTTTCCTTGCGTGCAAAGGTTGAGTCCTGAATTCAGACCTCCCTTCCTTTTGGTTGAGGTCTAGATCTTTTTCTAATTTTTAATTTTTATTTTTTGTGGACATATAGGTGTATATATTTATGCAGAACATAAGATGTTTTGACACAGACATGCAACATGTAATAATCTTATCATGGAAAATGGGGTATCCAGTCCCACAAGCATTTATACTTTATGTTACAAACAATTCAATTATACTCTTTTTGTTATTTTAAAATGTAAAATTAAATTATTATTGACTATAGTCCCCCTTTTGTGCTATCAAATACTAGGTCTTATTCATTCTTTCTAACTATTTGTTTTGTATCCATGAACCCACCTCCCCTTCACCCTCCCACTACCCTTCTTAGCCTCTGGTAATCATCCTTCTACTCTCTGTCTCCACGAGTTCAATTGTTTTGACTTTTAGATCCCACAAATAAATGAGAACACGCGATGTTTGTCTTTCTGAGACTGGGTTATTTCATTTATCATAATGACTTCTAGTCCATCCATGTTTTTGAAAATGACAGGATCTCATTCTTTTTTATGGCTGAATAGTACTCCATTGTGTAAGTACCTCTGTTGATGGACATGTAGGTTGCTTCCAAATTTTGGCTGTTGTGAAGAAGTTGAAACTTTATTTGGGCTGTTTTCCAAATCCTTTCTTTCCTGCAAGAGTGAGGGCTTCTGTCTCTGTCTCTGGACAGGAGATTTAGGCAAAAGCTCTGCAGAGAATGTCTGTCTTCTCCTCAGCCTCATGGCAGCGTTTTGGGTTACAGTGTTGGAGTCTAGTGTAACTGCCCAATGGGTTCCTCTTGCCCACTGTTCAGAGGAAGCCAATTTATCAAGACAGGGAATTGCAACAGAGAAAGAAAGAGTTTAAGGCCGGGCACAGTGGCTCATGCCTGTAATCCCAGCACTTTGGGAGGCTGAGGGGGGCAGATCACCTGAGGTCGGGAGTTTGAGACCAGCCTGACCAACATGGAGAAACCCCATCTCTACTAAAAATACAAAATTAGCCAGGCATGGTGGCGCATGCTTGTAATCCCAGCTACTCGGGAGGCTGAGGCAGGAAAATCACTTGAACCCAGGAGACAGAGGTTGTCATGAGCCGAGATCACGCCATTGCACTCCAGCCTGGGCAACAAGAGTGAAACTCTATCTCATAAATAAATAAATAAATAAATAAATAAAAACAGTTTAATACATGTTGTCATCGGCTAAACAGGAAACTAAAGTTTTATTGCTACTCAAATCAGCCTCCCTGAAAATTCAAAGTTTAGGATTTTTTTAAAGATAGTTTGGTGGGCAGGAGGATGGGAAGTGGGAGTGCTGACTGCTTGGGTCGGGGATGAAACCGCCGGGAGTCGAAGCTGTCCTCTTGGGCTGAGTTGGTTCTTGAGTGGGGATCATAAGACGAGATGAGCCAGTTCACCAGTCAGTGTAGCCTCAGCTGACCCATCAGAATGCAGGGTCTGAAAAACACCTCAAACACCAACCTTAGGTTTCATAATAGTAACGTTACCTATGGGGGCAACTGGGGAGGTGAGGAATCTTGTGGCCTCTGGCCGCGTGACTCCTGAGCCAAAATTTCTCATCTGTGGCTCATTTGTTAGTTCTACAAAGGCTGTCTGATCCCCAGGCAAGGAGAGGGTTTGTTTTGGGGAGAGGCTGTTATCTTTGCTTCAACATTAAGCTATAAATCCCTCCCTTCCTCCTTTGGCCTACACTCAGGAATGAACAAGGGCAGCTTGGAGGTGAAAGGTAAGATGGAGCTGGTTAGGTCAGATCTCTTTCACCATCATAATTTCCTCATTGTTATCTTTTTTGCAAAGGTGGTTTCACTAGCACTGGTGATTTCACTTTTTTTGACCTAAAGTTACATAGCATGATTTTAAAATTGTAGCTGTTTCCTATTGCTGGTAATTTGGACTCGTCTTTTCAATTGTGACCAATTCCTGCTAGTTTCAAACCAAAGGGTGCATGAGGGTGAGTTCTCTCACCTGGAAGTTAAGAGACACTTGCTCCCTCCAAACCCAGCTGGGTGCTGCAGGGGACTAGAGATTTTATGGGGGTGTTGGGATGTTTGTCCATGATGTGTAGCAGTCTGAGAGGGCCTCCCTGCAGGACAGACCCCAGCTGGAAGGTGCACATAAGGGCTGGTCACCTGGCGCCTTTAGCACTCTACCACTGCAAGGGGACCAGGGATTCTGAGACACATAAGACAGTCAATCACGGTGTCACTGGGACCTTAGGGAGTGACGCTTGCAAGTAGCACACTTCAACCAGAAGCTCTGTTCCAGCCTTGATCACTTTTGAGAAGGAATTTCTAAAAGTATGGGAAAATGGTTGTCAAAAACTGAGCTTTCCTTTAAGGGGCAATCCCCCTTGGAAGCACCAGCCGGGTTTGTGGGTCACCCCTGTAGAGCGCCATGCTGTGGACACCCAGCCAGATGCACCCACATGACTCAGGATGACCCCAAATTTCAATGGCCAAAATCGGGGTCTTTGGAAATTTCTAAGTTAATATGTTTGTGCATACAATTAGCAGGTTTTAGAACCAGACAAATTGAACAGCAGTCCTATTTTAACGGTAGGTAGAAGCTTCTAAGAGAGGTATGGAAAAAATGGCTTCCGTCCAGGAGATAAGCAAAAAATTGTCAGAAACAATTTCACAACTAAAGAAAACCTTGAAAATGTCTTCTCTTTCTCCTTCCACTGCTCTCCTGTTGCCTCCTCCCACACCTCTACATCCACTTTTGTCAGGCCTTCCATGCTCTGGTTACCATCTCTCCTATCCCTCCTCCGCCAGAGGAAGAGGCTCAGCAAATCCCACAGCACTCTTGCAGATCTTCTGGTCAACCCGCTTCTTTCAACGAAGGCAGCTCCAGCAGCTGACTTGCCAGACCCAACCTCTTAAGAAGATGCAGATAAGCCCACATGACCAAAGAGGGGTCTGCTTCTCTTGCAAGAAACAAAGTCACCTTTAAAAAGATTGCAAACAACTTAAATGGCAACAGGAGAGAAAAACCACCCAAGAGAAACAGCTGCTCTGGGGAGCCGAAGGGGGCGTTTCTATTTCTCCTTCCTCTCCCATTAGGAGGAGTGGATCCACTGCTGAGTGAAGAGACTCCTGCTCTCACTGACACCAGAGCTGTCTTCTCTGTTCTCAACCCCATCATATATAACTGTCCCCTTCCTCAGAGGAACGAAACCACTGAAATGGTGGGAGTGCCTAACCCACCCATGACTGTAAGGCCCAAGTTTCAGAATTTCAAATAGGGACTGCATGAGACTATTTTTGCATTGCTGCAAAGAAATGCCTGAGGCCGGGCATGGAGGCTCACGCCTGTAATCCCAGCACTTTGGGAGGCCAAGGCAGATGGATCACCTGAGGTCAGAAGCTCAAGACCAGCCTGGTCAACATGGCGAAACCCCATCTCTACTAAAAATACAAAAATTAGCCAGGTGTGGTGGTGCGTGCTTGTAATCCCAGATACTCGGGAGGCTGAGGCAGGAGAATCGCTTGAACCCAGGAAGTGGAGGTTGCAGTGAGCTGAGATTGTGCCACTGCACTCCAGCCCAGGCAATAGAGCAAAATTCTGTCTCAAAAAAATAAAAAAAAGAAAGAAAATATTTTGAATTCGGAACCAATGGATGATGTGAGCAACTTATGGCAAACCCTGCCTCACCACTTACGGTCACAAGCACCCACATACATTGGGAGAATAATTTCAGCCACTCATCATTTGCAGCATCACTCTTGCCACAGGCTTCTTTATGTGGAGTTCTTCCCTTGCCTTCACCTCACATTACTCTCTCACTGTAGGGATCTTAGCCCTGCTACTGTGCTGCCATTGCCTTCTGATGGGCTGCTCCCTGGCTGTATTGCCGTGACCCAGCAAATTCTCACTCCTAGGCAGAACTCACAGGAGATGCCTACAGAGGATGCTGATGTAATTTGGTTTACTGATGGCCCCTAATTAAATGGCAATTCTGGAAAACACTGCAAGGTGATGCAGCTGTCTCTGTGACTGAAGTCCTAAAAGACAACCCTCTCCCAGAGGCAAAGTTGGCCCACCCAGCAAAACTGATTGCCTTAGCCAGAGCCTGTCGATGCGCAGAAAGCAAGGTTGCTGAAGTTTACACAGAGAGCAGAGGCGCATTTACAACAGCACGTGATTTGGGGATGCTCCGGAAATAACGTAGATTCCTGACTTCTTCCAGACAATCCCTTAAAAATGGCCAACAGGCCTTTGATCTCTTGGAGGTCATTCAGAAACTGAAATCACTGGCCCTTATCAAAATTCCTAGACATCGGAAGCCAGACACTTTTGATGGTAAGAGCAACTGTTTCACAGAGGCTGTGACCAAAACTGTTGCTGAAGTGTCTTTCCTCACCCAAAAACTATACATCTCGAGCTATCCCTGCAAGCATATGCTCCAATTAAAACTTTGCTGAAGGAGGCCAAGCACGGTGGCTCATGCCT
Organism: Homo sapiens; assembly: GCF_000001405.40. Taxonomy (NCBI): domain Eukaryota; kingdom Metazoa; phylum Chordata; class Mammalia; order Primates; family Hominidae; genus Homo; species Homo sapiens. The sequence goes on along the minus strand of NC_000014.9, from coordinate 103,248,330 downwards.
GTAATTCCTGCACTTTGGGAGGCCAAGGCGGGCAGATCACTTGAGGCCAGGAGTCCAAGACCAGCCTGGCCAACATGGTGAAACCCTGTCTCTACTAAAAATACAAAAATTAGCCAGGCGTGGTGGTGCATACCTGTAATTCCAGCTACCCGGGAGGCTGAGGCAGGAGAATCGCTTGAACCCAGGAGGCAGAGGTTGCAGTGAGCTGAGATTGCGCGACTGCACTCCAGGCTGGAAGACAGAGTGAGACTCCATCTCAAAAACAAAACAAAACAAAAAAACCTCGCTGAAGAAAGCACAGAGAAAGGCCCTGAAAAAGAGTTAAAGCTTTGGAAAAGTAAGAGGGGGATGTCACGTCCTCTCCTGAAATGGGTTTATGGTACAGTTCAGTGATAGACCAATTCTTCTCTCGCGACTTTGGTTACCCTTTTTACAATATGTTCATGAGTCAACTCACTGGAGTCAGATAAAACGATTTCATGGAAAAACAATTTCATGGAAAAATAATATTCCTGGAAACCATCACCCATGATGGCTCAAAAGGTGTACTCTCGGCTGAACTCAGCGGCTCATGCCTGTAATCCCAGCACTTTGGGAGGCCGAGGTGGGTGGATC